>NW_018654717.1:5161204-5462785 GCF_000001405.40 Homo sapiens | reverse complement strand
AGATTGCACCACTGCACTCCAGCCTGGGTGATGGAGTGAGACTCAGTCTAAAAAAAAAAAAAAAAAATCCATTCTGGCTATAATTGCATAGTGAGACACTATGTGTAAATTATACATGTATCTGCATGTGTGTGTTTTAGTCACTAAATTACTCCACCTGTATGATGTTAAAATGCAATATGTATTCTTTCCAGGTTGACAACTATCTCAAATCACATTTGCTGTATCTTATTTGAATCAAGAAGATTCAATTATTAGTTAATAAAATGAATCACCTGTACAGTCCCAATACTGTATGGTTCATAGGAATTTCATGTAATCTTTGTTTTCAAAATCAAAGAGCAAACAACGTGTGTTCAAATTATCAAGGAAGGGCCAAAGCTCAGTGAGGTCAAGGACGGCAGACATAGGACAAGGACGCAGGCATTTTCATTCCTAGTTCAGGGCTTTTTCCAGGATGCCATGAGGCTCATTGGGGCATGGCTTCAATTTAGTGACATCCTGGGTCCCTTTTCTGTCTATGATTCCATGAGGGAGGGACAGAAGGTGCACATGTCATGCTGTCAGAGGCAGATGCTCAGTGTGGAGACTCAGGGGCCAGGGGACTTTTCACTTCTCCAGCCCCAACACGTCGAGCCTCCCTGTTAGCTCTGCCGCCTCCCGTGGGGTAAGTGTTAAGCCCCTGAAAATGAAGGGGTTACAAGTTCTGTTGTGAGGCCCTATAATAAAGGAGAGCTAATAAAGGCTTCGCCCCACCTTCTGACCGGATTGTAGAGATGAGTACCCCAATGGGACGGGGAGTGGTTGGAATGAGGAGAGGAAGAAGGCGGTGAAACCAGGGGATTGTGAGAGATAAGACAAGGATGCGGGCTTCAGGCTGTGACTAGGATGTGGCCGCGATCACAGTGGGGTTTCCCAGCATCCCCTGGTGAAATCTGCCCCAGTGCTTGGATTAAAAAGGACAGTAGTGGTGCACTGAAGAAGACCAGTGTTTGAGGCTTAGGTTAATTCACTCATTCCTTCCTCTATTTCATATTTATTGTTCTTCACTGGTTACTAAAGATGTAAATATGAGTATTTATGTACCAGGCCCTGTCCTTGAGGAGCTCAAGGTCTAGTGGGAGGACTATAAATATGTAAATAAATGATGGCAACAGAGTGACAAGACCCTATGATAGGATGCACCGAAGTGTCTGAGGGGCAGAGACGTAGAGCAATTGATAATGCCAGGCAGGAATGCGGGGAGAGGGCCAGGAAAGCTTCAGAGTGGGGTTGAAATTTGAGCCAATTTGAGTACTAGGAGGGAACAGCTCTGTCATTCCTGGTTACTGTGTCATCTCAGGAAGCTGATTCCTTAGAGATACAGTGGAGATGATCACACTTATCTCAGAAGAAAGAGCTACGTGAAAAGTATGAGGATTTGCCAAGAAAAACATCCTGGGCCCCCATTGGACCAGGCCTAGTCCTTCTGCCCCTGCTGGCTGGCTGGAGCTCCGGCCCATCACCAGGCACCCTCCTGCCCCTCTTAGGGTTGGCAGAGGGTTCACGCACCTCTGAGTGCCAGCCAGAGAAGCAACTTGCGATGTCCTGGGTCTCCCAGCACCTCTTCCCAGCTTCCCCTGACCACAGGCTGAAGGTGTCTTAGCAAGGACAAGGCAGATGAATCCTCAAGTTGAAAACAGATCTGGACGGAGGGCAGGATGGGGTGGACATAATCACTACTTTTATTTGTCCTCGCACTGAGGATCATACTCCGGTCTCTCACATGGATCCCTGGGGAGCCAGTCCACGGAGCACAGCCGAGAGGCAGTCCAGGCTTAGTCAGAGCCACAGACCGTGGGTGAGGCTCCTGCTCTTCGGCTGCAGAGAGCTGCCTCCTGGCCTCTGAAGCCGATCCACCTGGGCCACCCTGCGGTCACAACTCCAGAAGACAGGAGGCAGGAAGAGGAAGTCTCTACTCTCCTTATCCACAGCGTTGTCTGTGCTGCTGGCCTGTCCCTGTTCCCAAATAAGAGCAGATGCCTGACAATGCCTCAATAAATATCCCTGCTGATTCAGTCTGAACTTAATTCATTTCCGCACCCCCGGCGTGAATGGTACCCTGTGCAGGGCAGAGACGAATGAGGCACTGTAATCAGTGCCAAGAGATTCAGGCCAGAAGCTTTGGTAACCTGGGCCCCCTGGCTCTCCCCTGCGGTGACCCCAGCTGCTCCTGTCCTTAGCCCAGTGCCCAGCTTCAGAACAAGTGGTCAAAAAAAAAAAAAAAAAAAAAAAAATCCCATCTGCAGGCGCCGGAAGGGCAGCGCGCCCTCGCGTGGTAGGTGTTGGTATTGCCGGGATGCCTGCCTGACCCAAGCCTTTCAGGCTTTGAAAAAGAGCGTTTTGGGGATTCTGTCTTAGAACCACGCCAGGACATTTTAGGACTGAGTTCAATCCTGTCACTTTACAGATGGGGACAGGGATGCTATGGAGATCTGCCCAATATCCCAGAGGGGCGGAACAAGAAAGTAAGCCCCAGTTTTGGGGGCTCTCACTTGGTCTCTGGGCTGATCCAGTCAGATTCATTCTCAGGCCTTACAGAGACACTTTACATTGAAAAAAAGAAAAAGAAAAAACAGCCAAAAAGTAAACAAAAATTAAAAAGGGAACAGAGCAACTCCAGAGCTCACCACTGAGGACTCCAGGAGCCTGCACCGCCTTCCCTCCCGTCCCTTCCCTTCCCCTCTCCTCCCCTTCCCTTCCCTTCCCTTCCGTGTTTGCTTCCCGGAAGCCTCAGCAAACACTCCCAGACAGCCTGTTTTGTGCTGGGCAACGCCATAGGTACTAGTTTTTTACCATGCCTTACAGGTGGACAAACACTTCCTTTGGAGAAATTTTACATAAGAGGGAGATGACATTTTCCACAATTTAGATCAGCCCAGGCCCAGGGACCACCTTAAAAATATTAAATAATACAGCCTAGGGCCCACGCGAGTGCCCTGCTGGCCGGCCCTGGACTCTGCAGAGGGCTCCCTGGGGGTTCTCACCTGCAGCACCCTGGCAGGGAGGGACGGGGTTCCCATCCTCCCCATCTCACCTGGTGGAGACCCCTTGGTCCTTGGGTGAGGCTCTGCTTCCACACCCCCAGGCTGCTGTGCTCTGATGGAGTCTGAGATCGAGCCCACCTCCTTCATTTCATTTCTGAGGAACATGAGGCCAAAAGAAGGTGCTGCTGTCTAACGGCACCTGCCCAGAAGTCCCATCCTTATGGAACCAGGCTCCAGCCCCCCAGTGGCCCTTCATGTTATTTTGTGTTTCTGGTACACAGATCTGCTGGTGTGGGTTGGTGGCACTCCTGGCTGAGAACGTGTCTGCCAGTTCTGAGGCATGCACGTTTGCTGCGTTTCACTCTCAGCCAAGGCTAATAGGGGCCAATGCCCTTCAGGAAGTCATTCCCTTCAGGGATGGAACAATGGCTCTCCCCTCTAGAGGCATGACAGAGAGCCCTGCAGCGGTGCCTGTGCCTAAGAGAGACTTACTCTGTGCACTTCCAGAGGTCTGTCTGATTGCATTTAGAAAAGAAAAAAAACAAGAGTGAGTTTAGAAGAGGTTGCGAGAGGCCAAAGGCAAGATGACAAATATTCATTGCAACTTGAGCTGGGAATTGAGACTGTAGCCCCAAAGTGTACATTCTAGTGGGCTCTTTACAGCACCTCAGCTCATTCAGAAGCACACTGGACTCAGGCAGCGACAGAAACAGGAACACAGAGCATCTTCCCAAGCCACCTGTCAGTCAGGAAAAAGCTTGGCATGTGGTCTCTATCTCTCAGCACGTTTGTTTTTATTATTTTTTAAATTCCTTACTTGTAATTGGTGTTCACTACTATTGGAATTAGTATTCAACAAATTCAAGCAGGATCCAGAGAAAGGCAAAAGGCAGCTAAGCATTCAGGAATCTCCATGAACAGGGGCCCTGCCTTGCTCCAATTGCACAGAAATATGTTTTTTAGAAGGATCATAGAAGAATGAATGCTGGCTGATAGGCATACTGAGAATGCCATTTATGAATTGCTAGCCTGGGGGAAATGTGCTTCACCTGATGATTTTCATTTTTCTTTCATTCCTAAAATGGACCTGCTTACCCCCTATTATACACACTATCAGCTTGTTGTATTAATAAATTGAAATAGCCTAAGAGTAAATGCTTGAAAACAACACTATCCTACTGAAATGTGACCTGTTGGTGTTATTGCTTGAGGAGGCATAAAGGGAAAAGGGATAAGGTGCATTACCATCTGGGTGAATAAGCAGGAGAAGGCTAGTGCTGGGTGTGGTAAGAAAGATGTCATCAGAAGGAAAACAGAGCAGCAGATTGGTTGCATTTATGTCTCTCTGAAAATCAGTTTGGAGCTCGGTTTCTAGTCAGTTCCCATCTCCAGATACTTAAGAGATATTCCCTTGACTAGGAAAGGAAAGTGGAATATCACAAAATTCTGAGACCCCTTTGAAAAGGCAGTACATGGAGAAGTAAGGAAGTTAAAAAAATGTCTTTTATCAGCTCTTCACCTTTGGTGCTAAATTCATTCAACAAATATTTATTGAACACCTACTATAAGCCACACATTCCTTTAAGCCCTTGGGATACTTCAACATCCCTGCCTTCCGGGAGCTTATATTTTAGATCCCAGATCTGCCATCCATCTCTGGTTTCTCTTTTCCTTCTTCATCTGTATTTGATACGCAACACCTATTCCAGGGATCAGAGCAAATGTCACGCTTTTTCTCACCAGAATGGCAGAAAAAAAGTCTGCAGATCCCTTGCTGCATACGGCAGATGGTATTTCTAATTCCCGGTGGAACATCCCCTATGGATACAACAGAAGAGAGTTGACATTTAACTCATATAGTGCAGAGAATAGAAGATGACCCCAGCCCGCTGCCAAGGGTTATATATTCTGACAAGGCTAAGTACTTTTGGACAAGCCCCAGTTTAACCGAACTTTGGCCTCTTAGCTTTAAAACAGGAACGATAATTTATATCTGAAATGTTGCCAGGAGGATGATAGGGTGTGTTTTATGAATGCTCACCTGGCCCATCTAGGCCCTAAAAAGTCCACACAGATCCTAAATGAGGGTCCTCGAGCCTCCCGGTGAGAGATGTGCACTAGAAGCAAACAAAGGGAGTTTTGGAAAACAGAAGTGGTCCAGAATAGGACAGGTCTTGGTCTCTAAGGAAATTAGAGGTATTAACCCATTCTCAACTTATGGCCCAATTTTTAGTTTTATGTCCTACAACGAAAAGGAGAAAATAAAACCTCTCTCCTCACCAGGACCTGTGGGCTTGTAAGTCACAAATGACCACCTAAATTTTTATAACAACAGGACATTGGGCAAGAGATGGTTGAAAGAAAGATCTTACTTATGTCAGATCTGCAAATGCCACGTACGATGACTTTAAACAGCAGCAACAACAGCAGCAACAACAACAACAGCACAGTGTTGGTCTTGCGTGATTAGGAAAACACTCTTGCACAACATCCAACCTCCAAACGGGGTCTAATCCCTGATTCTGTATCATCTCAGCCCTGTCACAGCTTGGAGGAGACAGCAAAGTGAAGAAGGTGGGGGTCCACCTTTAGTCAAGACAGAAGAGCCCCCAGCCTGGAAGCGTGGAGACTGGATTCTGGTCTTACTTCTTCCAATATCTCATTATGTCTCCTTAGACAACTCATTTAACTGGTTACACTTCAGCTTGCCCATCTGTAAAATGTGTTCTATGTGCAAGCAGGGGGAATATTATAAGTTTGAAGACCTACTATGACCATAAAGATTCATTGCACCATGGTAAATTAACACTTTCTCTGGACTTTGGTTTTCTTTTTGTAGAGCATGGGGCTGCTATAGACAATCTCTGATTCCCTTCCAGCTCTGACATTCATATGACTATAACTTCCTTCTGAAAACTTTTCTCAGACTGCAGTGAGTGCTTGCCACTTGTATCAGAGCAAGCATACCCCTTTGTCTTGTGTCAAGACCTTTATAACACTTATTTAGCTTTTAAAAAACTTCACAGGGGAGATCAAAATTGTCCAAGACTGAGCCCCACAGTGGCCCACCTGCATCCACTAACAACATACAGACACATCTACACACTGTCCATACAGACACACACATAAATGGAATTCCTGCACTACCTTCCCCAGGGCTAACCAGGAGACATTTACCTGAGTTTGTTTGGACCAAACAAAAGAGAACAGCAAACAGAAAAAAGACCTTCATGTTTTAAGGTCCGTTGAACCTCCCTGCCCTCCCGTGAAGGAGCACAAATATGATGAATGATGGAATGAAATGGAGCGGAGAAGGCACAAAATGGGACATTTATAGGTTTTTGGGAATACTGATCAGCATGAGCATATTTATCTGCTCTACTGAGTAAGGCTGTGGGCAGAAGGTTACTGACTACTCTTCCCTTTCTGCCTAAAAATAGACTGGCTTCCTGATATTCAGAGAAGCAGGGATCAACCAATAATTCCATATACGGATATTGAAGAGGAAAGTGAACCAACATTGAGGTGTGGCTACTTAGTGCCAAGCCCTGTGCTAGGTGCTAGAGACATGGTTGTGTAAAGATATATTTTCTGCCTTCAGAAAGCTGCGGTGTCCACCACAGTTGAGCAGATAATTAGCTTATTTCCCAGCAACATGACTCCCATCTACCAACAGAAACATAGGCCCACGTGCATTAGGAGACATGTGCACGAACGTTCATTGTAGCACATTTCCTTGCAGCCAAGAGAATGCAACCAAATAGTGTATTATGACAACAACAAAACACAATGTATTTCCACACCACAACAAGAATAGAAAAACAAGAAGATGTGTACAACAACGTGGATGAACCTCACAAACGCTATGCTGAAAGAAAAAAAAAAACAGAGACAACGTACCACATTATTCCAAAAATTTGGCAAAATTCACCTATTTATGAAGAGCCAGGATATTGTCTACTTTGGAGGAAGAGGACATGCTCTTCTCTCATTTGATGAAGTTATCCGCTGTCGGAGGTGACAGTCTAGTGAGGGATGCAGAGAGCCCCCGGCAACCACAGGGCTGTGTCATCCTGGGCTGGAGGGAGGTTTGTGGGCTCTGGGGTGCTGGGAGTTGTGAAAACAGAATCTGCAAGGACACGATATTTTTGTGTGTGGGTTTATATAATGTGTGGTATTAAAACACACAGTGGATAAAGCTGCACATTTTGCCCCTATTTGATTTTAGTCCCAGGATCACTTAGATTTATTTCCCTTAAAATTCTCTTAAGCAAAAGGGGCAAGTGAGAAGGATGTCTTCTCTCCTATCCCCCTGGGCTTCATAACAATTGCTGTTAGCTTCTTATTAATCCTTCCAGAGGTGTCCCATGTGTATGGAAGCAGAGATGAATCCATACCCCATTTTTATGTAAGCAATAGCAGACTCTAGATATCATTCTGGACTTGCCTATATTACTTGTTATAGCTTGCAGAGCCTTGTTATTCTTCAGATTAGACACATCATATTTTCTGCAAGCTGTCTTCTGCGTTATTTAACCAGTCTACAACAACCATATCTCACCATGAGTCTTACCTAGACATGGATTTTGAAAAAGAGACATCAAGCAGTGGTCTTGGACTTTCTGCATGGGTGAACAGTGTGAGCATCTCAAAGAGGCAGGGTCTGGGTGTTCATTTGGAACTTTCCACCTCTGGAGAGATTAAGCAGGACAATGTGCCCTGGCAGGGACTCTCTGACTCACAGACCTTTCTGTACCTTGCAAAATCACCTTTGAAGTTAAGACTTTAGGGAAAATTGGGCACTCCAAGCTGCTTTTGACCCTCCACCAAAAAAAAAGAGAGAAAAAAAAAAGTTACCTTAAATGTTAGCTATGTACTAAGTAATTGTAAAATAGTTATGAATATTTGTGAGGGTCCAACTCAGTACTTTAAGAAATCGATTAAAATGTGAAATTCTTTCTCTGTGGAGCATTTGTTCTGAAGACATCTCTGAAATCTCTCAAAAAAAAAAAAAAAAAAAAGAAAGAAAGAAAAGCAATTTCATTTGCCCCTTAGGGAAATTGGCTTCCACACAAAGATGATACCCTAAGTTCAAGGGTCCCAAGGAATAATGACAATTCTGAATGTATCCTGTGCATGGACAAAGTGGCTGTACGATACATGAACCATTGTTTGATAAAAACACTGAGTGTGGATATTCAAAAATTTGAGTCATTTTTTAAAAGTCACTAAGATGACTTATAGATAAAACAATAAAATGCATATTTTATACTTTACATTCATTCTTTCTATTTATACTACACGTTATTTGGAAAGGATCCAAGGTAAATGTGGATGGCATATTTTTTCTAGCAGTACAGTTACTAATCAAATCATTGTGAAATTATAGTTTAGAAAATTTCTGTATAGTTTGGAAACAATAAACTATGTTGGAAAATAAATTCATTTGGGGGAGAAATAAATTAATAGTATTAAATTTTATCATGTACCTTCTCCTCCAGACTTGAATCCATTCCCAAATCACAGACCCAGAAAGCAATCCCCACGGAACTATTTTGTGGATAATTCTGAAGAATAAGGCATATCATTTCAAAGAAATCAAACTAGAAAATCACGCTTATTGGCTAATTTTGTTAATATCTGGTTATAGGTTCATAGGTTCATATAATTGCAGAGTTGAAAGGAAATAGAGTTCAATTTGTGCCAACACACAAGCTAATTATTCTGATGTGCATCATACTCATGAATGGAAAAGAAGAGTGTAAGGAGAAGAGAGGAAAGATAACTTTGGGTTTGCAAACATTTGATAGTAGAAAAAATGTTTCTATATTTTAAAAAATATTGATACAATTCAACAACAAAAAGACAAACAACACACTTAAAAATGGACAAAGGACTTAAATAGATTTTTCCAAAGAAGAAATTCAAATGACCAGCAAGCACACGAAAGATGCTCAATATCATTAGTCATTAGAAACATGCAAATCAAAACCACAATGAAATATCACTTCACATCTACTAGGACAGTCATAAAAAAAATAAAACTTCAGAAGCAGTGGCTCACACCTGTAATCCCAGCACTTTGGGAGGCCAAGGCGGGTGGATCACAAGGTCAGGAGTTCGAGACCAGCCTGGCCAATATGGTGAAACCCCATCTCTACTAAAAATACAAAAATTAGCCGGGCAATTAGCTAGGCATGCTGGTGGGTGCCTGTAATCCCAGCTACTCAGGAGGCTGAGGCAGGAGAATCGCTTGAACCCGGGAGGCGGAAGTTGCAGTGAGCTGAGATCGGGCCACTGCACTCCAGCCTGGGCGCCAGAGCGAGACTCTGTCTCAAAATGAAACAAAACAAAACAAAATTTTTGAAAACAGCAAGTGTTGGTGAGAATGTGGAGACATTGTAACCTTCATATGTTGCTGCTGGGAATGTACAGTGGTGCAGCTGCTGTGGAAAAGTCTGGCAGTTCCTCAGAAAGTTAAACAATATGAGTTACCAATATGGCCCAGCAATTCAACTCCTAGGTGTATACATACAAGCGGTGAAAATAGGTGTTCAAACAGCAACCTGTACATGAGTGTAGTGTTCATAGCAGAATTAGTCACAAGTGTCAACGGTGGAAGCAATGCAAATGTGCATCAGTTGATGAATGTATAAGCAAAGTGTGGCGCATCCATACAATGCAATATTATTTAGTCACAAAAGGAAAAGAAGTAATGCCACATTCTCCAACATGGAGGAACTTTGAAAATCTCACATTAAGTAAAATAAGCTAGGCACAAAATACCACATATTGTATGATTCCATATATATGAAATGTGCACAGCTGGCAAATCCAGTGGCTGCTTACTGGTGTCTCCTTTTGGGATGATGAAAAAGTCAGCTGGGGTTTCTCCCCACTTTTTTATCCTCATGGACAATGCTAATGTTACTCCTCTTGCTCCGGAGGTTTTATTTATTTATGTATTTTGGGTTTTCAAGAAAGAGGCAGGGTTTGTGTTCATGAATTTAATCTCTCTTTATGAAGGCATACTAACTTTCCATTTTGGTCTTATTATTTATTTCCATTTTGGTCTTATCAACTAAGGGAGATTCCCTGGGTGCAGAAGGTCATTTCCCATGACCCAAAGAGGTAAAAATAAGCCAGGTGAGAGCAGGTCAAGCCTGCAGAGTTGCGGTGACGACCACATGTAGGGACAGGAAGAAAAGATTAGAAGCGCCCATTATTTATGTCACACGAGGTGCAATGGGGTGGAATTGACTGAGCCTGCCCACCTGTTCCTTGCCCCGCAAACCTCAGGCATTGAAGAGAAGACAGGCTTCCTGATGATGGGGACTCTCTGAGCAATGGATGAGTCAGAAGGATCAAATCCCGGGAAAAGCTGCTGGGGTGCAGTGGAGGGAAGGATGCTGCGCGGAAGGTGGGCGTGCAGAGTGGAATACAAGGCAGTCAGGTGTGCTGCAGTGCGTTCTGAGACAGCCTCCAGCAAGCTTCTGTCTAAGGACCTCTTCCCACTGCGTAAAACTGGTGGCCATAAAACCTCATCAGGGCTCAGGGGCCTGTACTAAAAAGCTGCTGTGAGAACAAAGAATGCATAACTAACGGAATTGGTGGCTCAGGACTGACCTTGAGAACCCATTATATTTATTCAGTTGTCTCCAAGCAGGATGGCACATTTGTTTTTTTAACGTCTGTAATTTTTATTTATTTTTATTTTATTTTACTTTAAGTTCTGGGATACATGTGCAGAACGTGCAGGTTTGTTACATAGATATGCATGTGCCATGGTGGTTTTCTGCACCCATCAACCCGTCATCTATATTCTAAGCCCCACATACATTAGGTATTTGTCCTAATGCTCTCCCTCCCCTTGTCCACAACCCAGCACTGCAAATATTATAATATCAAAGAATGAGAGGAAAAAAAAATCAGTTTCTACCTGTTTTTTATGAATCCCAGGTAGGCTCCAAAATCTCCCTGGGTAACATGCTTTAAATGTCATATCATCTTTTTATAAAATTTTTATTTATTTTTACTCACCGCTATGCAAACAAGGAGTCTTATCATCTTACTGCCCAGAAAGCGCTTTCTTATGTTAACTCTGTGAGTTTCTGGATGCAACTTAAGTCTACAACAGAATGTCTTTGCTTATAATTAAGTGATATCTTTGTATATACATATATATGTTTATTTTTAGGCACATTAATTTTGTTCTTACAAACGTATATTTAACATTTAAGAGTAATGCAATAACTTGATGGTATTTTTAAAGGTGCAAATATCTAAAAATCACCAATAATTTTAACATTAGAAACTTTATTGTTTTTAAGCATACTTTTCACAGTTAATTTTATATCAAATATGTGAACATTGGTATCATAATTTTTAGGACATGTAAGTATTTTGAAAATGTTATGCATTTTGATGGTTTTTCACTGTGTTATATTTATTATACCTAAGGAATATGTAATATCTCTGAGTAGATTTATTGTAGTTTGCTAATATAGTGCTCCATTTTGAACTTTTTAGAGTTTTTTTTGGTTTCTCAAAGTATTTTTTTATTTCCCAGGATAATTTCTGAGCAGAATAACTGAAACAATGAGAACGAGTATTTTATATCTTACATACATATTAAGATTGCTTTACAAAGAGGTTATTTAAGTTACCAGTGCTTCTGGTTTTGTATGTGAGGACTAGTTTCATATACCTTCATTATCCGTGGGTATCAGCCCCGTGTGAGTGTGCCCATATATAAGTTGATTAAGGAACATCTTTGTTCAGAAAAAAAGCCTGGAAAGGTGGCATTCTGTAAAGGGCTCTGTGTACCTAGTTTCTTTCCTATGCTGAGCCCCAGGATCCTGATTCTTACCCAGATGCTTATATTTAGGTTGGTGCAAAAGTAATTGCGGTTTTGACCGTTATTTTCAATGGCAAAAACCACAATTACTTTTGTAGCAATCTAATACATAACAATATTTGCAGGAAGTTTTAATTTATGGGGATTAAAGAAAGCTGCAAAGAGAATAATGAGCTCAAAGTTTTGTGATGTGCAGTTTATTATTAATTAACTTGAGCCTAAAATAATGATCACTGATGAAGATTTTATGGACAGATTAGGCAAATATCATTATTTCTTCCCTATTTATTTATTAAAGACATCCATGAAACTTCTTTTAAGTAGAGATACCCTACAGAAAAGTTTAAGACAAACAGCAGATTCTACCCACATTCACTCTTTGCCACCTCTCACTCGCTTGCTTACCCTACCAAAGCAATCCTGCACAGCTGGTCTGCATGAGCAAGCAGATGTTAGCGGTCAGTGTAAAACTAGCAGAAGTGAAGTCAGCACTTTTAGAAACTGGAAGAGACTTAACTGAACTGGAATATGTGCGATTTCAATGGAAAAATGCAGTTTTAAAACAATCAATATGTATTTATTCCTAATGAGATTTGAGAAACTGTGGTCAGCAAAATGAGAATTAGATCCCATGAGAAAGTCACACGTTGAGAAAGAAAGGGACTATTTGCAAATATAAGACTATTTAAAAATAATTAAAAATCTAATAACTGAACTTCAAAATCCAAAAATAGTAAAAAAAAAAAAAAAAAATAGAAGGGCTCTACAGATATAAAAATAAATATCTGCAAAGTAGAGAACAAAAGGGAAAAGCATGAAAATTATGGTTGAAAGATAATGAGAGGATATTTCAAGGATAACTGGGGTTTAAGCAGGAGGCATTCCAGAGAAAGGGAAGATAATTGATGGAGGAAAGAATATGTAAGGTTAGATATAAAAGGAGCACATGTACATGGATAAGAATAAAGCGGTAACCTGGCCGGGCGCGGTGGCTCACGCCTGTAATTCTAGCACTTCGGGAGGCCGAGGCGGACAGATCACCTGAGGTCGGGAGTTTGAGACCAGCCTGATCAACATGGAGAAACCCCGTCTCTACTAAAAATACAAAATTAGCCAGGCATGGTGGTGGACACCTGTAATCCCAGCTACTTAGGAAGGCTGAGGCAGGAGAATTGCTTGAACCTGGGAGAATCGCTTGAACCCGGGAGGTGGAGGTGGTGGTGAGCCAAAATCGCACCATTGCACTCCAGCCTGGGCAACAAGGGTGAAACTCTGTCTCAAAAAAAAAAGAAAAAAGAGAATAAAGTAGTAACCCAGTAAAACTATTAAATTTTACAGAAGAGAAAAAATGATCAATAAACAAAAGAAAAAACGCTCAACTACACAGTAATCAAGGGTGTGCCAGACTGATATCTGCAAGATGGTGGACTAAGAGGCTCCAGCCTTTCCTTCCTTCCACGGATATACCAAAGAAATATCAACACACAGATCGGTTCTTTCTGAGAGAAAACCATGGACTAATTGAACGACTACTACACATCAAGCAACTGAGAAAATATTCATGTGAAAACAGGTGGGAAGAGCTGAGACACACTCCCCGCACAATCCCTATCCCAGGCATAACACCTTACAATTAATTGGTAAGGAAGTCCCAACTCCTAGCTTCTCCCTGAGGAGTGAAGGGTTTGGACCACACATATAGTACCCTGACCTTTATGCTTCCCACCCAGGGGTTTGGCTCCTAAATCACCCAGCTCAGGGTTGATAGAGCTGGGCATCTGCAGGTCTCCCTAAACCACAGACACCAAAGAGATGGTGGGACACAGATTTGCAAGCACTTTTGGCAGCTCTCTCCCTGGGCTCAGGCCAGAGCAGGCAGGTAAATGCCCACCTCCCGGTTTCTACCTGCAAGGGGTTTATCTACCCATTTTCCCATCTGCTGCCTGAGGGTTGACTTCTGGGTCTGTATCTGGGAGCCAAAGGGGCAGGGTGAACAGTAGACCTGTGGGAGCCTGAACAGAGGTATAGGTAGGCACTGCGCCTGCTCCTCTCGACTAGCTCCAGCAAGAAATCCAGGTCTCCAGCTTCTCCCTTGAAGGAGAATACTTCAAGCACAGTTTTATAGCTGCCACCTGGGGGACTGGCTCCTAAATCACTTATCTCTAGAAGTTAATGTGAGGCAGGAGAATTGCAGAGGAAATTGGAAGTTGGATAAAGGATAGAGTGAATAAAAGCAGAAACAGAAGCAAGGTGAAGGGGTGGGTGAGCAAGAAGCAAGATAAAAGGCAGAAGTGAAGCAGCCAAAAGAAAAAGTGAGATAAAGAAGAGAGCAAGGACCCCATGGCCAGCAAGATCCAGATCAAACCAGGAAGGGGCAGCTCTTCAGAGATAGGCATGCGCATTAAAGAGAAAAAGTATCCTTAACAGGATGCTGTATGATAATCAGCTCATTAAAGCTCATGCATATGGACTACCTATCACGCATGTAGTTAAAATTATGGGATGGAGACAATTCACAAGCCCGCACAGGCTAAAGTAACTAAGCAACACACCTATCTATCAAAAGGCAGGCACCGGCAAAAGATCAGGCAGCCTTGCGAAGAGAAGGGGAAAAAACACATAAAAAGACCCAAGGTACACCGAAGCCATGCTAATCTCATTTGGCAGAAGTCAGCCCACTCTCCCCTCTCCGGGAATGTAATACTGCGCTTCACACACTTTTGCTGCTTGCTTTGCTGTCTGAGTATCACATCCAGTTCTTTGTTCAGGACACCAAAAGCCTGGAATTGCACAGCACCATCGGGTTATAAATGGGTCTCTGCATTTTGTGTCTTCTAAGGCCACAGAGAACAAATGGGTAGTTTTAAAGGGGCACAAGAGGACTTCCAGAGGGTATTCTTCCAGGTTTAGCACAAAGAGAACAGGCAGTAACTCCCAGCTCTCAGTATCTCCCCAGAAGGCATTTGCCTGCACACTCTCTCAGCTGCTGCTAGAGAACAGGGCTTCGAACTGGCCTGCAGGTAGGAGATGATGGGGCTGATGGAGAATGGGTTTGACCACACACCTGACACCTCAACTACATTTCACAGTACTTAGAATAGAATGGACTCCATTGCACAGTACCTAGAATAGAAGTAGGTATTCAAAAAATAGTTTTTAAATAAAAGAACAAATTATTTTAATTCTTTCTAATAAAAGTTTATGATATCCACATTTACTAGCACAAATTGTGTGATTTTGAAAATTCTGTTCATGTCAAGCTAAGTCATCTTCTGTAAGATCACAGGTAGCATTTTTGTCATTTATCTTGCCACAATAAAATATTTGAACTGTCTGGCACAAGTGGCAATATCTCCGCTCCCTGCTGCTCAGACACTTCCGCAAAAAACCTGCACCTGATTGGACAACGTGGCCCCGGAGAACAGGTAAGTGGCAGAGCTTTGTTTCTATATCAGCAACATCAGTTTTAATGTAAACAGCAGGCGTCTTTCTTTTTAGAGCAGTAGCCTACTTGTGTTTCCATATAATTACAGTATTCTTGGCAGAAGCCTTCACTTCTCCTGCAGTCAACAACTTTTAAATCTGATGCAGGTTCTTCATTAAAAAAAGAAAAAATCCAACATTAGCTTCTTAAGACCATCTCCAGAATCAAACAGTGGTCATTTGAGCCGTGAGGGACAGGGTGGGGGTGGCATGGATATGAAACAGCTTTCCATAGTTAATAGCTTCAAGTTCCAAACTAAAACATCAACTCCAGATATATAGCTCTGCCCCACTAAATCTCCTTTAACCAAAGGAAGGAATAATCCTGTCTCACAGGAATACTGTTAGACTAAATAACACACGCCTACTATTGCACCTGTTTATATTTGTTGTGTAATAATTGAGTTTTCTTTTTCCCTTCCCTTGGGAGGAGATCCAGATGAATGAGTCCTTTGGAACTGTGGGCCAATTAGAAAGGGATGGGAGGTTGGGTAGGATGCTGCAGGCATCAAATTCAGCAGGACTTTATTTGCTGGATGTCACAGCAATTTGCCAACACCCTCCTGTCTTTCTTGCTCTTGCCCACTGATCTGCTAACCTAGTTCTCCCTGTCTTAGGGTCAGCAATCAGCTTGGCATTAAAGAAGCATCTTGGAAACTACAGGCTCTTCCAGGCCCTTTTGGATTTGAAGCTGGTCCTGCCCAGGGGTTTGGGGGCTGACCAGAAGCCTGGCCCTTCTGGAAGAGTCCAGAAGAGTGGCTGTGGGCTCAATTGTCCCTTGCCATGTCCTGCTACCTCCTTGCCTGAGTAGACTGACAATACAGTCTATTCTCTGCCCCCATCCTCAGGAAGCATTTCCCAGACCTCAATGGACACCTGAAACTTAGTAGGTAGGTATTCAGTAAATTCCTTGAACGGGAACGACCTCCAAAGCTAAGGGCATGGGGCTGCAACCTGGCAGGAGGCCATGTTTCCACCAGTGTCTCCTCTGGCACCTGTTCTTGGAGGAAGCCAGCAATTACAGGTGTGGCTTCAGATAAATTGGCTTTTGGCCCCTCAATACTCCCACGTTCCACAAGGCCCTCAATGATCCAGCCCCAGGGGAAGCTGTGAGACCCCGTGGTCTCCCTGACAGGCAGGGCAGCCCAATGCACCCGCACCATGTCTTCCCCAAACAATGACTGCTCACCCACCCCGACCAGCACAGACATCTTCCCGTCTATTTGTTCCCTCTACGTCTCCCCAGTGGATGCACTTGTTGCACGTGTTGGTCCCTGACTCACCTTGGTAAGGTGGGGTGCGCGGTGGTAAGAGGTCCCGTTTCACTGCGTGGCGTAGCAGCTGAAACCCGTTTGTGCCTTGCCCAGGGGCTCTTTCCCTGAGTTCTCCGAGAGCCTCAGTGGCTGAGTGGTTCACATGTCTGGCTTGAGACGATCCTGTGCAAGTGGAAACACACGTCTGAGGATGCTCTGAGGCCTCCGCCTGGCAGACCCGTCAGCATGAGGCACCTACACTCTACCAGGTGAGTGAGCATGGGTGATTGGGTGGGGGAGTTGGGAGGGGTGCTAGTGTTCCGTGTGTGTGCACATTTGTGCACATGCGTTGTATGCACCTATGTGTAGAGAGAGAAGGTGAATGAAGTGTAAGAAATGTATGCCATGAATGGTGAGTCTGAGCACCTCCTCAAAGCCAGCACAGCCAGAGAATTTATTTCAAGTGTCACTAATGCAGTTGTTAAGATTCCCTAAAATGTAATGTTCTTCTCTGTAAGGGAAAGGGGAATGTTAAAAGGATAAGAAAATGGAGTCGGGGAGGGACACTCTTCCCTGGGAAGCAAGTGCCATCAGCCAATTCAGAGTGCCATTTATGAACCCAGTTCAGAGACTCGTACCCAAAGCTCCACCAGGAATACATGCCCCAAGGACTTCATCTCTCCCTGTCCAGCCTGGACTCCCATACCTCAGATGACCATTGCAGAGAGATTCTGGCACCCAGACCCGGGTCACCTTTCCATTTTACCTGGAAACAGCAGGGCCACAAGGAGAAGGCTGGTGACGGACGGGAGCAATCGTTGCCTCATGTCTGCCAAGAGCACTGCAAGCCAGAAAGCACCCAGGGTGGGTGGGCAGGCAGCGGGGCTCCTTTGATGGAGTGAGGCTGGGTGTGTGGGCCCGGAGCGTGGGAAGAGCTGTGCTCCAGGATGACTTCTCATTCTCAAAGGACAATGTGGACACGCTACTATCCCACTGCTGGTGGAACAAACACTTGAGACACATATTTCAGGAAGTAAATAATACGCCTGAATGCCTTGGGTGGGTTTGGTGAATAAGGAAGAACAGAGAGAAACAGAAAGATGAAAGGCATGGAGGGGCAGAACAAACATAACTATCATAAAGTTGCCAATGTCCTCAAACGCTTCTCAAAAGCCCCCTAATGTTCATGAGAACAGGGACATAAATAAACTGCCATGTCGATTCTATCCTGTTGGCTGAGCGTTTTTATTTTAGTGTTAAAAAATCATGCATAAGACACACAACATAACAGGTAGGACCTGGTTTTACAAACTATCCCTTCCTGAAGTTATACAGAGAGTTCCAAGGCTGCTCAAAATGTTCTTTTCTTTTTCTTCTCCTCTCTGAGTCTCTCTCCCTGTTTCTTGGTCCCCTCCACTTCTCCTTCCTCACTTTGGACCCCCCTCCTTTCTATTTTAACTTATTTGAGTTGTCTTGATTTTTCTCTCCCCTTTCCATTCTCTTTACCCCCAGACACCTCCTGTTGATGTCACTGGGTCCAATTCAATTCTTTTAAAAAAGAAAAAAAAAATCTGTGTTTGAGTCTGGGTTTTCTCCTCTAGTAATATCCAAGCAGAGGACTTGTCTTCCCTTCTCCTTCATCTTTTTAAGCATTTTAACCAAGTGTGTGTTTCTTACTTGGCTGCATTAGCTCAGGTATGCATGTAACCCAGACAGTCTGCTCTGGACTTAACTAAAGTGAAGAAGGCTTTGGTTGAAGAGTTTTGTATTCACATAGCATCCAATGTAACATCAGTGATGTCTGGAAAAGATAGTGCTTATCTCATATGTCTCATTTGCATGTATATTTTAATCCAGACAGAGAAAACAACTTAGGTCATTTGTGTAAATAAAAATACTTACTCTCTACCTGGAGAAAGCTGGAAGCAAATGGAGAAAGAGGCAGCAATGACAATAGAGACCTGGGCATCCGCTGAAGCACCAGCAAAGGGCGGAAGGTTTGCAGCTGCGGACAGTTGCACATAGCAGCTGCCCTGGCAGCACAATGCGGAGGCCACTATCTTTTGGGTCTCAGGACAGATTCTCCACTGCAAAGCATGAGGTGCTGGTCAGGGAGAGC
This sequence comes from Homo sapiens, assembly GCF_000001405.40. NCBI lineage: Eukaryota > Metazoa > Chordata > Mammalia > Primates > Hominidae > Homo > Homo sapiens. Next base: position 5,444,047 of record NW_018654717.1, on the reverse strand, counting down.
AGGAGCATCATTCACATCCTTTCACTTTAAGGAATTAGGAAGTCTTCCAATTCCAAGAGCACAGGGCAACACTGCGGAGATAGGTGACAACTGGCCCATGATAAGTTTCTTTAATCACTTACTGCATCAAATTCTGATAATTGGATGTTGGAAGAACATAGACAGTCAAGAAAGGAGGTAGACAGCTGCTCTACCTCAACCCTAAATGAAGATTTATTCGCTCATCTACATACTCTGGGTATTTTTTATACTCTAGTTCAATAGCAACTTCTTACAGTTGTATTTGTAATTATTTAAACTTGGAATGTGGATCTTTTATAACAGTGATGGAAATTTTGGAGTATATTGGTAACTTATTTCTATATATTTTTATCTTCTCTATAAAAGGAAAGAAAACAAAAACAAGCCTATTCCACCATTCAGATATTCATAGTAATGAATCATTAATCAAAATCATGACTTAAAATATAACAGCATTTGAGTAATTACCACCCAGGTAACGGAATCTTCTTTTAAGTCGTTAGAATTATTTGAAATAATTTAAATGAAGAAACTGAGCCAAAAATAGTTAGATCTCACTTCCTTTGTCTACGTCTTGAGATAAAGTAAGCCCCCTCTTCCATGCTTCTGAAAAGAACAATCTTAAAAAAGAGCAGCCGGGAAAGCCTAGTTCTGCTCTTTGACAGGCAAAAGCTGGTGAAGTCGTAATAAAGGCAATTAATGTTACATCTGTCCTAACACAACAATGCTCTCAGCTCCTGTCCTCTTCTGCCAGATTTCTGTGTCCTAAAAAAATCTTTGAATAATTCTCTTGCTAAAAGCCACATCCATCCTGAGGGGGAGGATGGCAGAACCCATTATAGAATATTCTAATAATTGTTTCAAGTTTTTTTTGGTCCATTCAATCAATAAATCATATTCTTTTTTTTTTAAGCTGCTTAGTATGTGGTATCTTGATTCGTTTGGACTAAGTAGGTGGGCTAAAGTAAAATGATCAAGATTTTATTGTCAAATAAGAAGTTCTGCAAATACATATTCCTGAAGGATCTTATTGGAAATTGCACACATGTGCAGGGGGTAAGATTTTCCACATCGGCACATCCTCCTTCTTGCTTCCCAAGTAGCATCCTGGTAAATCCTGGAAAATATGAATGCGAGAAGGAAAACCCTATTGTAGCCCAGTTTGGAATCAGAAGTTCTCTGCAGAATCAAATTTAGACTCTTCTTTTGCATTACTAAATGACCCAGTGAAAGTTTCTCTGGAGGAGACTCACAGAAGAGCGAAGCAAAGATTCCTATGCAGATTTTCTTATTCTTAAGTCTGAGATTGTAACATGCTAACCAGTCTGTAAGACCAACTAGAATGCCATTTACAGAGGCACAGATTCCCCTCTAGGGAAAATAACTGATATATGGAAAAGACACAAATATTAGAGTCTTCTTTGGAAAAAGCAGTCAGGAAGAATTACATGATAGGAGAGAAAACTGCTTTTGGATCGTGGTTAAAGAAGTAGCTTTGAGAATTGTGCAAAAATATTCTTTGGTATTTTGTTTCTTTTTCATGCACAGAATCACAAAATGAATTGTGTTTTCAGAAGTCGATTTGATCTGTAGCCATTTCAGCCATCCCAAGAATGCTCTTAAGGCAGCATATGAAAGAACACAGGAAATCCTTTCATGAGCGCTAAGGCATAAACACCATTTAGTTTTGGTAATAAAAACATGGTATTGTTATAAGTTTAAATAAATCTGTTGAGATTGCCTATTCTTTTTCTTGAGACGGAGTCTGGCATTGTTGCCCAAGCTGGAGTGCAGCGGCGCCATCTCAGCTCACTGCAACCTCCGCCTCCCGGGTTCAAGCGACTCTCCTGCCTCAGCCTCCTGAGTAGCTGGGATTACAGGTGCCTGCCACCGCGCCCAGCTAATTTTTGTATTTTTAGTAGAGATCGGGTTTTCACCATGTTGGCCAGGCTGGTCTTGAACTCCTGACCTCAAGTGATCCTCCCGCCTCTGCCTCCCAAAGTGCTGGGATTACAGGCGTGAGCCACCCTGCCTGGCCGAGGTTGGCAATTCTGACGAAACAATCATAACATTTTGGAACTGAAAACTGTCTTAGAGACCTAACCAATATTTTAAGAAGAGGAAATGGAGGATGAGTGAAAAAGCGATGTGTCTATATGTGTTAATTAAAGACTAAAGATCTGGAGGAGGCTATGCACTGCAGACACTATTAACAGAATGGAGTCCATGTAAATAAACAAAGGGGTGCTCAAAGTTAAAGGGAAAGGCAACAGATTTGTTTGGGGAAGAGCAGGAGTTCATGGTGGTCACAGACATAAGAAGAAATGTAGTTTTTCACGGGAATAGTATCTTTTCTCCACGGTGCCATGATGCTTTTATTATTTTGGGTGTAATTTCTCATAACTGGAAAGCATTTCAGCCCCTTCCCAGTCCTCAGAGGTTGACCATTTTTTTCTCTCGGATTCAGCCACAAAGGCAGCTCTACCACTCACCATGTGTCTGTCTTTGACTTTGTCATGTTGGGAAGACTCAGGACCCCACCTATTTTTACCCACAGGGCCCTCTGTGCCTATGAAACTGAGGTCCCAGCAGTCCTTGTGGACATATCACAATCTAAAATTCAGGGATAAGAAAATCTACATAGGAATCTCTGCTTCACTCACCTGTGAGACTCTTCCAGGCTAATTTTCTTTGGGTCATGTGGTAATGCAAGAGAAAGTTGATTCTATAGCAACTTCTGAGCACAGACTTGGCTGCAATATGTTTCCCCTTTACACAGTCATATTTTCCAGGATTTAATGGGATGTCTCTTGGGAGGCAAGAAAGAGAATATGCCAGTGTGGAAAACCTTAACTCCTGCACGTTGAAAATTTCAAGTTCTGCTCTTTTGGATATTTAAGTAAGGACCTGGGTGGTGATTTGCTCACCCAGAGATTTTCTCTGTCAATCTCTGTCTCTCTCTCTCAACTTCAAATAATAAAAAACGCATAAATTAAAAAGTGAAAAATATCCAAACAATCCTTCCTTCTGTTGATTTTCATTAGGCACATTTCAAAGGGTTACTGATCATTCATTATGAACTACAGACTTCAGATCTGTATCCATCCTTTGGAGATAGAAGATAAGTAGCAATGTTATTGGGTTTCTGATTGTGTTTGTAGTGCATCAGGTACAAATTATTAAATATTTCCTGCCAATTCTGGAAACAATAAAATAGAACAATCTATCTTTGTTCTTTTACTGTAAAGCCCTGAAATTAAAGTAGTGCGACTTTGTGATGTCGTTAAGTGCTGAGGATAGCAGTTCATTAATATGACTATGTGAATTACACCTGAGGGCGGGAGGGGGCGCTGTTTCAGAATCCAGCCTCTTTAGAGAGCAAAACAATAGGACACCAGGACGGCAAGCCAAACCCAGGGCTCTTCAGTGAAGACCACGATACAAGGCTTTCTACGTTATCTGACAATGAGATAGCTTTGCTTTCTGCTTGTTCTTGTCTCTCTGGCCACTACGGCGGGTGGCGTTGATTAAAGTCTGTAGAAGTCCCTTGCTTTGCTCTATATTTACATTGGGAGGTACAAGATGGCCTCCTTGGCAAGGCATCAAATTACATTTTAAAAGGAGACAAAAAATAATTGTAGCACAGGGTCAGCAGTTGGATCTCTGTTTGTAAGTGTTGTTGGGCAGAATGGCCATACGGCAGGAGGGGAAATCAAGGTACAAGTCAAATAAGTCACCTTCCCAAGGTCCGCTGCTAAGCAGTAGAGCTGGGATTCCAGGCTTTGCGTATTTGTACATGCCATGCTGTGCTGCCTCTGAACTGCACTTGAGATGTGGGGTCTAGGCCTGGTCTTGCCTAATATCGTGGCCAGTGTTAGGAAAACCACTAATCCGTCTGAACCTTAGTAACAGTGCCTAAAAGGTGAGGATGTTGACACTTACCATGCCTAATTCAAGAGTTTATGGTGAGGATCAAAGGAGATTATGTATTAAAAGTATTTTATAAAATACGAAATATGAGAATAATGAAAAGAGTCTAAAAAAATGTAAGACTAAAATAAATGTCACATTGTCTTATAGCGTGTTCTGTATGTTGCATTTGGAGTGTGGCATCCTTGGGGGTGGTTCAGTAGTTTCTTCTTTTCCTGTAATTGCAGTGTTGAGACCTAGGGGCTTGCCCAGATATGCACTCAATTTTCAGCACAATATTTTATAGATGGAATAGAAGTACACATCACCATCTGTGCAAGAGGCCTTGGAGGTAAACAACCTGAGGCAGTATGTGGACTTTCCAGGATCCAGATTCTAATAAATCAACTCTTAAAAAGGCACTTATGAAATGCTCAGGGTCATTTGAATACAGATTGGCTGTTAAATTGTATTTAGGAATGAATGCTGATTTTTTCCAGGGGTGATAATAGTATTGGGGTTCTATTTTACAAAACGAGTTCTTTCCCCCTGAGTTACACCTTCTAGAGTATTTTCAAATGGGCACCTTTGAAATAATTTATTTTTATTTGAGATAATCTAGGAGAGAGTTATCAAGGGATGAAACAAGACTAACCACATATTGAGGCTGGGCGATGCCTACGCGAAGGGCCATTACACTGTTTTGGTAGAAAGGGCACAATGCAGCCTCAGTTTCCACCATGACAAGGTGAGGATGATGCTGCTTACCATGACTAGAAGCTCGTACGTGGCATTATGTCCTTCTATTAGGAAGCACAGGGTAGCAGGTTGTCTTTCTGGCTTATTTTAATCGCTGTTGACATTCCTTGGCTAGATCCCTGTTTCCCTATGTGTTTGCAAAATGGCGACACTCCTCATTTATTAGCTGGACTGCTTTCGAAGAGAGAAGCTTTTGACTACCTTAAAATTTGGTTTGGACAGGAAAGGCAGGCAGGTCAAATGTTTCATCACTCACCTTTCTTTACAGGTTTTCAGGATCAAGAATCCACAGCTCAGCGCAGGGCTGCTCTCTGCTGCCCTCTGCTGGATGGGACCCTCCACAGACGCCCACTTGATCAACCCCTTAAGCTCCAATGGGTTCCCAAGCTTGTCATCACACATCACCTCTTTTGTTTTTCTCCTCAGAGGTCTATGTTTTGAAATATAGTGTATTCTAAACAAGGCACACTTAACATTGATTTACTTTACATTTTAATTAACACACGATATATATAACTCCTGAGCAAAACTTTCGATCGGAAAAGAAAACCAATATTATCAGGATAAAAATGATGTTTTTCTTAGGTTTATAGCTGATTAGGTAGACATATTTTTTGTTCAACTTATAAAGTGTTGAAACTCATGCTTAACTCCCATTGTTATTCTCCATTATCACAACCAGAGGCGGCTTTCCAGCCTGTATTCTTCTTCAATCTCCTATATTGGCTTTGCATTGAGTGGAAGCTCAGCAAACCTTCTTTGATAACTGAACCCGTGGTTGCAATGGGGATGCCCTTGCTGCTAGGCCGCAGGAAGGAAAGCTACTGAGGTCCTACTTCCAGCGACTCTAGGGACCAGCACTACTGCGTTTCAGGGTTTTGTACGATTCAGTAAGCTCTCATCCCATTTTCTCAAACAGCATGCATAGGTGTTGGGACATCTTCCAATTCTGTATTCTTGGCTGCGACATTTCTTCCGGCAACGGGCAGTCCCATAACCACATATTCTGTCCAATTCAAATTCGCTTCTCACTAGATAACAGGATATGGCACTGTCATTAATTGCTTACTGGCACCAAAAGGCAAGGCTTTGGTAGAAGGTGTTTTCGGAGGGGGATAGAGAATGCTAGTGCATGGTGGTAGAGTTTTTCCTGGACCCCCATCCTCCTCCACTTTCCTAGATGATTGACTTGACCTTCTGATTCCCAACCAGCATGGATTTTATTTGAAAATGTACATCATTCCATGTCACACTTATTTTCAAAATCCCTACAAGTTTACTATTGTTTTCTTTATTAAATCTCTCCAAGCCCCTTACTTGGTCTCCAAAGCAATCGTGATCTGATCTTGGGCCACTTTTTCAGACTCATGCTTTTCCACTGTGGCCCTCACTCTGTCCATGAAACTCTCGCCGGCTTCCCTTCTGTTCCGTGTGAGCTTACTCTTTGCTATCCTGGTACCTTCACGTGCACTGTCCCCTCTGCCTGGAAGGTTTTTCTTCCTTCCCATAAGTGAATTCTTTGAACTTTTATGTCTCAACCTTAAGTTCCCAATATTGGGCAAATCTTTCTCTGTCCTCTTCGTGTATTCAAATGCCCCAAAAGTATTTTTCTCCCTATGCATTTGTTATTCTTTTATATCACCTATCGCAAGTTGTAGTTATATATCTATGTATCTATATAGGTATATATATATATACATATATAGAGAGAGATACATACAAACATAGACATAGATATAGATATGTATATATGTATGTATATTTTGTTATTTGCTATTCTCATTCGAACTATGAGCTCCCTGACAATGAGGCCCATGTTTATGTTGCTTACCATTGTGTAACTGCTACCAGGAACATAGCCTGTTCTCAATAAGGACGTGGTGAGTAAATGATTGGATAGACTAGACCAGAATAAACTAGAGTGGTTGCAAGTAGAGAGGAGGAAACTAGAAAGGAGCAGAATCCTGATTGTTCGGCCGTTGGCCCAGAGCAGTTTTCAGGAGACATGGATTTAGCTTCTCAGTCTCAGGGTGCGCTCTCTGAGGCTGAAAGCAGCTTTGTAAAACTCATTATCTCACATGCCACACTGATAGGATCTTACAGAGATATCAGGAAAACCCAGAAGCAAGGCTGATGGTAGGGAGGACAGCGTAAGGTGGACCGAGAGAGTCTCGCTGGAGAGAGCTTTGCTAGAGGTTCTCTAGCAAACTCAGCAGGAGCCAGGCTTGGGAGAGGGTGTCAGAAGAACCCTGGGGAGAGGAGAGTCAGGGCTGCAAATGGACCTCTTTGCAGAGGTCGGGGCCCAAGAGTCCTAATTTCATCTTAGCCTTAAGTCCTTCTCCCCTGTTGCATCTGTTCCTTTTCTACAAAGCAGAAACGGGCTGCTAATCCTCGCACCAGGGTTTTATGTCTTTCATTTGTTCTGGTAAAGAGAAGCCTCCTGTTTCTGATGCTTAGGTATCAAGGTTCTTTGTCCAGGATGTAGGTGAGGACTAAAAGGCAGTTTGACCAATTCATGTGCTGGATAGGATATTGAAGGGGTTAATATTTGGAATGGCCCCACAGTGGGTGATGAGGAAAGACTGTTTTGCTGTAGGCTTCATTCAAAAGCAAGCCCTTGTGGTCACAGTACAAGGCAATGAAGAAAGGAGTGAGGTGGGCTGCAGTGTGTATCATGCTGAGGGAGTAGGTGGAGGTTGAGTAGCAGATATGTGCCTTCTGACATATCTGTGGCAGGTCACTTTACAACCTGGAGTTAGAGGAGGAAAAAGAGGACAGCATGCTTGCTCAGGGAAAACGAAGCTTAGCGTTAGGGGAGAAGAAGAATAGACTAGGAAGAGAACACAACCTTTAAAATGTTAGACTGTCAGTTTCAAACAAGCCCTCACAGGCCATCTATTTAGAGATGGGAATGAAGGCTCAGAGAAGGAAAGTGACTAATCTGACGTCACACAGCAACTTATGTGTCAAAGCTGGAAGAAAAACCTAGTTGGTATGTCTTACAGTCTCAGTAAACAGAATGCAAAAGGGAGAATGCAGTCCATACACTAAGGCTGAGTAATAAACATTTCCTAAGCAATAAATACATTCCAGGGTAGACTACACTACACTAGTTTCTTTCTTGCATAAGCAATTTTCCTCCTCTGCTCTACAGACCCAGAAAATCTTAGGCAGGTCTCAGGTCTTAGTTAATGTAGAAAGTTTATTTTGTCAAGGTTGAGGACACACCTGTGACACAACCTCAGGAGGTCCTGAGGACATGTGCCCAAGGTGGTTGTGATGCAGCTTGCTTGGTTTTATACATTTTAGGGAGACATAATACATCAATCAAGACGTGTAAGATTTGCTTTGTTTTTTTTTTGTTTGTTTGTTTTTTTGGTTTTTTTTGAGACAGAGTCTTGCTCTGTCGCCTAGGGTAGAGTGCAATGGCACGATCTCAGCTCACTGCAACCTCCACCTCTTGGGTTCAAGCGATTCTCCTGCCTCCGCCTCCTGAGCAGCTGGAATTACAGACATGCACCACCACACCCAGCTAATTTTTGTATTTTTAGTAGAGACGAGGTTTCACCGTGTTGGCCAGGCCAGTCTCGAACTCCTGACCTCAAGTGATCTGCAGACCTCAGCCTCCCAAAATGCTGAGATTACAGGTGTGAGCCACTACACCTGGCTGATTTACATTGGTTTGGTCCAGAAAGGTGGGACTATTCAAAGTGGGGGTGGCGGGGGGCCTGTGGGGGTGCAGTGGGAGTGTGTGGCAGGTGGCCTTCCAGGCTATAGGTAAATTTAAACATTTTCTGGTTGACAATTGATTGAGTTTGTCTAAAGACCTGGGATCAATAGACAGGAATGTTTGGGTTGCGACAAGAGGTTGTATTGTGGAGGCCAAAGTTGTATCATGCAGTTGATGCTTTTAGCTAGCAGGCTTCAGAGAGAACAGGCTGTAAAATGTTTCTTATCACACTTAAAGTCTGTGTTGATGTTCATGATGGAAAGTGTAATGAGGCATGTCCAACCCCCACTTCCTTTCATGGCCTGAAGCAGTCTTTCAGATTAAATTTTAAGAGCCCTGGCTGAGGAGGGAGTCCATTTAGATGGTTGGGGAGGGGGCTTAGAATTTTATTTTTGGTTGACAGCACCCATCCCCAGTCCCTGTGGGTATCTGAGGGGCTGACAGTGTGTGACAGCCAAACTTACCCAAAGCAGGGGTGGCAGGAGAAGAGGCAGGCAGCGCATGTCATTCACCCTCACCCACTTCTGCCACTTCCCTCCCTAATCCTCTTCCTGCTAATGGTCTTTCTCAGAATTCAACTGCAGAGGACAGTCTGACCCAGCCCTCTGCAGCCAAGTGTGGATAATGGCAGCCAGCTCTGCGGTGCATTCTTCGGGATCTGGAGGGATCCCTGACCCAGGCTTTCCATCCCAAGTTCTTTGTCTTGGGATCAAAGGTTGAAGAAAACCTGTTCTTTGATAAATTGCTATCATATTTTAACAGACCTGGAACATGCTCATAGCAGAATTTCACAGAAGTGTCTTTGGGAAATGACACGGGAAGAAAGAAAAAGGAAGAGTTAACCTAAACAGGTACCCTCTGAAAAAAAATCATTAACCCATCTGAATCACAGTGGAGGCACAGCCTGGAAGGGTAAAAAGATGGGTGCTGGGTGTCTGTCAAAGCCCCATAAAATTGACTGAGCAGCTTGGAAGAGAAGATCCGATGGCTTCTACGAGTCAAAACAATTGGTTTCGTCCCAGCACTGCTAGACTTGTTAAGCAACTCTAAAAATCTTATTTTCTCTCACTGTACTATAGAGAATGCTGCTCAGCTTGTAAAAGAAGGGAATTAGATTAGGTGCTCACTCATATCCATTGCAAATATATTAAGAAATACATGCTTCTGGGGACATAGATTAACGTAGGAGTCAGAAGATTGCTGACATCTCAGTCTAAAATTTCCTGAGCAGAGTTCAAAGGCACCTGCTATTTGTGTTGTCAGTAAATTACGTTCTTGCCTACTGAAATCACTGCATCCCCTTTAATCCTAATCATCTGACTTGATATGAAAAGTTGCAAAATTTAGGAGGATGAGTAGGCGCCCTTTCTGTGCAGAGTAAAGCTGTTCAGAAGGAGGAGGATGGGAGAAGGCATCTTATTCTACAAAATCAACAATGAATAATTGCTGCTGCCCTGCAATGGAACAAGCATGGCTAGTGAGTCCTCACTGCTGAGGATTCCATGAGGAATTGTTACCGTGTGTGGCCAGGGTGCCAAGGACATCTAGGACTCCTGATCCCTACGTTTCTTTTTTCCTCCTTGAGCTAGTAAGCCTCATGGCTGTAAGGTGCATACAAGGATTGCCACATACTGCATTTTACTAATGGACCCAATGAAAGCAAAGAGAAAAAAGGCTGAGATTGAAGAAGGTTACTCCATCCTTCAGGATTTATTTTCTAAATCAAATGTTTTTCTTCTCCCCCTGTCATCCCCAGCAACTGTGTATATTTCCAGCTGAGAGTCCCTTTTTACCTGGAAGATCTTGATAGAGTAGAAGAGAAATGGCTAATAGCAGCACAAGTCTCTGCATAATGCTGGGGCTGCTGGCGAGAAGCAGACGCAAGTCGGAGGGAATCACCCCAGGCAGGAGCAGGGCAGGTGTATTTATGGGCAGAGGCTGCTCTTGATTACTGAGGCTTATCAAAATGCAGCGTTCCTTGGTGAAGACTCACCAAGGCACAGTGTGGGGGAGGTGTTGGGGCTACAGAAATGCCAGCTGGGCAGTGTTGAGGGTGGGGAGACAGTATTACCATAGGTAAAGTCCAAGTCACTTCACTTGCTTCCCCGAATCGTTTCTGAAGCAAGAACTGGATTAGATGATCTCTAAGATACCTTCCAGCCTTGACATTCCTCAATTCTGGTGAGAGGACTTTCTCTTCCATTTCAGTACATTTCAGTCAGGAGATTCTTGTTGAAAACTGTGATGTGGCTAATGGAATTGAAGTCCATAGCCCCCAAGACCTCTCTGAAGTAAACATTGAAACAAACATACAACGTCAAGGAGAAGAATGGCATGGAGCGTGGGGAGGTCATAAATGCGTGAAAAGTCCCAGCACATTTCTGTGATAGAAAAAGTATAGGATGAGGATGACAAGTGACAACAAGGAATACTTGATGGCGGGCATTGTCCAAGGGTGGGATTGTAACCACAGAGCATCAGGCTCACTTAGGGCTTAGGTGAAAAGGAGGACAAGAATGAGAAGAGAGGTTAAAAGGAGACAATTCATGGGAATGCTGTATTTCTAACAATGGCTTCAAATAAAACATAACCTTCCAGAGAGCATACGCCTGGCCCTCAACCAGGGGTATATGCTCCCTGGATTTAACCCCAACCCCACCCGAGGCAAAACATATAGAGCATATGCTCCTGGCATTTGCCCTTAGGGAAAACACCAGATAATTTTATTTTAAGAAAAAAAAAATACTTCATTTCTCTAAAATGAAGTATTTTAGAGAAAGTAAAAACGTCCAATCTTGGAAGTTGACATTCTCGAATAAGCTCCCCTTATTCTAGAACACAGATTAGACAAAGCCTGACAGACATACGTTGCTTGCACATCCTAAGCAAAATCTAGCAGTCAGTGTGTCTTCCCCAGAGTTCTCACTTAGGGGAGAATGTGATGGAAAACCAGGTCTCCTTTCACAGTAACGGAATAGAATAGAACATCAGAAATCATAAACTATGCCAGTTTGGGTGCTCCATGAAGCATTTATCAACAGGAATTAGAAAGGAAATAAATTTATTGGGAAATGCCTGTGAAAGATAAAGGGGGGCCAGGCGCAGTGGCTCACACCTGTAAATCTCAGCACTTGGGGAGGCTGAGCGAGGGAGGAGGATCATGTGAGCTCAGGGGTTTGAGTCCATCATGGACGGCATAGAGAGACCCCGACTCTACACAAAAAGAAAATTAGCCAGGGATGGTGGTGTGTCCCTGTAGTCCCAGCTACTTGGGAGGCTGAGGCAGGGGGGTCTCTTGAGCCCGGAAGTTCGAGGTTGCAGTAAGCTATGATGGCACTACTGCACTCCAGTGTAGTAGGCAATACAGCAAAACCTTGTCTCTGAAAAAAATAAAATAAAATAAAAATTCAAAACAAAAAGATGATGGGGAGAGGGAGCAAGATTGAGTAGGGAAAGTCTTCAGAACATGACGTCAATTAACACCTGTGAAAAGGTTTGGAGTCGGGGGAGCCTCAGACTACAGTGCAGAAAATTTCAGCATTGCCAGTGGGGAACCCCAGGGCAAAGACTGTCCTACACCAGCAGACATGGCCCAGCTCTAGTCCACATTGTGCTCATTCACTGCCTGGAAGCAGCCAGGGCAAGAGTGGTAGCCATGGGAATCCTGCCGCAGGTTACAAACGTGCAGCACGTAGAGGCCGTCGGATACTCTCCTCACAGCAGACACACAGCAAGCACAAATGTGCAGGATCCATGGGACCCTCCTAGCCTGCCACATGTCAGGCTTTAGTAATTTTTGATGATGAGCTTCAAGGGAAAAACATCAGCCAATATTCAAGGTCATCTATGTGACCAGGATTCTGAAGAAAACTGAAAAATTCTGATGATAATAAATATTCAGCAATTCTTCAAAAAAAAAAGGTAATTCATATACAGGGACTGAATAACCAAACTTCAAAAGAAATCCTATATCTTCTTAGGAGAAAAAAATAATAAAAGCTTTATTTGCTGAGTCCTTATGAAGTATTTCAGAGTTCTGGTTTCGGTCGCTACAAGTAAAAAGACTGAAAGTAACTACTTTACTCCTTAAAGAAAGAAAAAAAAAGCCAAATAAATGGAAAAATCAATGACTTTTCTTGGACCCATTAGGGAACTGAGGGCTCCGGGCAAACCCATTGCGTGGAAATCTGGAGTCACAGCTGAGATGAGCTAACCTGGAATGGAAGCTCTGAAACCATAAACTAGCAGGAACACTTACGGTGACTTCGACAACTTGCTGGAGGCTGAACGTGGACATTTAGGAGAGTGAAAAACTGCTAGAGACCATGGTCAAAGGCTCTCCCTTCTCAACCCCTGCTTTCCTGGGTTTTAAATCCAGGAAGCCCCCAAGGTTATCATGGTGAAGAGCCAGAATGGAAGCCCTCATTGCCCTGAAAGGAGAAGGGAAGAGTGATATTGTGAAACATGTCCAGAGGATTCCCCATAACCAAAGCCTCCTCCTCTGCAGGAAAAACGATTTTACTCGAGCCATATCCCACCTGGAGGGGAAGACGTTTCCCTATTCCAGCCCCATCTGACCTTCCTGTCTCACTTGAGGGATGGGGGTAGCTAAGAATTTCTTGAGAGCCGGGCACGGTGGCTCATGCTTGTAACCCCAGCACTCTGGGAGGCCAAGGTGGGCAGATCACCAGGTCAGAAGTTCAAGACCAGCCTGCCCAATATGGTGAAACCACATCTCCACTTAAAAAGTACAAAAATTAGCCAGGTGTGGTGGTACACACCTGTAGTCCCAGCTACTTGGGAGGCTGAGGCAGAAGAGTCACTGAACCTGGGAGGAGGAGGTTGAAGTGAGCCAAGATCATGCCGCTGTACTCCAGCCTGGTGACAGAGATTTAAAAAAAAAAAAGTTCTAGTGACAGTCACAGTGCAGGGACACACAGGCTCAGGTAAAGATGAGATTTACTTATAAGATTATAGAATGCTTCCTTTTCCCCTGCCTCTTTTTTGTTCATCCCTTGCAGCTGTCTGAGACATAAGATCCTTAATATCATCCTCAGGTTAGTCCCATTCAACCATCGCCTCCATTTGCAGGCTTGACCAGGTCCCAGTATCATGTGGATAAATTGACAAAGATCAGGAAGTCATGGATTGTATGTTTAAATGAGGATTCTAAATTCCTCAGCAAATTCCTGGGGGTTTTCCTTTGGGTTAGGGAAGTCTTTCACTATTTCTGTCAGTTCGGATTTTGACCAAGACATAAAGGTAATTAAAGAAGGCAGACACAGTTGATCTGAGGAACTAACTTTAGAAGGCATTTTCCTAACTTGCTTCTCATCTTCAGAGTAGAAAGGCAGCTGAGTGAAGAGGGTAGTGGAATCAGAGTAATTAGGCAGAGGAAGAAGAGAGACAGGAGGAAAAGAAGGAGCATTGAGAGTTGAGTGAGTCAATGTGCAATTTTTTATCATCACTGATTAAGTGCTTAAGCTTTTAATTTGCCTTTTGTAAAGAGTCTTTAAGAAAGGCAAGTTTTGATTTGCTTAGTCTTTTAGAAGCTTCTGCATGCCAATTAAAAACATATCTCATTTTTTTGAGGCATTTAAGATCACTTCTCTTTCAATGTAGCTTATAGATGAATAACTGTTTAGGTTAAAATTTCTTCACTGTGACCAGTGTAATTCTAAGTTGTCTTTAGTAAAGTTTACACATTTATTTAGAAAAACACAGGTTCTGGGTCCATAATTTTTATACATGAACGTAGCTAGAGTCCCAGATGGAGAGGTTCCAGACTACCTGGATACAGATGAACTCATGATTCTTTGTCTTCCCTAAACCCTGCCTTCTTAAGACCTTCTGTTGGACCCAGTCCAGTTTCTGCTGGATCCAGACACAGAGAGAAAGCGGTGAGTAAAACCGGCTCAGCTGGTAACTACATCTGGCTACTCATTGTCCCAGGAACCATTATCAGGGCTTCTTTGGGTCCCTCTTCTGACAACAGAAGTATTAAAAAATAAACTTAGGCACATAAAAATCTTAGAGTTTTCTTTTGAGCAGATATCAATTTAAGAATCGGGCAGGCTCCAAAACACAAGTCTTTTGGGGCTCACGCAAAGAGGCACGAGGAAAAGGCTTTTATAGGGTGAAAATGGAAGAAAGGCAAATTAAACATCTAATTGGTTAAGGTGGAGTATAAGCCTTATTCGAATCATTCCATTCCCTTGTTAGAGGTTAGTTGGTGGTTTCTGATTGGTTAAAGTTTTCTTTTACCATTCAAACCGAGTTGGGTTTTAGTTTGCTTATGTAGAAACCGAGTGCACTGAAGCTCCCGCAGTCTAATGGCCTCTCATTTAATTATTTTAACAAGAGAAATATTCTGTGTTCATATAATAGAGAATTTAACGTTAAGATGTCAATATTTACAACTTGACCTATAGATTAAATATAATCCCAGTCAAACTTTTAGCAAAATATGTTGTTGACATTTCCATACTGATTCAAAAGACCTAGGATCGTCAATACAATACCGGAAAGAACAAGGTTGGTGGATGATAGGGTTTCTGTCCCCATCTAAATCTCATCTTGGGTTCTTGCTCCCATAATCCCCATGAGTCATGGGAGGGACATGGTGAGAAGTAAATGAATCATGAGGTGTTTCTTTTCTGTGCTTTTCTCATGAAAATGAGTAAGTCTCACAAGATCTGATGGTTTTATAAAGGTCAGTTCCCCTGCACACGCTGTCTTTCCTGTCACCATGTAAGACATACCTTGCTCCTCCTTTGCCTTGAGTCATGATGGTGAGACCTCCCCAACTGTGTGGAACTGTAAGTCCATTAAACCTCTTTTTCTTCATAAATTACCCCATCTCGGATATTTATTTATAACAATGTGAAAATGGGTTAATACAGTGAACTTACACTACCTTATATCAAGACTCACTAAAAAACTGCAATGATGAAGGCAGTGTGGGAGTGGTGAAGCAATAAATAAATAGATCAAACAGAGAAACAGAACAGAATGGATAGCTCAGAAAAGATCAAAGCAACTCCTCTCTATCAAAGAAGCAAAGGTAATATAATGGAGGAAGAATAGTCTTCTCAACAAATGGTGCTTGAACAATTAGATATCCCTATGCAAAAGAGAAAGAGAAGGAGAGGTAGAGAGGAGAAGAGGAGGCAATGAAGTGGGGAAAAGAGGGAGGGAGGGAGAGAGAGAGAGAGAGAGAGAGAGAGATGGCCTACGATGAGGGAGTGATTAAACAAACTGTGGTTCATCCGTATCCTGGAATACTGCCCAACAATAAGAAGGAAAGAGCTATTGATAAATGCAACAACCTGGATGAATCCCCAGAAAGTTATGCTGACTGAAAAAAGCCAGTCTAATAAGGATATATACATTCTATTTATATGGCATTCCTAAAAGGACAAAATTGTAGAAATGGAGAATAAATCACTTATACAGGGGTTAAGACGGAGGTGGAGGTGTGAGGGAAGAGAGAGTGGCTCTGAAAGGGTAACATGAGAAGTCCTCCTGATAATGGAAATGTTATGCATCAGTGTCAATAACCTGGTTGTGATATTGCACTATGGTTTTACAAAGATGTTACTATTGAGGAAAATAGAGTAAAAGATCTGGGTATCTCTCTGCATTATTATTATTATTTTTGGAACTGTAGAGGAATCTACAATTACCTCAAACTAGAAAGTGTAACTAAAACATCCTTTTCATGAAAGGGTTATTGATTCTAATAGAATTAAATCTATCGACTTTGAAAAATTAAAGGGGAGGTAAGGCAAGATTTCTGAGCCAGCAGGAAACCAAAACTAACTCTTGAGCACTGGAAACATGATAGGAAATTCTTACTTAAACTAAGTAATTGTCTCAGTCCATTCATGCTGCTATAATAAAATACCTTATGCTGGGTGATTTATAAACAATAGAAATTTATTACTTACAGTTTTAGGGGCTGGAAGACCTCAAAAGATTTACTATATCCTGAGGACCCAGTTTGTGCTTTCAAGATAGCACCTTGTTGCTCAGCCTTCACATGGCAGAAGAGACAAACGCTGTGTCCTCCCATGGTGGAAGGAGCAAGGCAGTTTCTTTCAACCTCTTTTATAAGGGTGCTAATTCCATTCATGAGGGCAGGGCCCTTGAGGCTTAATCACCTCCTCAAAGGCCTCATCTGTTAATCACCAGAGTGGGGATTAGGCTTCAGCATTAATTTTGGAAGAACACATTCCCACCATAACAGTAATTTTGAGGCTTAGAATCAGAAGGTAAACTGTCAGCCAGTTCCTAGGAAAATCGTAGGCAGTGATTTGGGGAAGAGGGTCTAAATCACTAGAGTTACTGAGACTCATAGAGGTAATTATGACTCCCTTGCCTGTCAGCAAATTTTATCTCAGACTTACGTGTAGAGAACAAGTCTATAGAAAATATTTAACTAGCCCCAATTAAAGACATGGGGTCATGATGATTAATTTAGACAGGTGTGTGTGTGACACATAAAAGTCTTTGATAAATGGACCGCCTATCCATCAATTTGTCGTTCATGTAGCTATTCATGTAAATGTATGCTCATTTATGTGGGCATATGGCATGATGGTAAAAATTTTTAAAAAGTGTGCTCTTGCGATAGTTTGATGAGAATGATGGTTTCCAGTTTCAAGGACAAAAAACCAAACACCACATGTTCTCACTCATAGGTGGGAATTGAACAATGAGAACACTTGGACACAGGAAGGGGAACATCACACACCGGGGCCTGTTGTGGGGTGGGGGGAGGGGGGAGGGGGGAGGGGGGAGGGATAGCATTAGGAGATATACCTAATGTAAATGATGAGTTAATGGGTGCAGCACACCAACATGGCACATGTGTACATATGTAACAAACCTGCACATTGTGCACATGTACCCTAGAACTTAAAGTATAATAAAAAGAAAAAGAAAAAAAAGAATAAAATTTTGTTTTGTATTAAAAAAAAGTGTGCTCATTTCTCTACCTATTCATCTTCTTTCCACCTCCCTCTCTCTTTTCTTTATTTTCTTTTGTTTACTTCTTTCATGTCAATAGGTTAGTAAGCGCCAACTTACTAGACTGAGCACAAGCTAGAGATTTGTTGATTTCTAGTCTCTTCTAGTCCTCTTTTAAGAAAAATTTCAGATGGCTTTGGGACAATTTATCTACTCCAGAATGATAGAAAAATAAACCGGGATGGAGGGAGCATCAAGGTCAGGCAGTGTTGTTCTCCTTTCTAAATGAAACACTTGACAAACTGAGCAAAGACAGTCATTTATTTTTATTAAAGTGTCTGCCTACAGCAGAGGCAAGAGTAAAAAGAAGCTAGGTTATGTATGCTTCTCTGGAAACCTAAATCTTCTGCATTAATCTATAATGCTCCCACATGGCTGGATGGTCCGACAGCATTTCAGAGACTTCTGGCAGAGAGCAATAAGTTCTTCATTTTTCCCGCAATTGTTCTTGCATGTCCCTTTAAGTTTGTTGCATTTCTCATCAAAAAATGCATTCTTGGCTACACGAGGGAAGGAGCCATTTGGATTAATTCCCTTTTCAGACATGTATGTTTACCAGATACGGTTGTATGACTACTTGGTGAAGATTTTTTCACAAGCTGTCATAGTGCCATATCCTACCGGTAGATGAGATGGTAGGGGACCTGATTTTTATCTGATATTTCAGTCTCATAGTCACACAGGGTGAAATACCGGAAAGAATACATTTGTCTTCCAGCATTTGAGACCAAGCTGTGTAGGAGCTTTGGGAAACGTCCCTAAGCTATGGTTCTTTAATCGAAATCTGTTGGGGATAATTATCAACTTGTTCCCATAAACACTCCCAGAGGCTGCTAATTTTCCTAGTGCACTCTCAGAGGCTGCTACTTGGTGAGAGTAGAGCAAGAGCTGAGACTGAGGAGATAGCTCCAGACCAGAGCAAAGGAAGGGATAAAGATATAAAAAGAGAATGAGTTTACTGTGGTAGATAGAAACTTGCTTGGAAGGCTCAGCCTGATTTCTCCTCCATATTCACCAAAGCAACGACTGCGGAAAACTTGTGCTTTAGAGAAGGAGGGTGCAGCATGTTGGGAATGTTTTTCTAAGATTTTCTCAGTTCATTTTGTGGAGAATTCCAGTTCCCACCTTAGGGCTTTATCAGTAGCAGTCCCAAGAGCAGCCTGCTTCAAGTTAAGGACAGACAGCACGTCTTATCAGGATCAACATTTTAGAGCTGCCCAATTTGTGTATATATAATGAAGGCATCAGATGTACAGAGATTGCATTTAATGTCTATACTATAATGTATATACATTTAATGTCAACATATAAAGGTGCCTAATTCAAATCTACATAAAACTTACAGCCAGGTGGATTAGTGCCAGCATATGCACTAATGATTATCCAGGATCAGCACATCAGTTCATAAGTGAAAATACTCCACTATTTCAAAGCTCGATGAACTCTGGCTCTCACTGGCAGGGGTCTATGTTCTCTCTGCCCTACTGTAAGGCAGATACTAATATAATACTATACTATAGACTATAGTGTGGTATTCAGATAAAATCTTTTTGGTTTAGTATAGTATCATAGTATAGATTAGTATATACTATAAAAATACTAGTATTATAGTATATACTGGTATAATAGTGTATACTATAGTATTATACTAGTATATATACTATACTATATACTAGTGTGTTATAGTAGTATATATACTATATACCAGTGTATTATACTAGTATACTATACTATATACTAGTGTATTATACTAGTATGTACACTATACTATGTACTAGTATATAATACTACTAGTAATAATATAGTATATATACTATATTATCATACCAGTATATATACTATACTATATACTAGAGTATTATACTAGTATATATACTATATACTAGAGTATTATAATAGTATATATACTATACTATATATTAGTGTATTATACTAGTATATACACTATACTATATACTAGTGTATTATACTAGTATATACACTATACTATATACTAGTGTATTATACTAGTATAATACACTATACTATATGCTAGAGTATTATACTAGTATATACACTATACTGTATACTAGTGTATGTACTAGTATATACACTATACTATATACTAGTGTATTATACTAGTATATACACTATACTATATACTTGTGTATTATACTAGTATATACACTATACTATATACTAGAGTATTATACTAGTATGTATACTATGCTATATACTAGAGTATTATACTAGTATGTATACTATGCTATATACTAGAGTATTATACTAGTATGTATACTATGCTATATACTAGAGTATTATACTAGTATATATACTATATTACATACTAGTATATAATACTACTAGTAATAATATACTAGTATAATATAGTATCTGGCCAGGTGCAGTGTCTCACACCTATAATCCCAGCACTTTGGGAGGCTGAGGAGGGTGGATCACGAGGTCAGGAGTTCGAGACCAGGCTGACCAACACGGTGAAACCCCGTCTCTACTAAAAATACAAAAAATTAGCCAGGCAAGGTGGCACATGCCTGTAATCCCAGCTACTCAGGAGGCTGAGGCAGGAGAATCGCATGAACCCCGGTGGCAGAGGTTGCAGTGAGCTGAGATTGTGAAACTGCACTCCAGCCCGGGGAACAGAGTGAGACTCTATCTCAAAAAAAAAAAAAAAAAATATGTATATATATATATAAAATATATACTAGTACAATACTATATAGTATATAATACTAGTACAATACCATACTGTAACATCAGTAAATAATTATAGTATATACTATGCTATACTATAATACTATACTAAACCAAAAAGATTTTCTCTAATACTATTGTATTATAGTATTATACTCTAGTATATCTAATAGGTAATTATTAGATTATCTAATAATTATATAACAAGCATTATGTAATTATAGATAAGTATCTGTAATTACATAATAATTATAGTAACTAATTATACTTTTATAATTATAGTATTATCTAACAGATAATTTTATAGTATATAACATCTTTTTTTTGACTTATTATATAATAAGTATGAGTGATCTGAAAAAGATACCTCTGGCCAGTTTCGAACGTGCATATCAAAACCAGTGGCCTGAATACGGCATAGGTCACTGTGGGTCCTAGATCCTCATGTTTTGACACAGAATCTACTCTCACAGGCTTGTCACAAAACAGACCAGAGCTATGAGCAGCTGATGTGAAAAGTTGAGCATCATACCTGGGATCGTATATCACTGGTATCTGGCACAAATTGGGAGTTACTGTGGGCTCTGAGAATCCCTTTCTTCAGCTCTCTGGAGGCTCACATGAGCCTGGTCTTAAGCCTTAATTTTGAAGAGGATACAATTGGAGCCACTGGAGATTCCCAGGAGCAGGAGAAAATGAAGAGAGTTTTGATATGGGAAGGGTGTCTTTAATGCCTCTTACTGTGGCAAGACAGTTGGGCTCCTACCCTGGCTTTGTTTTGGTTATCTATAAGACTCTGAGAAGCACTGAGCCCATCTGAGGCACAATTTCTGCATCTGTAATAAAATTTGTAAAATGGACCTTCAAACCCAAAAAGATTTTCTCTAACTTCCATTAAATTAGGGGTAAGACAGAGTTTTCCGTAAAGGCGCTGGCACTGGAAGACTAGATGCATTTTATGTGAAGCTCTCATCACAGTACTTGGCTTGATGATATGTGATCAAGAAATGGCAGTCCAAGTTACGCTGCTTTACCTGTTGCCATGACTGGCATGAGTGCATAGGTGTCTCTAAGCTCAGATCCTTACCTGTCCCTTCTCCTTACCTGTCTCAATCTCTACCATAACTACATTTTAAAAGGTTCATAGACTGCTATCCTTGTTTTTAATTTTTTCTCAATTTTTGTTTTTGTTAGTGAGCATGAGATGGGATGCCAAAAGGCATCTTTCCTGGCCTTCTTTTATTCTTTCAAACCTGTGACAGCCCCTCCTAGATAACAATGTAAAATGCAAAGGAATTACAGAAGAGGCGTTGGGGGATATCACCTCTTGTAGTAGATGGGTTGATCACGCCCAGGCATTCACTGAAGGGGACCCTGTCTGTGGGACACCACCTCCGATCACCTTCCCTGTAAAGATGCCCATTTTACCTGGGGTCAGAAAGAAGAGCACGGCAAAGAGAAAGAGGAAAGTCCTCATGACTGGGTGGGTCTTGAGAGATCAGCACCGTGTCCATGAGGAAAGAGCCGCAAACACCCACATTTATACATTTCTCCAGACCAAGTAACATCTTGATCAGTGAGGCTTAGCAGAAACGAGAGGATTTCCATGCTCTGCTGCACAGAGCCCACCCAACCTCAGTGGGTGTCACTCAGTCTACAGCTCATCATATTTCTGATTCTGGAAAGTTTTGAAGAAGGAAAGTGGGGATGAAGGGAGGACAGAGTAGGGCAGACACAGAAAAAATAAAAAAATCTGGAGTCCAGTAGTTTGGTTTCTAATCCTGGCTGTGTTCCTGAACAGCTTTGGTTTACTCATATGTAAAATGGGAGTAATTATACAATATCTCAATGCTTCAGTTAAGAGCTGAGGAACCGTAGTGAGGTGGAATCTGAATTCCAGATTCAGTCTTTTTGAGCTTTGTAAACTTGGCAAAGGGCTTGACCTAAGCATATATTTGTTAAAAAATGTGAATCTTGCTGTATGCTGCACGCTTTTCGTGCTTGGTCCTGCCATGCTGCTCACCTGTACCATGGCACTGTTGGCGCAGCAAGGGGCTGGTAACCATCATGCCTTGCCCTAGACACCTGGGCTCAAGCAATCTACCTGCCTTAGGCTCCCAAAAGCTACGATAATAGACATAAGCCACCCATCTGGGCCAATATTCATGTCCTTAATGAATTTAAAATATGCAGTAATTATGGCTTTGGTGCGTGAGGTGATATCTTACAGGAAAGGGGACTCAGAGCTAACTTGACAAAATGATTGCTACCCCTCCTTTTCTCCCTGTGATACTTGTAGAGAATAAAAATGAAAGCTAGAAAAGTGAGAGTCCACATTTATTGAGTTCTTACATGGTACCAGGCCTCCTTCCAAGCATTCCACATATTCAAAACACTTTTGCATTATAATCATACTAGATTCTTACAACACCTTTAGAGGCAGGCAGAATTTGCAAGTGGGTTCTTATTTTCTCCCAGAAAACAGAAGCTGGAAGAGATGAAAGGGGTCACTATCTTCTGGCCCCTGCATTAGTATGGTGGAAACTCACATGGCCCCTGCTCTTTCAACCTCTAGCCTGGTGTTCTTTCCACTACACCAGTTAGACTCCCCAAAATAAAAGGCTTTCTGGATGCCAAGGGTTATTATCCATGATATCATCCCTTTATCCTGGGAAATGGAGCATATAATTGTGTTTTATTGATTCACTTCACGGATCAAGAGCATCTCCCCATTACTTTTAAATAAAAATGAGCCTCTCATTTGGGTCTTCTCAAGGAAATCCCAATCTCTATTCCGAAGAGTCTTCCCTAAAAGATGGCCCTGATCAGGAAGACATTTTATTTTCTATTTGCTATGTTCTTCATTTTGGTTCAACTGCCATCAGGTAAGTAAAAATGGATGGGATTTTGATTGGGCAGATTATAAAGCCTGTTGATTCTTCCATGTTTGACCTTAATGGTCAAGCTCTCATGGCACCTGTCATGGGAATTTCTTAGACCTACAGTGACATTTACTAAGAGCAAACAGCATATAGTGTATTTTTTTTTTTTTGTAATTTGTTTTTGCTGGTTACCTGGAATGCTGGCCTTGAGAAACAGAATAAAGATTGCAACTCTGTGATCTACTGTCTCCTGTTATGCTATGTCACATGTGAAGTTGGGAGTGTTTTATACAGTGTTAATTCCTGTGTTGATTTTAATTTTCAAAATGTATTTTGTTTTGAATTTAGGGTGCCAGGCAGGACTTGATTTTTCCCAACCATTTCCATCAGGTAAGTTAAATCTCTTGTATATAATTATTTTTTCTCTTAGGAGCTCTGGCGCTGTTAGCTCTCTCTGATGTCTGGAGGCAAAGAGGGGACAGAGATAGTGGCAGAAATAGAATTGTCTGAAAAATCAGTTCACTAACTTATCTCCTTCTCTTTCTCTTGTTCCAAGTATAATATTTGGATATTTTTGATTTCACAGAAAAATATCTTTGTGACTGGACTGTAATTTGGCCATAGAGATTTGGACTCAGTGGCTTTTCCCATTAGCTGTTGGTGCTCACTAAACCAAGTTCTTAGATTTATTCTTGTACCAGCCAATTAGCACTGCTCTGTGAACACGCCTGCCCATCTCTTGCAAGCTCTGCTGCTAAGTCTGGTAATAATATATGTCACAAATGCATGAGGTTAGTTGAAGGAAGCTCAAATTAAAGAGTGAGGTTGCCTCAGTGAAAACTCAGCACCATTGCAGAAAAGCTATTCATAACGAATAGCCCCCAGATCTTTTCTTTTTCTTTGAAGTCATCTTATACAGAAAGAAAGGACATTGTAAACAAAACTAAAAGAAATATTGTAGACAAAGTTGAAATGGTTTTAGACAGAATTTCAAAGTGAGAAATATGAAGGTTGCTACTAGTCCTTGAGTGTTTGCTCTGTACCAGGCATCCTGCTAAAAACTTTACATGGACTTTGTCATGTAATCCTCAAAACAGTCCTATGTGGTAGGTATTATTATAATGAAAATATTTACATATAATATTCCATTTGATCCCTAAACTGATTTAAAAAATGTAGTCAGGTGCTTCTAGAATGGCCACTGGACAAATGAGAATATGGACCTTAACCTGCCGGCTACTAGGCCCAAACTAGAGTTGATCTTCAAGGATCTTTAAAAAACCACAATATACCCCTCCCATTTTTTGTCTAGTAAACTTCACAGTCATATCAGGTATGTATTTTTATAGTTCTGTAATATGTATGTCTCTTTGTCTGTCTGTGGTTTACTTTTGATCCCTGCCAGATTATAAACACTTGGAGAGTAGGAATTGCGATGATCTGTTGCATAAAAATTAACTCTCCCCAACTCCCTACTGCAAAAAGCAGAAACTATTTTTGAAAAATCTGGGCTGATTCTTGAAAATATTCTTTGTAATCATACGTACGAACTGTCCCTTTTTTTTTGGTGGTCTTTGACATGTTCCCCATTTCTAGACATTTCCTGGAAAGCTCCCTCAGCAGCTCTTTCTTGGCACAGGTGAGTTTGCTGTCTGTGAGTCGTGCAAGCTTGGTCGGGGAAAATGCAGGAAGGAGTGCTTGGAGAATGAGAAGCCCGATGGAAATTGCAGGCTGAACTTTCTCTGCTGCAGACAGAGGATCTGACAAACCAGACCAGCACACTTCTGGCCTTAGAAGCAGACCTGGATATTCAAAGAAGTTCAAGAGAAGTTATGTGGCTTATCCAAATCACACAGTGAGTGAGTCTCAGAATCATTCTCATTTCTTTCTCCCTTTGTTACGTTTTATTGCTTATTTTTTAAAGATGACTTTTTTTCTTTTTTTTTTTTTTTGAGAAGGAGTCTCACTCTGTCGCCCAGGCTGGAGTGCAGTGGCTCGATCTTGGCTCACTGCAACCTCCACCTCCCGGGTTCAAGCAATTCTCCTGCTTCAGCCTCCCAAGTAGCTGGGACTACAGGCGCATACCGCCATGCCTGGCTAATTTTTGTATTTTTACTAGAGATGAGGTTTCACCATGTTGGCAAGGCTGGTCTCGATCTCCTGACCTCAGGTGATCTGCTCGCCTTGGCCTCCAAAAGTGCTGGGATTATAGGCATGAGCCACCATGCTGGGCGAGATGACCTTTAAAAAACATCAAGACATGAGTGTGTACCTAGTATCTGCTCAATCAGATACCACTACTATGTATATGTAGAGTACCTTACAATTTATGAAGTATTTTCCATACTTCTCTCATATGACTCATGATTACCTTATGAGGTAGGTTTTATTACTGCCATTTACATTTGAAAATATTGAGGCTCAAGAGGCTGTTAATTCTTCAGAGCCATAGCTAGGATCCAGTAACTGCTGTGCACATTGCTGTCATGTTTTATGTATCCATCTATATGTACTAACTATGTTAATGGAATAATAATTCTATCAAATATAATACATTATTTTTATATTCACATTATTTCTTGGTTTGTCTAAATATTGTCATTCATTGATTCTAGTACTTATGGTGTATTTACCTGTGAAAGAAAATGATTAGAGATTAACTTAAAATGTTCAACACAGAATATGCATAAATGGTTGACTGTCTAATTTTGCCTTGTGAAATAAAATCCAGCTTCACAAAATAAAGGCCAAAATTACCAGCCCTATGACCAGTGACTTGAACTTGGTTACTTAGTTTTAACGTATGAGATTAAACAATGTTTTGTTTAACATTTGGGCCTATTATTTGTCTCTTTGTGCTCAAATCTGTTCCTTGTTTTTTTCTGCTTTGCTGAGTAAAATGGGAACTATTAGTTGCAAACTACATTTTCCAGGCTTCCTGACTTCTGGCTAGTTTTGGTCAATGTGTCTCCTAGGAGAATGGGAGATTGAAGAAGGAAGGACAATGTGAATTTCTCCCCGACTCCCTCTCTTTTCCAGCAGTGGCTTTTCATGCTCAGCAAGGCCGCTGCTTTTCTGTCTTCTGCACTCACCTGGCAGTCCCACCGCAAGTTTAGCTTCTGCCAGCCAGTGCTGCTCCCAGGCTCACACAAATCCTTCCATTTTTCCTCAAACCTTAGGGCAGTGGGAGATTTCTGCTGTGACTATCAGTAGGGTTGCCTCATTGCTCCCGCTTTGCATTGTCATCTTTTCCAACACTTTATCTGTACATATTAAATTCTTTCTATAGAACTATCCATTGGGGGAACCCTTTTAATGCTTGATTGGTTCAATTTTTAGATTCACTCTATTTACATATGATCCACTGTTTTCCAAAAGAGATTTGAAACACAGCCCTCAAGAAGCCTAGAGTGTTTCCTTCATTTACACAGGAATTACCCCAGGGAAGTGGGAAGTGGGGTATTTGGTCTTAAGAGTCCAGTTCACAGTAATTTTCTGCTGGCAGATGGTCTTCCTCCCCAGGTCTCCACAGTGCAAATGCAGCTGCTAGCTTACAGAACACCATGAAACTGGAATACTACTTACTCATTCCAAATACTGCATTGCTTTATCTTAAAAAAATGCTCTGGAACCTAGTTGAAGTTTCTTTTAATGAAAGATTCATGTGAGTGTCTCAGAGTCATACAAAGTGGTAGACCAGTAGCTGTGCCCTGATATTACCTCACTAATGACCTCATGTAGCATCCAGATGGCAGCTGCAGAGGACACCTCCCACAGGTGCTCACCTAGTCACAAATTGTTCCCTTTCATGGCAGGCCAAGTCTCACTAACGCAAGACTCCATAACAACTGCTTTAGTACCCACTGAGGGGTTAAGTTAAATATTAAAAGCTTAAAAAGCCAGTGCCCTGATATAAAGGCTTGAATGTAACAAAAGCCCACTAAGAGTTTTGCTTAGGCCTTTCCTGGGCCTTAAAGCATGACAAACTAATGAAGGAGTTCTTAACAGGACCCGTTTAGGATTAAACAAGTTTATAGGAGGTCTGAAGAAACTCCCCAAATATCAGTGATTTAGCAGGAGACAAGGTGAGGGTAATAACCCCAGCACCTGGACCCATTTAGATTAAGTACATTTACTGAGGCTCCAGAGGAAGGTCTTCGGGACTCAGACCTTAGTTATAGATTAAAAGAAGTTAATAACTTATGTCTTTAGATGAATGCACACTTACACATAAACATATAGCTTGGAAGGTATATAAGCTCTGGAAAACTTTGTAATTTTAAGTTGGTCTGGCGATAATTTCCAGGACTTCTCCCTATAACTGGTTGCAGAAATAAAAACTCTCTTCCTCCCGAGTTTATTTGCATCTTGTTATTGGGCTGTGAGAAATAGCAGCCCAACTCTCCGTTTGGTCCAGGAACACTTTCTTTACACTTTAGATTCATGGAAACAAAGAGACTGAAAGTAAAAGGATGGAAAGAGATTTGCCATACAAACAATAACCAAAAGAGAGCTGTAGTGGCTATACCAATAGTGTACAAAACAAACTTTAAGACAAAATTGGTACTAAAGATGAAGAAGGGCATTTTGTAATGTTAGCAAGTTAATCTATCACGATAATATAACAAGTATAAAAACATGCACCTAACAACAGAGTGCCAAAATACATGAAGAGAAAATTGACAGAATTGAAGGGAGAAATAGAGAAGTCAACAGTAATAGCAGGAGACTTTAATATACCACTTTTAATAATAGACAAAACAACTAGAAAAAAGATTAGCAAGGAAATACAAGATTTGAATAGCACTGTAACACAATGACCTCAAAGCGTGGAACACTGCACCAATTACAGCAAAATACACATTCTTCTTCTGTTCACATGAAATATTCTTTAGAATAGACTGTATGTTAGATTTAAATACAAGCTCCTCAATACATTTAAAAGGATAGGAATCATACAAAGTATGTTCTCTGAACAAAATGGGATAATAGAAAGAAATTTGGGAAAGTCACAACTATGTGGAAATTAAACAGCATAAATGTGAATAAATGATGGGTCAAAGCAGAAAACATAAGGGAATGTAGAAAATATTTTAAAGGGAGCCCCCAAACACTTTAAAATATACAACACAACAGCAACTTACCAAAACTGTGAGATGCAGCTAAAACAATGCTTACAGGAAAATGTATGGTTGTAAATGCCTGTATTTATAAAGAAGATAGATTTAAAATCAGTAAATTATCTTCCATCTCAAGAAAATTAAGGAAGAGCCAACTAAACCCAAAGCAAGCACAAGGAAGAAAATAATAAATATTAGCACGGAAATAAATGAAATAGAGACTAAGAAAACAATAGAATAAATCAACACAACAAAAATTTATTTTTTGAAATGATCAACAAAATTGGCAAGCCTCTAACTAGACTGACTAAGAAAAAAAGAGAATACTCATATTACTAAAATCATGAGTGAAAGAGAAGTTTTACAAAAGATCTTACAAAAGTATTTTTTAATATTATTAAGGAATACTATACACAATTTTATGGCAACAATTTTGATAACCTAGATGAATAAATGCCTAGAAATGCATACATATCAAACCTAATTCAAGAAGAAATAGAAAGTCTAAAATGGACCTATAACAAATAAAGTGCATGAATTGACAGTAATAACACTAACAAAAATCCCACATAGTAAAACCCAGGGCCAAATGGCTCCACTGGAACATTGTAAAGATGTTACTCTATTTTATTTTGCCTCGATTTTTTTTTCAGACAGGGTCTCACTCTGAAGCTCAGGCTGCAGTGCAGTGGTATGATCTCGGCTCACCCCATCCTCTGCCTCCGGGGCTCAAGTGATCCTCCCACCTCAGCCTCCTGAGTGGCTGGGACCACAGGTGCCTGCCACCATGTCCAGTTAATTTTCGTATGTTTTGTAGAGATAGGGGTCTCATTATGTTGCCCAGGCTAGTTTCGAACTAAACTCCTGGCTCAAGTGATCTGCCCACCTTGGCCTCCCAAAGTGCTGGGATTACAGGCGTGAACCACCACACCTGTCCTGGCTTGCATATTTTTTGATGAGAAGTTTGCTGCAGTTATTCTGTCATCTTTCTACAGGCAGGAGGCATGTATGCCTTCTCTGTTGACAAAGGTAGAGGATGTTCTTTGTTTTTCTTTTTTAATGTGCTCCCTTCTCCTCGTTCTCCTAGCTTTAATATTTTGTTTTGCATTTTTTTAGATTGTTCATTCACCAGTGCCGTACAAACAACTGTTGTTCTTCCCTCAGTTTCTTAATTAAGAAATTAAGACTTTCTTTTCCATAAAAGAGAAAGATTCTTGCAAGCTTTCGTTCTTTCTCACAGTGGCTACTGTTCCCCTCAGCCGACTTACATCATGAAATACTCTAATCTTTTTTGTAAGCACCTGCTGAGTCTATGGAGAAGACATTAGAAGTTGCTGTGAACTTCTCTTTTGTCTGTGACCCCAGACATTTATATTGTTTCTCTAGTTTATGCTTGCTCTTAGCAATTCTCTACAGACTTTACCTGAAATCTTTTAAATCATATTCTGGGGGTAATCTGCTTCAGGTAAGCAAGCACTCATGGTCTTTATTTTTTGGAGGTTCCTGTCTTTTCTTATATTTCTAGGTAGGTGGCTGATTTGTGACCTTAGCTTTCCAATGAGTTCAAGAAACTGAATATTTGCAGTCTGCCGTGTGTTTTGCTGTGTATTTGTTTCATGTGGGATGATTTTCTTTACGTATTTCTATATCTTAAGCAGAAGCCATTCTTCATTTAATAACACACTTACTTTCTTTAAGAGATACAGAAATACTTATATTTTCTGCTAATTCTTGTGCCAATTTTGGTAAGTTAAATTTTTGAGAGAATTCTTTTATTTTATGTAAGTTGTGAAATGTTTTGGCATATACCTGTTGACAACATTTTTATATTAGTTTAATGTTTCTTGGATCTGTAGTGATAACTTCTTTTTCACTTATTCTGCATACTTGGGCTTACATTGTTCCCTTTTCTAAGGTTCTTAGAGCATAATTTTAAGTCATAGATTTAAACATTTCTTCTTTTCTACAATAAGTATTTGGATACAAATTTCTTTCGAAGTCATTGTTTTGTTGTGCTCCACAAAATTCGATATGCAGAAATGCTTTCCAATTATTCTCATTATTTATTCTTTGATACAAACACAATCCCGAATGATGTTGCTTTATCTCCACATATTTGAAAATATCCTAAATAGCTTATTTTATAGATTGCCAATTTAATCCCCTTGTGGTGAGAAATACACTCTGAAGTATTTAAATGTGCTTAAACACATCAATATTTGTTTTATGGCCTAGCATATGGTTCATTTTTATGAATGTATCATATGTACTTGAAAAAAATGTGTATTTTGCAGTTGTCTTATGATGTGTTCTATAAATATCAATGCAGTCAGTGGAATGGTGGTATTGTTCAGATAATGCATGACTTTGCTAATTTTTCCCTGTGTTCTATCAGTTGCTGAGAGAGTGGTGTAAAAATTTTCTACTATGAATATAGAAGTGTCTATTTCTCCCTTTAATTAAATCAAATAATATAAAAACATGTTAATGGTTTTTATGTATTTTCAATGGATTAACCCTTTTCTCCTTAAGCAACAGCACTCCATGCAATACAGCGAGACCCTGTCAAAAAAAAAAAAAAAAAAACCTGCACACGTACTCCTGAATTTAAAATTAAAGGTTTTTGTGTGTTTGTTTTAATTATTATTTTAAGAATAGGTTTTATGTAAAATCATGTACTAGGAAAAGCGTGGTGGCTATATATCTTATAGACATGGTAATACTTGAGATAAGACTTGAAGGAAAAATGAGAGAAGTCTAAGCAGAGACACAGAATAGAATATTCCAGGCAGAAAGGCAGGGTTCTCTGCGTTTGTCTCCCACAAATGTGGTTTAGTTAAAATCTGATCCATCAGCCCACACATTAATCAGTGGAGCATGGAAAATAGTATGTTCCCAATGAACATTACAAACCGAGGATGACTTCCAGTCCCTTCAGGGCAGTAGAACATATTTTAATCAATGCCCCTTGATAAAAGAGCTTGATTCCAGCTACTGCACTTCCTTCATCAGCTCTCCACTGATGCCTGGAGCCATGAAAATATTTGTCTTTATTTTGGCTGCTCTCATTCTTCTTGCTCAAATTTTCCAAGGTAAGAGGGAAATTCTTCTAGAAGTAGAGATGACAGTCTGCTCAGGATCTGTCTTTTGAGATGAAAGCTCAACTTTTACAAAGTTGAAGGTTCCAAGGCAAACCAGTCACTGAAAATCTTTTCCTGAGCTCCGACACAAAACAATGGGACCACATTGACCCGGACCATCTCCATCCATAATAGTTTCTAGTCAACTTCCCTAACAGCTCTGCCAAGGAATTCAGACATCTTTGTACTTTTAGATCTCTTTCCTCCTTTTGTAATCTGCAACGCAGGTTCAGCATATTCTTTTTTTTTTTTTTTTTTTTTTTTTTTTTGAGACGGAGTCTCGCGCTGTCGCCCAGGCTGGAGTGCAGTGGTGCGATCTCGGCTCACTGCAAGCTCTGCCTCCCAGGTTCATGCCATTCTCCTGCCTCAGCCTCCCGAGTAGCTGGGACTACACGCACCCGCCACCACTCCTGGCTAATTTTTTTGTATTTTTAGTAGAGACGGGGTTTCACCGTGTTAGCCAGGATGGTCTTGATGTCCTGACTTCGTGATCCGCCCTCCTCGGCCTCCCAGAGCCCTGGGATTACAGGCATGAGCCACCGCGCCTGGCCAGCATATTCTAAAGTGATTTCTTTAAAATGAAAAAAAAAAAAAAAAAGAAAGAAAAGATTATCCAAGGAAATGCCAAACATATTTGTTAAGTTAGGGAAGTACAGCCTTTGTAGTCTAAATTAAACTAAAGTTATGTTACTAGATTCTTAGACAGCTAATTTTTTTTCATGTCTGAGTCGTCGGTCCAAATCTCTTATCCATACATTATTTTAGACTTTTTGGCTTTCACACACTGGTTGGAAATTATGCCATTAAAACCACTAAACTAACATCTTGCTTACTATTCTCTTAAGTCTTTGCGTCTTTGAGATTCTCTTTGCTTCATACAACCACGACTCTGTTCCTAAGAAATGTTTATGTCCATACCTCCTCAACTATCCTTCGTTCCTTCTGTTGTGAAGCTTTTCCTATTAGAGGTTCTCCATGCATCATGAAGCCCCCTGTCTGTTCCTTCATGGCTCCTGAATTTCTACATTCCTTTATTACACATTCTGTCCTCAGTAGTCCTAGAAAACCAATAGATATTGAATGTGTGCTAACCACTTGTAAGAAATTGTTCTGTCCACTATGATAAAGGTAGGTAAAATGAAGAGGTAAAAATATAAAGCATGGACATTGACCTTAATTTGCTTGAAGTTATTAGTCTATTCCTTCTGTGTTGTTCGAAAATAGGTTGCTTGTAGTGGTAAATAAGCTTTCAATACATTTAACATGTATAAGTAAGTATATCAATGAGACAGGAAAATTCACAAATAACTTTAATATGAAACAGTTTTCACAAGTGCCATAAAAGATGCAAATTATAAAGAGAAGTCATAGATGTGGAAACTTGGTTCTAACTAGGAAATGCAGAAAGGCTTCCTGGGAAGTAGTATTTGTTTTGCACATTTGGAAATAGGCAAGACTAGAACTAAAGAACAGAGCCAGGGAACAATGTCCCCATGAAAGTTTCAGTGACTCCATGAAAGTCTCAGTTGTAAAATCAGTTCCCGATTTTCTGCCCTCAGCATCTTTTTGCAGATGTCAGACAATGCTCCAGAATAGATAAACTCATTTAAAATTGTCTTCTCCATCCACTTTAATCAGTACTCCAATTTATTCAGATCAGTCTATAGATGTGGATGCCTAATAGCTCCCTGTCCACAAAACTCATCTCAGATGTATTTGAATTACAATAATAAGCATAGTTTGGGCACAAATTAGAACCACCACCATCACCATAATCACATAGAATCTCAGAGTTAGAAGTGAATTTAATGATCAATATAAAAGGTAATAAACATAGGTTATTAGGCCAAACTTATATGAGTTTGGATCTCAGTGCTAATCTTTATAAGCTGTATGCACCCTGTGTTTTACTTTCCATTCTATAAATGATAATAATAATAGCATTGTTTTGAAGATGAATAAACTTGTTATATTAATTAGAAACTAACTTGTTATAATAAAGAATCTTAATGATAGAATGACTGAAGAAAGACAAAACCTTATTTCTCTTTCATGTAAAAGTCCAAAAATAGCTAAGTTGACTAGGTGCGGGTAGAGGGTTCTTTTTCACCAAGTTATGTTGTGATTTGGGCTGAAGGTCAACCCTGCCATCCTAAACAGTTGACCATTTTATTTGGTTCCAAGGATATTCTAACAGGCAGGGTTAGAAAGTATAGAACCTGATTAAGATTACATAGAAGCAGCTCACATCATTCCACTCCTTTTTCATTTTTCCAAATTTGTTCATGTGGACATATAGAAATAGGAAGCTAGGAGCTGATGTGAATAGCTAAGTATTCATGTGTCCAGCTAAACCCAGAGGTTCTATGACTAAAAGTCTGAAGGTAAAACTGACTGCTTTGGGACAGTTTAACAATCTCTCTGTATAACTGCTTGAGCAGTGGCAGGCACATACTCTATGCTATGTTAGAGTTTACCATTGTTGGTCATTTGTTCTTCTACTTATTTTTTTGTTCTCTGCCCTGATTCAGTATTGAACACCCTATACATGTATATATATATATATGTGTGTGTGTGTGTGTGTGTATGTGTGTGCGTGTGTGTGTCTCAACTGATTGTCCATTTGCCTGATAAATTTAAGTGATCTGTAGTTCACAGTATCCCAAGTTCAACTTTGGACTATTCAAAAATTTCTCCTTAATTTGAGCAGAAATCTAAGTCCCTGCAATTTCTTTCCATTAGTCTTTGCCTTAACTTGGCACTAACAAAATATATTCCACATGATAATATTTCAGATATATGGCAGCTAATATGTACTGTTTCTCCCCCAAAGTTGTTATTTCCAGGAATAAACATTACTCCTTTTGAGAAGAACTGCTACTTCTTCCACTATTGTTTCCTAAGAATGTATCTTACCAATTAAAAAAGATTCCTGTTTTGACATATTTTTTCCTCTTCAACCTAATCTCTGTTATGAATGAACACACATTGCCTGTGTCTCTCTAAATTTGCTTGCCAGAGCTAAATACACGATTCCATTGGTGTTCTTTGCACAGTAAATTGAGAAGGACTAGCATCATGTTGTTTATCTTTCTACCTAAAACTGTGAGACTCCGAAATCATATGCCAGGGCATATGATCTACTATTGGCCTGCCTATAATGTAACAGAACAATCTTTAACTTTTGCTATAAATCAGAGACTATTTGGATACAGGGGAAAAAAAATCTGTTGGTAAGGATCGTTCATTGGAATTAGAAAGTATTTTGTCATCTTCCTTGGAAGAAACATTCTGTTTCTGTACAAGCTAGATATGATTTTGACATATGAAAATCTTTTCTGTTTTTTTCCAATTGGCTATTTAATAAGGACATTGATTATATTGTACCAGGGGTCTGAGCTCAGACATGACTGTTCAGATAACATCTGATTTTTCTAATTTCTAGGTTTATAGTCTGTGTCTCTAGGAGTTATGGTAATGAGGAAGTCTGAATTTGGCCTGGGCGATGTAATTTTATCTTACAGTTACTAATTACTAGATAACTGAAGACAAATTGCTTTCTTTACTTAGCCAGGACAGCAATTCATAGAGCACTAATTAGTAAGAGAATGGAAGGTCACTGTGAAGCCGAATGTCTTACCTTTGAAGTAAAGATTGGGGGCTGTAGAGCTGAATTAGCACCATTTTGCTGCAAAAACAGAAAGAAACATTAAAAACTAAGCACCAGCTGCAAGAAACAAAGAGGTGAAGATTCTCTGGCTGCGATATCAGTGGGATAAATCTCTCTGGACCATCTCTCTTTGATCTGCAAAGGTTGGATTATCTGAAGCCATGTCTGTCCAGTTCCCAGTGCTACAAGGAGATACCCTTCCTAGGCTGTGAACTTCTTCCAGGCAGACACTATATCTTGTTGACCTTTGCACTCTCAGTTCCTGACACAGGGCCTATTAATGATTTCTTTTACTTTATATAAAAGTGAGCCATTGAATACACAGATAAAACAGATGGAATGGAATGGTTGGACTGGCACTCAGGTGAATTGAGTTCTAAAGTCATAGCTCTGGCTTTAAACAGATGTAGGACATTGGGCCCTCTGTGCCAGGATTCTGGTATCTATAATGTGAGCAGATTGAACCTCTCAGTAAACGGTATACCTGCTAGATGCTCATTGTGGCTGCTTCAGCAGTATCACTGTCATGTACTCCTTTCTCTCTTTTATAGGTAGGAACTGTTTAGATTCTTGTTCATTTACCTGTTCGATCTAAAACATCAAGTTTTAGAATGAAATGCACCCATATCAAAATTCAAGTTGGCTGTAGCTTGAGCAACATCTTCATTCTGGCCATTTGCAGTGAGAATTGATCAAATCATGGGTTTCTGAAGCAGTAAGTTCCCCAAAGGTCATCGAATTCAGTGCCCTTATTACAAAGGAGGAGAGTGAGACTGAAGAAGATTATACAGTTACTGACTTAGTCACATTTATATTCCAACTTCGGGCTTTCTGGACTTGTCTGCTTAGCATGTCCACAAAATAGCAGGCTGGAAGATAATAGAACAACAAAAGGCAGTCCTAAAGATGGAACGTTTCTCAGCGGGTTCAGGTGAACAGTTAAATGGAGGAAGAAATTGAAACAAACTGAAAAAAAAAAAAACCATAGAAAGAAAAAAAGACACTTTCTAAGAATCTCTTTTGTAATCCTGCAAACCCTGCCCTTTCAGAGCATAACAATGGCAAACTGAGGCTTACCTTTTCCCTAATTTGCCAAAATTTGGAGTCCCAGCTTTCCAGCAGAAGAAAGCATATATCACAGACCATTTCATCGTAGAAGATTTATAGTACACCATCCCAGAACAGAAGAAGTAAAATCCCTCTGCGCTGCTCTAGAAAATGTCCTTCTCTATTCAGTTAAGCTGGCTTCCTGTAGAGATGTAAATAAAAGAGGAAAAAAAATCTGGAACAAGACAACGTGTAAAATGTTTTAAAATAAAAAATAAAATGTGTTTTGAAAGATCTTCTGGTATTGCCACTTGTCTTCATGGTGCTAATTTTCTTATTCTGAAAACTATGCTGGAGGAAAATATGTAAAGTTATCTGTTTCAATCAGAGGATTTTTCTGTTCTGCATTTTCCCTAGAAATTCCTTAAACATTGTCTCAGATAAAACTAACTGCCTTTGAGAATCTAAGTGTGTTTAGACTTTCTCGTTTCTTCATTTTTTATTTTTCCTCTTCTTTCTCTGTCAGTCAAATGACTTGAAATATAGCATACATTTCCTGTCTCCAGTGTTTTTATACCCTATTTCCTTCTCAACCTATAGAAATCTCTTAAAGCCAGGCATGGAGGCTCATGCCTGCAATTTCAGCACTTTGGGAGGCCAAGACAGGAGGATCCTTTGAGCCCAGGAGTTCGAGACCAGCCTGGGCAACATAGGGAGACCCCATCTCTACAAAAATTTAAAAATTTAGGCTGGGCACAGTGGCTCACGCCTGTAATCCCAGCACTTTGGGGGGCCGAGGTGGGCAAATCACAAGGTCGGGAGTTTGAGACCAGCTTGACCAACCTGGTGAAACCCCGTCTCTACTAAAAATACAAAAAGCAGCCAGGCGTGGTGGCATGCATCTGTAATCCCAGCTCCTTGGGAGTCTGAGACAGGGGAATCGCTTGAACCCGGGAGGCAGAGGTTGCAGTGAGCCAAGATCATGCCATTGCATTCCAGCCTGGGTGACAAGAGCAAGTCTACGTCTCAAAAAAAAAAAAAAAAGAAAAGAAAAGCCCGGTATAGTGGCTCACACCCATAGCCCCAATTGCTTGGGGGCTGAGCCCTGGAAGTTGAGGCTGCAGTGAGCCTGATCATGCCATTGCACTCCAGCCTGAGTGACAGAGGGAGACTCTGTCTCAAAAAAAAAAAAAAAAAAAAAAGAGACCCTGTTTCAAAAGAAGAAGAAGGAGAAGAAGAAAAAAGAAGAAGAAGAAGAAGAAGATTATTTTAGCTCTCATCATACTATTGGAATTTCTCTTTATAAAGGTACCAGGTACCTCCTTAGTCAGTTAATAGTAGTTTTTCTCTTAATAAATTACCAGGGCCAACTCCAGTGACCTATGGCCAGTATTCATCCTTCAGGCCCTTTCTGAAACATTTTACAAGGTGATCTATCTCCTGCACCTTAATTTCTCTCTCTTCTGGCCGTGAGAATGTTTGTCTGCTGGACATTTCTCTTTGTCTTCTCCACACATTCTCAGTCTTCTTTGCTGACTGTTCCTCATATTCTCTTGGCTAGGATTGCTTTCACCTATGTTTCATTCTCTTCTTATTATACGTGTTATCTCCAAACAATCTCCTCCATTCTCATGGTTCCCACTCTTTATGGACTAATGACATGGTGTTACTTCTTTACTTTTATGATTTCTTTACTCTGCTCTGTGGTGCTGTGCTGGGACTCTGAAAACAGCATTTGTTATACTGCTTGGCCAGTTAGCTTCTTGTTAGCACCTTTAATGAAAGGTATTAGCAGGAGAGTGGAAAACAAGACCAAGAGTGAAGGCATCTGTTCTATGCCGTTTTTGTCAGCCCCATTCCAATAGCAGCAGATGGTTGGCTCCAGGCTTCAGGCTTTATATTCTTTCCACTTTCTCAGCAGCCCCACAAATATGCCAGAAAAGGACCAGCAGCATCCTAGCTCTACCTCCTTGGTTCTAAGAGGACCGGCTGAGCTACAATCTGCTTTTCTATGCACCTTGTCTATCCAAGCACCTGTTGGACCATGTCTCCTCCTCAGAAGTCTGAACACTGGCTATCAAGTGCCTCTGCCTCATTTGCCTGCACATCAGTCATTGAGCATTGCTCCCTTCAAATTTTAAGCGTGGCTGATGTGGTGTAACCCACTAGGAGACATGGGCACCTGGTACTGTGTCTCCTCCTCATAGGTTCAAGCTCTAGCTGCGTACAAGTAAGATAATTTTGGGCGCTAGCCCCTGAGAGTAACTTTACTCCTTTGTTCCTATATGTTAAAAGGCGATATCCCTTTTGTATGGTTATCTCTGTGCCTTTTCAACCTTCCATTACTTGTGTATCCAATTTAAGTTTACTGAGCTACTCTAAGTGGATTTCTGATAGACACTTCAAAGGTAATGTCTTTATTGCAATTTATTGGTTTGCTTCCAAATCTGGCCTTCATTTAATATTCTAAATCTTAGAAAATATTACTATCGTTTACTTGACATTCAGGGTAAAAGTAGAGGTTTACTCAGGAATGCTTACTTTTCTGAATAAGTCACACAATTTACTCATGACATTAATCTGCATAAATTGCTTATTAATCCCTGTAAATCTTAATGCAGTTATCTCCTTCCCTCTTTCTCCTCACTGATGTTGTTCTAGATCAGTGTCTTATTATCTTCAGCCTCTGCTCTTACTCTGTCAAACTTGGTGTTAACAAATTCACCCTCACTGCCAATTATCTAAAATTTACTTATAATTTGTGGATTGAACTTTGCATGAAGTAAAGGAATAGTTCTACTTTTTCATGATGTATGAGCACACACACGAGCATACACACACCCATGTGAATTGAAAAACCATAAAAATTAGTCTAAGATTTATATTCAGATGTCTACGAATCCTTAGAACACTCAAATATTAGAACTAGAAGTAGCCTTAGAGATCACTTAAGTCCCTGCTTCCAGAACTATATTGGTTAATTATAGTCAGTGTAACTAG
Organism: Homo sapiens; assembly: GCF_000001405.40. Classification (NCBI taxonomy): domain Eukaryota; kingdom Metazoa; phylum Chordata; class Mammalia; order Primates; family Hominidae; genus Homo; species Homo sapiens. The sequence continues at coordinate 5,405,048 of NW_018654717.1, read as the reverse complement.
CCTAGAATACTTATAATTAGAGCTCTATGCCCCACTCTAACACTTTCAAATGGGGATCTCTTCAGAATCTAAATTTGTAAAATGACTTTTCCAATTAAGTCTCCTGCACAGTGACATTTGAGACCTGTTGATCACTGAACACAGAAGCATCTGAGATCCATTGATCTCTGTCACACACCTCCAGTTAGTTGCAGAAATAGATTCAGGCTCAAATCCAGGATTGCTGCCTTCATGTCCAGTGGCATATCACTGTGTTGCACTTTTCCATTTGTAAAGGAGGTATGGAGAGGGCATGACCAAGTGGTTCACCTTGCTCAACCCCAGGAACAGAAGCTCAAACTTTATTGGGTAGACAGACACATGTACAGCAAATGAACATTCCATGTGTTAAGTTCTACATCCTGATCCGAGACCTGTGGGAGTTTAGAACATGTGCATTTAGACTAATTACGACTGGAGTCATTGGGGTCCAGAGAGGTTTCACAGACAAAATGTCCTGTGACCATTTAAACCAACTGGTTTATCAACTTAGCGTAAATCACTTTAACTGAAACTGAAGGAGTATTGCTGCTAAACTTCCTTTGTTGCCAATATATTTGTAGTTTATGTTCCCATTTGACAATTATTTCCATTCAAAACTGCTCACTTTCATTCTTCTGGGGAACTGAACCGAAAATGTTAAGGACTCTCTGTTCTCTTATGAAAGCCATTCTGCTCATATGGTGCACTTCTGTCCCTGATTGTCTATATCGAGGTATAGAAAGGTCCTTTTCATCCAAACAAAGACATTCCACTGGCCCAGGTGAGCTGCTGACCAAAATGAAGCCACCTATCTTCTGTCTCTATGGACACCTTCACCTGTGAGGACTATTATCATTCTCATTTGCCACTTAATTTTTTTCCCATTTCACTTTTTTTTTTTTTTTTTCGAAACAAGTCTCACTAGGTGGCAAAACAATCTGTGGAAGCCTTGACAAGTTTAATGAAACTGAGACCTTGAGGGAATCCCCTGGGCAAAATCTCCACTATCTATATGTGGAGAAGGGGCTGTATGAGAAACCAGGAAAACTGATGACAGAGAGAACTGTAGTCTTCTAACCCGTGCACAAGCCCTTCCGGCTGTGTGAACAGCAGAGCGGGCCAGGTAAAGGCTGACTTAGATGAACTGCAGTAAGAGGTGCTCCAGGTGTCTGGATCCACCTCTCCTTCATCACTGAAACTCAACAGGATCTGAGTAGTAGAAAATGGGGCACTTTCCTGATTTTTTTTTTTTTTTTTTTTTTTTTGAGACAGGGTCTCATTCTGTTTCCCAGTCTGGAGTGCAGTGGCACCATCATAGCTGGGATTACAGGCACATGCCACCATGTCTGGCTAAATTTTTTTATTTTAGTAGAGATGAGGTGTTACTATACTGCTCAGGCTGATCTCAGACACCTGAGTTCAAGCAAGCCTCTTTAGTGATTTTAAGAAACTTACAAGAGAGAGCTATGACAAAGCTCTGTGGACCCAAGGCAAACAGTGTAACAGGCTGACTTATAAGGATCACCATCAATCTTAGCAACCTAATCCATTGTCCTTCAATACTGCTGCTCTTCTGGGCTTGACTCTGTTCCTATGACTTTATTCCAATCCTTGGCTGTACCTCTTTTTTTTTTTTTTTTTTTTTTTTTTTTTTGGTCAACCGCTGGTCTTTTCAAATAGAACTTACAGAGATCAAAACTCTCACTCTGAAACTGAGTGTACTCCTTCACATTCAAGGTAGGAACAAGAACTACAGGTATAAAGTCTTCTGCATGGACAGGCTTTGGAGCAGCTCTGAATCAGACTCCCTACCTTTGTCCAAGGAAATGCATGTGCATTAGGATCAGATCCCCTCTGAGGAGGTAGGGCTGGTTATGCCCAGGAAGTGATGTGGACACATGTTGCCTTATATACACTGCATTGCATTTTAGATGGACCATCTTCTCATCAGGACTTCTTAGTGACCCAATCAAACAGCCTTCCTACAACCATTGTGCTTTGGTAGAGTTGTAGTTTCTTCTGGAAAAGCTAAGGAAATTTTCTAAGGTAGGACAGAAAAATCTTGTTTTAGATAGTAATCATAAATCATAATTTTAAAAATTATGCTTCAATGTATTGTCATTTTTTTCACTTCTCAGCTTTTTTTTTTTTTTTTTTTTTTTTTTTTTCTTGAGACGGAGTCTTGCTCTGTCACCCAGGCTGGAGTGCAGTGGCACAATCTTGGCTCATGCAAGCTCCGCCTTCTGGCTCACGCCATTCTCCTGCCTCAGCCTCCTGAGTAGCTGGGACTACAGGCACCTGCCACTACGCCCGGCTAATTTTTTTGTACTTTTAGTACAGACGGGGTTTCACCGCGTTAGCCAGGATGATCTCGATCTCCTGACCTCGTGATCCACCCGCCTCGGCCTCCCAAAGTGCTGGGATTACAGGACTGAGCCAACGCGCCCAGCCCACTCCTCGTCTTTTATCAGATCCATTTTCTAGGCATGGAATCAGAGACTCAGAGACACAGTGAGCAGACCTTAATTTACCCAGACATTCATTTAGTGGGTTAGTTTCTCGTAAGGGGCTTCCAAATGTAGACAATGTGTGTCCCGTGCAGACTCAAGAGGAATCAATTCAGTCTATTTGAAGACTCCCCAAACTCATATTTTGTAGAAACCAAAAAACAAAATATTTGGTAGAGAAGGTCGAAGTGTCTGAACGGTACATACAGGCAGAGCTACATTACTTGGCTCCTATGTGAAGAGAGAGGGAGCTGCAGAAAAACTAAATGGGAAGGCTCAGATGTATGAATTTCTTCAACTGAAATTGCATACAATCCTGGCTCCTTAATCTGTGTCCACTTCCCAGCAGTTATGGGAGGTATGAGCTCAGCTCAGGGGAAACAAACTTAACAAACTTAGCTCTGGAAATCTGGAGAAGCAGTGAGCAGGGCTGATCCCCCAAGTACCCTGATGAATCCCAGTGTTCTTTCTGTTCAATTACCTAAGGGAAGCTATTCAAGTTTTAAGTCCGTTTTGAATCAAAATATTGATTTTTTAAAAAAAAAAAACTTAAAATTTAAAGAAACTGGTATTAGTTATGGGAAAACCAGAAGGGTACCCTCATTTGGAAATAATCTTTGAGAAATCTTTGCAGTGTGAACAGTTGGGATTTGGTCTTTCCAAAATCCAGCTAGCATGCACTTAAGAAAAAGGAAAATCAGGAAATGTAGAAAATGAAATGCTAACTTACATATTTCACTTTAACATTTATTAAGGATATTAATGGGCCTATTGAAAATTGAAAATGCAGTTTTGCTATTTTAAAAAATGTTCTTGTGTGAGAGTAGACATCCCTTGGTAAATGTCCATGGAAATATTGAACATTTAATTTTTCATTAGTTCTAAACAAAATCATGTATTTCCTAAAAGGTACGCATTTTACATGCCTCAATACCCATAGTTGACACAAAATACTCTGAAACAGAAAACAAAACATTAAACTATCCCATATTTTAAATTAAAAATATTTTTTCAAACAGCGCTGAGAACACTGAAATATGTGAAATTACAATATATTCTAAAACGATTACCTAAGAAAATTAGGGGATGTCATCCACGTTTGTCTCAAAGGAATTCAGATTTATGATTCATCTTAAGAAATGTGAAAAGAACACATTAAATATAAAGATGGATAAAGGAATTTATTAATATACACAGTAACTTTTGTTCTTTTAAAGCAATGATTCGGGCCTCCTGGGCCCAGCTCAGGTCCTGGCTCAAAAAGTCCCTGGAACAGAGCCCTTGCTTTTGTCCCTGCCTCCCGGGTGATTGAGGAGTAGAAAAGGAACCTACATTCCTCATCCTTGGTGTGAATTTCCACGCTCCCCACCGGCCAACTGTGGCAATTCACATTGTAGTTCTGACAATAAATGGCCCGTTCTGACTGGGCTGGTGGGGGTCCTGGTCCAGCCACCTCCAGCCAGGGGTCCCTGGGTCGTGAAGGCGCCACGACCTGCTCCACTCAAGATGTGCAGCTCCACCCACTCACGCTAGAGAGGAAGAAGAACTTCTGCCATAAACTTTTGTTGTTATTGTTTTGTTTGGTTTGGTTTGAGACGGGGTCTCGTTCTGTTGCTCCGCCTGGAGTGCAGTGGCCCCATCACGGCTCACTGCAGCCTCGACCTCCTGGGCTCGAGTGATTCTCATGCTTCAGCCTCTGGAGGAGCTGGGGCCACAGGCACCCACCACCACACCTGGCTAAGTTTTTGTATTTTTGTAGAAACAAGGTCTCGCTCTGTTGCCCAGGCTCGTCTCAAACTCCGCCCACCTCAGCCTCCCAAAGTGCTGGGATTCCAGGTGCGAGCCACCGCACCCAGCCTCCTAAACTGTTTTTAATTTGTGCAGAATGAACCGGGTCATCAACCACTGTAAGTGGTCTGACTACCCTGACCATAAAGTGTCGGAAACACTCAACTTGCAACTGGTGGAAGCAGCCTAGCCCCACTGCACGTAAAACACTCGCGTTGTGGCAAACGCGGAGACCAAGGCTGCACTGGCCGGAAGTGGGGACAGATCCCGATACGCCCTGGGGACAGAGCAGGGATGCTGAGGCCTGGTCCACACTGGCTCTGCCCTCTTTCTGGCCCACTACCCCATCCTGAGACCGCAGGTTCCGGCGGACCCGGATGCAGGTTTTCCGGATGAAAGGCCCCTTTCCTGGAGTGGACTTTGATATTTTCTGTTCACAACTCCGTGTCACCATCCTCCACACCTAGGATCTGGCGTCTGGTGTCACTGCCGACGTCACAATCCCCGCACCTACGTGTCTCAGCCGCAGTAGCCCTACGTCGCTGTCAGACACTGGGAGGTTGGTGCCCCGCCATGCTTTTGTGTCTTTTGTCTTTTCACCCTCTCCCCTCCCCACCCAGTGCCCCGTCTAAGTCCCCACTCGGAAGTGGATTCTCACCCCTCGCGGCCCTTTGTGGGCAAAGCCAGGAGGAGGAAGGCCACAACCTCCCGCTGGCTTTGGGATTTCTTAGACATCAGTAGTCTTCTAAGGCCCTCCACCCTGCCCGCACCCCTCCTTCATCCTCGCGTCTCTTGGGACACTGCCCTGCTGCCCTCAGGCCTTTCCTTAGTCACAGACTCGGGGAGGCCCCTGAACCCCCTCGGCTTGGACATCACCGGCCACAGTCCTGTGACGCCCTGTGATCTTCTGTCCCAGATCTCATTCCACTGGCTGTGCCTGTCAGGGTGTGCTTAGATTTTGGAGTCCCAGTGTAAGGCGTGCTCTTATTGGGAAGGGGGCTTCTTCATTCTCTTCTTGTGAATGTAGATGTGAAGCCAGGGCATAAGGAGAAAAAGAGAGGCCAAAAGAGAACCAGAGAGCCAGGGAGCTAGGGAGAGTGAGGTTGAAAAAGAAGGTAACGTTGAGTATTGGGAAGCTGTCTCTGATGGATTTTGAAAAGCAGTGATAGTGAAAGAGTTCTAGAAGCTTTGTAGAAGGTGTTGAAAAAAATAGTGAAAGTTACGTGGGCAAGAAATAGTGGGATAGATGACACAGACAAAGAGAATCAGGAGAGAGGTGGAGGACAGAATAGAAAGGGGATTCTGACCAACCACAGCAGAGGAGTAAAGGAAAGAGATCCCCAATTCATTAGGGTTTTTTTAAAAAGTCTTAATTATATTCTCTTTTGTTTCAGATTCAGATGATGAGGCCTCTTTAGATTTTTAGTCTTTATTATATTTTGGAAATATCTTTTAGTACTTAGTAAAGGATTTTACGCTATTTCAATGTGCTCTTGGAAAGGGTATTGGTTTTTTTATATTAACAGTCAAAACCTAGTTTAATCAGTAAGTCTATTCTTCTACTGTCTCCATTATTTCCTTACATGGCCTTTTAACTGGGTCTGTAAAATACAATTTTCAGGGAAGTGTATGTTCCCTTGACCTCTCTCTGCAAATTTTCAAGGATGGACTGAAGTGATCAGGAATTTTGTTCTAGCAGAGCCATTCTGTTCATGATTACTAAATTGCTCAGAGCTAGTTCAAGCCAATAAGTAGGTATCCTTAATTTCATATTTTTGATAATTCAATGAGTTGTTCTGGAAAAAAAGGAATTAAATGCTTGAAATCAGATTATTGTGATTAAAACCATGAGAAAGAAGTTGCTCTTGCTCCAGAGCATGAAATATGGTATAGAATCTTTAGGGCAAAGAGAAGGAAAAACCCTATCACAATTCGTCACAGCACATCATTCTTGTGAAGCTAGTGGTGGTTACTCTCTACTGGCATCTCCTACTGACCTTGCCTGCCCCAAGAGCCAAGTACAGAATGACAAGGCAGCTTGATGAGGGGAGAGTCAAGACTTTTTAAACTAACTACAGAACAAAATTATCTCTCCAAGTAGGAGGGGACACTTGGTGCTATAAATGAATATAAATGACATGAGAATGACATGAGAATGAAAACTGTCAATATAATAAATAGTTTGCAAAAGCTCTAACTTAAAACACACAGGACTTTCAGAGTAGAGAATTCCTAGCTCTGTAAAGAATTTGGGACTCCATTTGAGAGAAGCCTTGGTCTCTACTCACTGTGAACCAACATTCAGCCAGGTACCACCGTTGGTATGTTACCAAAAAAACTCAGTAAAAAATGCTTTCTTAAGAAGGAAATAGGAAAGGAAAGTCTTTACAAGGGCAACTGATCATCTTGTGGATTACCAAATACTGCAGATTTCAGGTCAGAAAACGGAGTCATGGAGAATAAAAAGAAAAAACTAACACACAATTGAGCAAATAATTCATAATTTAGAGAATGTATCTACTCATTAAAAATGTGAAGTGTAAATGTATAACAGTTATGTGACCTGGGAATTTTGAATACAAAATTATGTAAGCAACTTTATTATTTTTTAATAGAAAAATACTTGCAAATATTGAAACAATAAAACCTGTTGCTGAAAAATCTAATATGTTGTTAAAGTTCTAGTTTTATTTATGCAGGTCTGACACATAGATTTGCATAAGCTATCCTTAGCATGTGAGTAGAGATTTCATCCTTCTCTTCCCGTTTCCCCATCATCAACAGCTTTTTTTTCTTCCCACAGCCAAACTCCCTTCATTCCAACTTCCACCAAAACCACTTCTCTGGATCCATCCCTGGAGTTGACACAACAGGGATCTTCAGCCCCAGGTGCCAGGTTTCTCAGTGATCCATTACACAGATTTAACAGGGAAATGGGGGCAGTATCAAAAACACCCAGTATAAACCATTGAATTACCCCAGCCCTTGTCTCTGCCCATGAACAACTGCCTGGGGCCAGAGAATTAGGCATCCCTGCTCTTCTTTCCCTCAGAAAGCCCTTGAGACGTTCTCCTTGAAGCTCCCCTAGGTGGGAGTAGAAGTTCATCTCCTGACACTCCACGTTTTATTCATGAGTCCTGAGTTATGACACAGAGGACACAGTTGTGCTCCCCTTACTATGGACTAGCAGATAAAGCACCTTAACCACTCAGCCACCATGCAAACCCTTCTTATATTTGATTCAATATACTTTTCCGCAAGCAAAATAAAAGTTCTGACCAAGGAGGCGTCGTCTGATTTGACTCTAGAACTTGGAAATGCATTGGCTTTTAGCAAATCTCAGTACTGAATGTAAACTTCAAGGAGAAATGGTTCCAGGAAATAAATTGGGATGACATTGAACTTTTAGCAAACTGCAAAATCCTGAAACCATGGACTTACTGAGGCCAATTAAATGGGCTAATTCATGGGTGGAAGTGGTACATCCTAAAAATTCTCCACAAGTGATTCTACACTGAAGCCAGGGTTTTTGTCAAGTACTGTGTGAGGATGAGGATGGCCATCTGCTTGGCAAGCCATCTGGTCCAGGCAGGGCTCACATTATTGTTCACAGTTTAACCTATTTAATTAAATAGTAATTTTCCCCCAAATCTTATATGACATAAGCTGTAGTCCTGAGCCACATTAAGATGTACTATTTATGCAGTAAAATTGTATGGGATTTGACAAATGCATAGCAGCAGTTTTCCAGCATTAAAGTATCACAGAACCCTTCTCTTATTCAAGCTCCTCTTCCGTCCACATACAGGGAATCAATCGCCTTTTGTATATGGTCCTTGGACGTTGCTTCTTTATTTCAGTTATCTTCCATCAAAGCAAATGATACCGTGCTCTATTTTCATTTGATCCTCCAAAAGAAAGGTACTGAATAATCTAAACCAGAATTTCAGCCATTCAGAGACTTAGGTCCATCGCTAAGCGGTAGAAGCCAAGCCTCTTGCGCTGCAACCCCATGGCCGGCAGAGGGCGAGGGAACACGCCGTCCCGCCCTCCGGGGCGCATGCGCTTTCTGCCTGCGGAGGCGGGGCTGGGTCTCCAGGAAGTACGTGAGTTTCCTTTCCTCTGGTCAGGGAGGAGGCGCCGCCCTGGCTTTGGGGCAACTAAGGCGATGTCCATCAGGAGGAAAACTTCCTGTCCGCAGCCCTAACTGCTGAGAAGGGAGATTCGCTGCAGAGTATCCCGGATATTTTTCTGAAACAGCCATAAAGACTTCATTTTCAGGGCTGTTGCCACGTGTTTTATTCTGTATTTTCTGTTGGGATACTTTAGCATTATTTTACAAATGTATAAATTTGGGGTTAGGGAGGGCTTTCTGATAGATAATAGAAGCAGGCTGTAACATGTCCTCCCTGTGACCTCATTGAGGATTGATTGTGAGGAGAAACAAGAAGAATTGTGAGGAAAATCTACAGAATACGGGGACCCTGCAGAGGAAGGGGTCGGGTCAGGGCAGGGCCACACAATTTCAGTGCAGCCCGTGGGAAAGGGGCCCTTGCAGGGAAACCCGCGCTCTGCCTCCGTGCATTTCCACATTGTGAGGGGCTCATCTTTCCTACAGTGCTAAAGTCACTGAAAAATAGACAATGAAAGAGAGGGACATTAATTCAACATTCAGTTGTTGACGATAAAGCATTCAGAACCACATCTTTCTCTTCATCACAGCACTGCAGATGTAAAAAATGGTTTTAATTTCAAAGGCAAGGGGAAGAGGTACACTTGTGAACAAGTTTGGACCCCAAATGAAAATATATTGCTTAAATATTTCTTCAAAAATAAGTCATTATTCTGTGTTGCAGGATATATCCTGAGATTTTTAAGCTATAACTTTATTAATTTATTGGTTAAAACACATTTTGTTTATAGCCAAAGCGATTATAAAGGTAGAATATTTGGCAAGTCCCTCATATTTTTCTTCTTCTACTAGGTTTTCAGCTAGAATTGACACACACAAACTCACAATGAGGGGCCTCTTTCTTGACCATAAAATATGCATACTCCAGAACCCTCAGTGTAAGCTGTTTCTTGAATATCTTAACCTGATCCCCACAACCAGAGAGAATGTAGAGAAGTAACCCGTTTTTTTTTTTTTTAAACACAGTCTCGCACTGTCACCAGGCTGGAGTGCAATGTCGTGATCTTCGCTCACTGCAACCTCCGCCTCCCGGGTTCAAGCTATTCTCCTGTCTCAGCCTCCCGAGTAGCTGGGATTACAGGTGCCCGCCACCACACCCAGCTAATTTTTTGTATTTTTAGTTGAGATGGGGTTTCACTATGTTGGCCAGGCTGGTCTCAAACTTCTGACCTCCTGATCCGCCTGCCTTGGCCTCCCAAAGTGCTGGGATTATAGGCATGAGCCACCGTGCCCGGCCAAGTAACCCAACTTTAAAACTACATCTGGTTGGGCACCATGACTCATGCCGGTAATCCCAACATTTTGTGAGGCGGACATGGGCAGATCACTTGAGGTCAGGAGTTTGAGACCAGCCTGGCCAACATGGTGGAACCCCGTCTCTAACCAAAATACAAAAAGTAGCCGGGCATGGTGGTGCACACCTCTAATCCCAGCTACTCGAGAGGCTGAGACAGGAGAATCGCTTGAACCTGGGAGGCAGAGGTTGTAGTGAGCCAGACTGCACCACCTCACTCCAGCCTGGGCAACAGAACACAACTCCGTCTGAAAAACAAACAAACAAACTACATCTGATCTTCAGCAAAGTATCTGCTGTTCTGCTCAGAAAAGACCGAAATCCACAAAGCAGACAGACCTCTGAATAAAGACACTAAGGTCCGCCGTGGGTGCTTTTAAGAAGTTAGCAGGGCCTGTACTTCACCTAATAAGACTGAGGAGGATATCAGCTAAATGGAAAGAATCTACAAACAAATTTATACAATTTCTAGGGAGAGAATGACATCCTGAGCTCAAGGGCCTGTTAGTGACGGCACATTCAGTAATGGTGCAGCCTCACAGAATTTCCATTTAGTTCAATTTTGGTATTTACTGGTCATCTTTTCTCCCCAATACCATCCAACCTTTTTTATGTTGTCAAATAATTTTTAATCATAAAATGATTAACTCTGAGTTTGGGCATTTGGTGTCTGGCCTCCTGATGGAAGTTTAGGTGACTTTGTCCATGGAAATCATGGATTTTTAATTAATAAGTAATGTTGAAAGGGAAACTTGCATTATAATTCTGAAACCATTCCAGTGGGGGATACAGGCAAGAAATAAGCCAACAGACAGATTAGCACATAGTGATATATTAGAAATTAAGTAAAGGTCCTTTTGGTATTTTTCCCAGCTCATCTTATGATATGAGCCTATTATGTTTGGATAACTTTCCCCAGGAGATTCATTTTAAAAGTTCTTTCACTTAAAATACATATTATTTTATTATTTAAAAATACTGTCACCAGAAGCGGTGGCTCACGTCTGTAATCCCAGCACTTTGGGAGGCCGAGGTAGATGGATCACTTGAGGTCAGGAGTTTGAGACCAGCCTGGCCAGCACGGTGAAACCCCGTCTCTACTAAAAATACAAAAATTAGACAAGCGTGGTGGCACATGCCTGTAATCACAGCTACTCGGTACTCTGAGGCAGGAAAATCACTTGAACCCAGCGGGTGGAGCTTGCAGTGAGCCGAGATCGTACTACTGCATTCCTGCCTGGGAGACAGAGTGAGACTCCATCTCAAAAAAAAAAAAATACTGTCAGCCCTCCACATCCATGGGTTCCAGCTCCATGGATTCAACTAAACTTGAATAGAAAATATTCAGAAAATATTTACACAATTTCCACCCCCCGACAAAAAAAAATTTGAATTTTCCCTTCACCAAATTCTTTGTTGAGAACACGTAAGTAATGTAAGGTCTGGGCATTGTATTAGGTATTATAAGTAATCTAGAGATAATTTAAGCTATATGAATTAATATGAGTAAGTTACATCTAAATTCTCTACCACTTTATACAAGGAAGTGGAGCATCCACAAATATTGTTACCTTCAAAGTTTCCTAGAACCAATCCTTTATGTTTACCCAGAAATGATTATGCACATGAAACTTACAGAAAATAATTGTCTTTCCTAATTAATGAATAGTATACAATAGAATGTAAATAGCACTATTTTAAAATGCTGATATTTTATATCACATTTCTATGGTGAATCAGAGTAGAGGTTACATTAGATTGATTTTGATTAGATTAGGCTAATTCTAACAGGGGCACACCCATATCACTTGAGTTTTGATAAAAGCACTCCCATGCAGGTCCTACTACTTAATCAGCAGCACTAGCCAATCGTGTTCATCCATTTTGATAAATCCCACAGCTCTCTCTATTATAAAACTTTTGGGATTTGCCCAAGATTTCATTCTACCATAGCGTCGTTCAACCTGTCCCAGGCCAGGGCACACTATTCCATGTTCTGGATGTGCCGAGCTGATCATCTTCTTCAGGAAAAGTAAAAGATCAAGTCATAGACTGTATAGATTTATAAGAAAATAAGAGGAAGATTGAAATTTTCTGATACAAGTGAGTCTAGAGAACCTTTACCATGTATGGTTACTGGCGCCAAAGAAGCCTTAGTGATTCCTGGACAGAATCGCAGAATGACAATGAAGGAGAGAGCAGGTATGTTAGTGTGTGTTTACCTTGGGTTGCCAGGAGGTTGCCATGTGACTATGTGTGACTGTGTGCATTTGTGTGTGTGTGTGGTGTGAATGTGTGATAAAGGGTCAAACTAGGGCAGAGAAAGCACCCTGGCCTGCCATGACATTGAACGTTATAAATTTAGAACACCTGCCGGAGACATGAGACCCACAGTGGAGGCCATAGGATCCTGCCAGCATGGGGGGTTTCTGGACCTGTCAGGGGGCTCATCTCAGGTTTCCTCCCACTGTCGATCTATGTTCCCTCTCTAAATGAAAGTCACCTCTTGTGCGGAGACAGGTAAACTGTGGGCATGATCTAAATTTCTTCCCTGTGCTCATTAGAAAATGAAACATTTCCCATCATCTCTCACTCCATTCACACTGTAACTGCACAGACACGGTGCTCAGATACCTGAAATAACAACGTCTTCCCTGAAAGTCCTCAGACCAAATTAGATGTCCCTTCTCAGATGGATGAGCTCCTGAGAAAGCAAACTGTTTCCTGTGGTCACCATCCCTTATCACACACATTCACCGATAGGAAAAGCCATTAGAAAAGTTGAGGGTGGGAGATGAGCATTAGGACTTACTGGATGCAGGTAGGATTTGGAGCCCAACACAAGTGCACTTGACTGAGGGACACAGAAAGAATGTGTGCTGGATGATAAATGGAGTTTTGGGCTTGTGAGAATTAGACTCTGTGTGGAAGACTAACGGATCCCTTTCTGTCCTGCAGCTTGGCTACCACGCAAATGAATCCACCCAAACGTCACCAAGTGGAGCAGGGTACCAGTATAGGTAAGGCAATTTCCCTGATATTTCTTAAGATCTCCCTGCCTGGAGGTCAGTGTCATGTCTCACAATCTTATAAAAGGAGAGGGTGCTTTCTGCAGGATGAGTGGAAAGTCATGCTTGATTGATGGGGGCTGGTGTCCTGAGGCTGGCCTGTGCTGGGTTGTGGATTTCTGAAGGTCATATTCTGAAATCCAAGAGACTCTTGCTGGAAGAGCCTTAACCTCCCTCACTGTGATCTCTCTGCAGGTGCAAAAACACCCTCAATTCCAGGAGCTCCACACTGAATTCAGGCCAGTCCCTGGAACCTCCCCAGGTAAGTTATTATGTCATTGCATGGCAAAGATTGCAAAACACCCTCAATTCCAGGAGCTCCACACCAGAATTCATGCCCGTCCCAGAAACCTCCCCAGGTAAGTTCGTATGTCCTTGTATGGCAAAGATTGGACAGTGCTGCACACTCTTCAGGCTCAAGAGACATCCAGTGGATGTACATTTAGGTGGGTCAGCATGAGAGTCAATTCTGGGAGGGAGTGTATTTTAAACTTGTAGAGGGTGAAGCTCCTGGCAACTCCCTCCGCATCAGCATCATTTGCAGCCTTTTTGGAGAATACTGACGGCCATCTTTTCACGGGAGCAGCAGGATTCCAGCAATGAGGAGCTCATCATAGTCCTAGAACAAGGGACAGAAGTGAGGTTGAGCCTGGAAGAGGTCATCCTCATCTTGGCCCCAGAGACAGCGCTGCAGCTGACCGTGGAGAACACAGTCCTTGTGATTGTTCCTGGCATATCCTGAGGTCACAAGATGGCCTGCAGTCCCCTGTGCAGATCCAGTACATCATGCCTTCCATTGATGACTTCAGCTTGGAGTGCCATGCTCAAGATGGAGACATCTCAGACATGAAAGGAGAGAATGTGCCTCTTTCACCTGCAGAAGAAGGGGAGGCAGCACCCCTATATCACCAGCCCTTGATGATATCCCCAGCAAACCACAAAGCTGGGATCAGCCCTTTTCTTCTAGTAACCCCATTGTGCATTCCATGCTGTCTGGCAGCCTTCCCCCAACGCTACCCTCTACCACCCACATCTAGTCCCATGGGACGCCCTAGACCAGCCAACTCCAGTTTCAGCCTGCATGGTATGGAGCTACTGTGCACCTCCTCCCTCAGCCGTATGCCCCCTTCACCAACTCCTGGTCCCCAGATCTATCACAGGGTTCACCATAGGCCTCCCAGCAGGGCACAGAGATGTCTCTTTAGGAAGTGATTTAACCAAGAGTCACCCCCTGCATTGATAGGTCAGAGATTGTCCAAGTCCTTAGTCAGTGCATTCCCTGAAATGTGGAGAGAAAGTAATTCCAAGGACCGCTTGCTTCCCCTTTGCTGTTTCCCATCAACACCCACTGTCTTCAACAGCAGAGGGCTCCAGATGCTGCAGGGAGGGGGAGAACCGCAGGGAGTTCAAATAAAACATTCACATTTCACTTCACACACAATGTCCCTTAGACTTTCTCTTCCTATTTAACCACATACATCCAACCACACTCAATCGAATCCCTGACTGCTCCATGTGAGAGTTCTGCTTCCAGCATGATGTGGCCTGAAAATTCATCTGAAGACAGCTGCTCACTCCCAGGGCTAACACCGCCCCTTGCATGCTGATGTCCTTGTAGTCATTGGTCTGATGCCACAATAAATAATTCCTAAGGCTGGTGCTCTATTTCTGCCCTGAGACTCTCCCCTTTTTCTCCAAGCTGTGCCCCATTCCTTGTTTTAGTCCAGGTTCCCTACACTCCCCAGGCCAATGCTTTTGAATAAATCTTGACGTCATTGAATGAAGTAGTGGTGACTGCTGTGCTTGCTTCCAACTGAGACAGTCTCCTGCTCTCACTCATCACGTTTCCATTCACACTTGCCTTTGTTTAGTTTTGTTTTCCATTGTTTGGGTTTATTATTCACGTGCTTATGAAATAACTGCCACATTTCTGACAGTTTTTTTGGCCAATTTGGGGCTTTTCCTGTGCTCCTCCTTCCAAGTCCTGAGTGGGGTCACTGTTTGCACCTCTGGGCCCTGGGATGGGTCTGGCTTAGCAAGTGATTGAACAGAGCTTGGCTCTGTGTGTTCGGATGGGCACCTGCGCTTGTTCACAGCTGCTCCCAGGCTCTCCCTGTCCTGCCTGGGTGTCCCTGTGTCTCTGGAGTGTCTAGGAAATCTAGCAGTCCCCTTGAGGGCCCAGCACCTCTTTGTTGGCCTGCATGTCCCAGCCTGTGCATCCATGGCCAGCTAGAGCTACCACCACCTTTTCCTAGTCAACCTGGGTCCTGGAGGCAGGGGAGATGCGGGGATAATGTCCTGGCCTCCCTGAGCCCAACCCCAGTAGGTGGGGAGTGCTCATGTCCCCGGGGGGAGTACGGGGCGTTTGCCCTTGACTTGCCTGACCCTCTAAAACCTCACATGTTCCCTGGAGGTGGGTGCAGCTTTCTCCTACTCTGGCCTTGCTGGCCTGGGAAGAGTGTCCTTGGTCCCCCGAGCCCTCACAGCGTTTTCTCTTCTACTGAGGTTTCAGGAACTGCCTTTCCCCTCTGGGAAGGAGGACAGGCACCTTTTCAGGTTTGATTCTCCTCAGAGTTTTGTATCTCGGCTGGGGCGGAAGCAGCCTTCGTCCACATGAGAGGCCCAGCCAGGGCGTCCTCACCAGCCCGGGCCTCCGGGGAGGTTTTGAGTCTGGGCGCTGGAGAGGCCCCTTCCTCTGCGAGAGCGAAGATGGCCGCCCCAGTGCAGGCGGCGCCTTTCTGCGCCCTTAGGGCGTCAGGATCCCCCTACGGACGGGAAGTCCCATTGGGCGTCTTTGGCCCCGCCCTCCCAGAGCCCTGCTGATGCGGAGGTGGCGCGGGGGCCCTGGACTCTGTCATGAGAGGTGGCAGCAGAGGCCAGGCAGGGCCCGGGCTCCGGGTCAAGGGAGTGTCTGGCCTGGGTGGGACTGGGTCCCATCCAGAAACTGGGATTCTAGGGTTCTGGTGCGGGTGGATCCGGGGCAGGCTCAGGACCAAGTCCCTCTTCTTCCACCTCAAGGACTCACCCCGGGGCTGGCGGGAGCTCCAGGCTCAGCAGCTGCTCCTCCTCCTCCTCCTCCTCCTCCTCCTTCTCCTCCTCCTCCTCCTCCTCCTCCACTCCTCCCCTCCCCTTCCCTTCCCCCTCCTCTCGCCTTTCCCCTCCCCCTTCTCCTCCTCCTTCTCCAGGTGTTTTCTCTTCTTTTATTTCTGTGAGTTGAGAAATGGCGCCGTCCTTCACATCGGTGTATTTCTACCCTAATCCCCAGTACCTTGTTGAGTAAAGCAGTCAAACTCTGCAATATATTGAAGAGCCCTCAGGAGGTCCTCAGAACATGTGCCCAAGGTAGTAAGGGTGCAGCTTCGTTTACTTCGGGCCAATTGGTCTCCATAGGTATAACATCCTGACGAGGGTATAAATCAAGTGCAACAAATGCCTGGTGTTCTATATCTAAATTGTTACAGGATTTGTTAACAGTAGACACACCTATTTTTCACACCACTTGTATTGCACTATATACTGGTATGTGTTTGGGAGAGAAAACAATGTTCTTTAAAGGAGAAGTCATATGATTCTATACTTTCATTTTGTTGTCCTTTCCCACAGAAATGGCCCTTTCCCATATAACAAATGTTATGTGCTATGGGAGTGGATATTAGGGGCTAAGTTGGGGAAAATTAGGGTTCTAAGTGGACTGAGGGCATAACCATTCCCCTTTTCTGTTTTCACAATCTGAAAAGGAGATGGGACGCCATGTGTTATCATGAGCTGAAATAGTCCACCTATTTCCCCAGGGGAGTATTTCTGTATTGTTTACAATGCCTGCCAGTTGAACCACAGAATACCTTTGAGCCTCATTTAACTTTGGTGCCTATGCTCTGAGAATACCATGTTTAAGGTCACATTTACCATCCGAAATTTTCCATATGTTTGGGGGGCCGTGTATTTTCCACAGGTGTTTGGATTGTGCCTCGGCACAGATGAGTATAGGCCATTGCTTCATAGCCACCTTAGATTGTGTTTGTAATGAAATAGACATGAGCCCCTGTTGGGTTACAGAACATGCTCATTGCCACCTTCGGGTTTGAGAGTATGTTTTTATGTTTTGTTTGGTTTCTCCTATCCATTTGATGAGTGTTGCATTATTTTTTAAAGGAGCTTCCCATCCTTTTCCATCTTCCTGGAATAACATTCCTTCTATGTGGGCTATTTTTGACAGAAAACTTTTCTCTAAGAGATGCCTCTCCTCGTTAGCTATGAACTCAGCTTACACCAATATACCTAGGCCAGCTCCAACTTTTCCAGTGAGGTCAAGTTTTAATTTCTGGGTGGCGAATTTTGCTGGATTCATCAGGATTGCTGTTGCCATTGTATACTAATGGCATTAGCACAATTTGAAACTATATGTGCAATTTATACTTGGGAGTATTATACCAAGAGGCTTTGTCATAAGGCATCTTTATCCTATCAGTAAATATTTTCTTTTAAATCTATGAGAAGCAGAAAATTGTTTATGGTTGGGGTGGATGCAAAAGTGACACACTATAGTCTAGAAGGAAATGTCCCTTGTTTTGCCGGCTGTACCATCTTTGTACCCCTCCTTGATTTGGAGAGTTTGACATGGACCTAAGTTCATGCCCAAAACTAGCTCTTACAATCTCATGTGCCTGCCTCTTCCAAGACAGTCCCTGAGCCTAGAGAGAGGGTGCTTGTATAGTTTTAGCATCAGAAGATTCGCGGTGAAATACAGATCTGAACCCAGTGGGATGTCAGCTGAGGGGGATTCATATCTCTAGTCTTCAGAATACCGTAATTTTGGTTTCCTTGGAAGTAAAACAAGGAGAGGTAAATAACATTTATAGTTTCACAATCAAAAGATTATTTGTGTGTCAGAATGGAAAAAGGAACCTACTTCATTAGGGAACCAGCTAAAAATATGGAGATAAATTATGATCTGGTACTCTCTAGAGGATTATTATAGCAAAGAAATAATGATTTAATCTGCACTTAAAAAGAGTTAGGACTGAAATCTAGTACTAATCCTTAAGCTTTTCCTTTTAAACAATTGTTCTATCTGCATTTTTTTTAGAGATTATAGTAAGACCAGTTTGTGTGCCAAGTAAGTTTTAGTCTTATCATGGTTGGCCGGATTATTTGCTTAAAATGCAGCAAGAATTGATTGGCCACATAGACTCATTTTAAGTTGGCTTTGCTGGCACCTTACCTAAAAATATACCACTTTAGTTCAAGTCTCTAATTGTTTTAAAGACTCTTATTGAAACTTATGCAAACAACCATATTGTCATAAAATTAGGATCTGAATTTTGGAGAACTCAGAAAGATAATTTGCTTACAAAAACAAACTTCATCAAAATGAATTAAAGAAAAAGATTGTCTGGACCCTCCTTTAACAAGAGCAGTGGCTTTCACACAAGATGTTTGTTTATCATCTTGGAAATGTCATGCACAAGCCAAACCGCTCCTGAGAGCTGTCTATCAGGCACTATGCAATCTAGCAGCTCCTCACAGAGTTAGAATTAGTCCTAGGAATGAGGCTGCCTGCTTATTAGTATCTCCTCCTTATATCCTCATGTAGCAAGATTCTATGTAAACCATTTTTATTTTATCACGAAACTCTTTTGGGGCAACATTATTTCCACTATCATAGAAGTTGGTTCAGTTAGCATTCCATAGTAAGGTACTAAATGTCCCTGAGCTAGAAATTCCCTTGTTCTATCTTTGTCATCAGGAAGAACTCACAGTTTTTTTTTTTTTTTTGCCATCAGCCCCAATAAATGTTACACAAAGGGCTATGAAGTGCAGGATTTGTCCCGACTAGCACTCCAGCTTCTACCCTATACTTTGTGGGCTTAGGCAGTCTTACTAGTTCCCATTTGGCATGTCCAATTAACATTTCTCAAAAGAGCAGATTTATATGCCTTCAGTTTTATACTACTAGAAAGGGGAAACCTCTCCCAGGTAGTAAAGGAGGTTACAACTACCTTACATAAAACCTGTTTAAACATTTTAAATTTCATAACTCTATTAACCTGTATGTTTATATGTTCTGGTCCCAGAATTTTTTTTTAATACCCCCAAATCATTTTACCTTTTCTATTGAAAAAGGGTTTGGTTTCTCAGCAGGGAGTTGCATCTGTAAGACCTCTAAGGGGCAGCAAATTTGATACGACTCCTCAAACACTCTCATGATTTTGTGGGAGGAGCATCCATGTAAAAGGGGCCCTCTTAGCACCCAAATTTAACATAACCTGGGTAACAGACAGTTTGGTGGGAGCATATCCCAGTCATTATTAAGCCAGTCCAACATGGTTCACATAAGAAGCATATTAACTGCTCCATCTGGGGTGTTTCACTTGGTATTTTATTGGGAGAGTTAGGTAGTCCCCTACTCAGAGAAAACAGACTTTATGGTGGCATTTTCTGGGTATATTATGATGATTATTCTCTTAGGAATAACCTCCTGGGTATTTGGATCACATGTTAGTGGTTGTTCAATAGTGAACTGTGGGTCCTGCATTAACCCAAACAAGCTCTTAAATCGTGTAACATTTAAAATTAAGAATCTTGTCCTTAAAGTGTTTTTTCTCAATCCATCATAGTAAGGATTTTTTAAAGAAGCTGATGATACTAAACTACAAAATGGAACAATTCTTTACAGTATACCCTCTGGTTCTAAATAGTTAGTTTTGCTCTTCCCCCACATTGATTGACTATCATTTTGGTAGCCACGGGTCTCAGAGTTAACTTTTGTTGCCCTAGCTTAATTACTCTTTTTATTTAGTTATATCCGTATAATTTTTCCTTTCATTTTAAAGCAACTCTTAAATAGTTTTCTAGCTAGAGGAAAAATATATTTTCTTTTTTAAGCAAAGTCAACATTTTTATGCTTTATAAAATTCACCAAAAACAAATTTTATGCTCTTGCTATTTTAACTTTCAGCAATCCAAATTTCCAGTGAAAAATAACCTAACCTGAGATTTTAACATGACTTGAAGCTTTTAAATTACTGGAGAGTTTTGAGATGGAATTTACCACATTAATTTTACCAAAGATTCTTAAGGTTATGAAAATTAAAAGGGCATTTGAGATAGCTTGTACCAGTCTAACAAGCAGCTACATTTCTTTAAGAAAAGTTACTTGTCTAGAGCTCTTTCATGTAGTTTGGGAGTTAAATACCACTTCCACATGACACATATAAAGATAGAGATATAACACTCATGCGGAATAAAAAGGCAGGTCCAAAGGATATTTCATTTGACTGTTTTTTTAAAAAAATTCCCTTTCTTACTTTAGATAATTAATAAAAGTTACAGGAGCCAACAAAAGGTGAAGGAGAGAGCTATCATCCATGGCCCTTTCAAAGAGGAAGAGCTGAAGTTTTGACCTATTTTATCTGAAGAATTTCAAAGAGACAGATTCTAGAATTTAAAATTTAATAACTTTTTGCATTAGTAATAAGTTAATATTTTTAATAAAAATCTTGTTTTAACCAATTATTTCAGTTTTACATTAGTGTATATTTTTAAATATCGAAGATCCATCCCTAGAAAGACTATTATAATTCCTTTTTAATGGTAGCCAACTGAATTATACAACCCCTTTAAAAAAATATATTTTTACTAACCCTGTTATGACTTACATAGACCACTCAAAACATGTTTAGACTTTCTGTTTTTTCCTAAATATTCCTCTTTCTTGAATGACCCAGTCATTTTATTCTAGGGCAAAAATTTACTACACAAGATTCTTTCTGATATAAAATTATTTTCCTTTATCCCTTCTCTATAAAAAGGTACCACTTTAAATTTTTTTACATTTCTTTTTTTCTGGTTCTTTTTATACATAACATTTAAGTAGGCTGTCAGTTACACAAAGATATTTACATTTTAATAAGAACACTTAAAAATTTTTTATAATTTTTAAGTTTTGAATTACCTGTATACTCAATATTTATGAATAACCTTAGATCCTAAATTATATGACAAGTTTGTTTACAAGCATTTATTCCATCACATTTCCCTGATTACATTATTCAATAGTTTACCTAGATTATTGACCAAAACTGTAACAGTCCTTCTGTAAGTTATTTCCCTGTTACCCTTTTTTATAGCTGTGCATTTTAGGTGTTTACTTACATAGGAAACCTAAAGTTAAATATAAGAGTATTTTTACAAATAATTTAGGATTTCATTAAAAGAATATTCCATGTCTTTCTTGTCTAAAATTACACAAGCAAAGATCATTTTGTCTTGGTCTGGCTTTCATAATTTTATAACCCTTATGGTTAATCTTATATTATTCTGCAGGATTAAGCATGGAATTACTTGATCAATAAACACAAAACAAAAATGCTAACAATTTTTACGACATTTCTAATTTTACTTTACCCATAATTTTAAAGCCAGCTCATTTATTAAATATTTTAAGTCAAGTGACCTTAAAAAGCATTTGTGTAGTCTTTTATTTGATTAAGTATCTGATTTATGTGCTTTTATTTTTAAAGCCAATTAGAGCTCTTGTATATATTTTTAATAGTGAAACATTGTGTACACAACACATAAATACATAGATGTATTAGGCATGCCAATAGATGTACATCTTATAGATTCATAAGATCCTATTTTTTCCTGTCTTAGGTTTTCAAATTCTTGATAACCTGTTTGACTACCTTAGGTAGCTGTCAGCTAAATAGCCTTACTCTGCATATCAAAGGAAACAATTCATAGGTGAAAATCAGATAGGAAACTTACATCTGAGGAACACAGCGAAATAGTCTGTTGTGCTAGACAGAAATTAAAATGGATGTAACTGCTACATAACATAAAATTATAGAAATCATAAAAGCCTTTTAAATATATACATGCACATATTTGCACAGAAAAGAAAATCCTGTAGCTTTTGGTTGAGAACTTTAGGAATGATATGAAACTGGCTTGAAAAACGAACAAACAGACAAACAAAACCCTGTTATATCCAAACAGTGGCTTTTATCTCAGTCATAATGTAACAGCTGATATAAAGCAGGCAGAAAAGAAAAGAGAGAAAAAGAGACCTTAGGAAATCTATAACTTGCAGGTCGACCTTAGGGCTTTTTTTTTTTTTTTTTTAAATGTGCACAAAGACCACGTTACTTCCATTTTACATAAAGTCTGGCTAGTAGAGTTGTCGTAAAATCTAAGAAGTGCTTGAAAGTGGGTCATTCTCCTTGTTTTCTCCTAAGTTTTAGATTTTTTTCTCACCTTTTTTTTAAGGAGGAATTGAGCTGTGGAATAGAGCTTTTGTGGAGTGGGTCAAAGGGTGCTGCTTGTAGGCAGGACTCCAGAGTGTGTCACCACTGTGTCACTCCTGCCCTCTTACATGTCTCAATTTTTCTCTCCAGAGGTCTAAGCAACTCCTCAAGTTTTTTAAGAGAACAATACTTGCAAATATTGAAACAATATAGCCTGTTCCTGAAAAATGTAATATGTTGTACAAGATCTAGTTTTACTGATGCTGCTCTAACACTTAGAATTCCTTCTGCACTCTTTGGCATGTGGGCAGAAATTCCACCCCTTTCTTCGAGTCCCTGCCTTCTTCAAGAGTTTTTTATTTTTGCCGCACAGCCCATGTCCCCTAATTCTAACTTCCAACAAAAATATTTGTCTCCATCCATCCCTGGAGTTGTCAAAACAGGGATCTTCATGCCGGGTTTCTCAATGAGCCATTACACAGATTTAGCAGGGAAATGGGAGTAATATCAAAGACACCTTGTATAAACCATTGGATGACCCCAGCCCTCGTCTCTGCCCATGAACAGCTCCCGGGGCAGAGAGTCAGGCAGCCCTGCTCTTGTATCCCTCAGAAAACTCTTGAGATTTTGTTCCTAAAGCCTCCCAAAGAGGGAAAAGGAATTCATCTCATGACATCCCACTTTTCATTCAAGTGAGTAATTGCGTTATGACACAGAGAAGGACACAGCATTGCTCCCCTTACTATAGCCTAGCAGATAAAGCACCAGCAAACTAAAACACCCTAACTTCTCAGTCACCATGCAAGCCCTTTTATATCAAATGCAATGGACTTTTCCACAAGCAAAATGAATCTTCTGACCAGCAGGCATCCTCTGCTTTGACTCGGGCTTGGATACATATTGTGCTTCAACAAATCTCAGTACTGAATCTAAATATCAAGGAGAAGTGGTCCCAGGAAATATACTGAGAGGACTTTGAGCTTTTACCAAACTGCACAATCCCAAAATCATAGACTTTACTGAGGCCAATTAAATTGGCTAATTCATGGGTGAAAGTGAAACATCATAATGTTTACAAATCTGCCCAACTGTTTTTACGTTAAAGCCAGGGTTTATGTCAATTCCTGTGTGAGGATGAGGAGACATCAATTCAAGCCCATGACAATCTGGAAGGACAGGCAGAGACTGTGTCCAGGCAGGCCTCACATTATTTATACTTTGACCTATTTAATTAAATATGTAATGTTCTCCAAATTTTAGATGTCATTTGCTGTAATCCTGACCCACTAAGATGTACTATTTGTGCTGTAAAATTGTATTGTATTTGACAAATGCATAGTGGCAGATCTCTGGCATTAAAGCATCACACAGAATGTTTCTCTTATTCGAGCTCCTCTTTCCTCCACATACAGGGAATCAACAGACTACTTTATACGGTCTTTGGACTTTGCTTCTTTATTTCCACCCTCTTTCATAAAAAAAAAAGAAAAAGAAAAAAGATACCGTGCTCCATTTGCATTTGATCTTCCAAAAGGAAGGTACTGATAAAACCGGAATTTCAGCGATACAGACGCAGGTCAACCGCTAAACAGTGAAGGCCAAGAGTCCCGCGCTGCAAGCCCATAGCCGGCAGAGGGCAATGGAACTCGCTTTCTGGTCGTGCGGGGCGCATGCGCATTCTGCTTGCGGAAGCGGGGCCAGATCGCCAAGGAAGAAGGGAACTTCCCTTCCTCAGGCCAGGGAGGAGGAGGCGCCGCCCTGGCTTTGGGGCAAATGGGGCTGCATCCATCTTAAGGAAAACGCTGCTGTTCACAGCCCTACCTGCTGAGGAGTGAGATTCCCTGCGCGTCTCCCGGATATTTTTCTGAAACAGCACTAAAGACTTAATGTTCTGGGCTGTTCCTACGTGTTTTCTTCTGCACTGTCTGTTGGGATATATTAGCAAGAATTATTTTACAAATCTACGTATTCCTTAGGGATTTTCATTGATAACCATAGCAGGCCGTAATGTGCCTTCCTCGCAACCTCTGTCAGGATTGATTATGAGGAGAAACACAAGAAGAATTGTGAGGAAAATCTACAGAATACAGGGACCCTGCACAGGAAGGAGTATGTGGCCGGGGCACGGCGGCGCACTGTCGCGCAGCTCGCGAGAAAGGGGCCCCTGCAGGGAAACCCCGCACTCTGCATCCCTGCATTTCCACATTGTGAGGGGCTCATCTTTCCTACAGTGCCAAATTCACTGAAAAATAGTGAGACAATGAAAGGGAGGGGCACTAATGCATCCTTTAATTGTTGCTATTAAAACGGCAAGAGCCACGTCTTTAATTTTACCCTAGCACTGCAGATTTAAAAGTGATTTTCATTACACATGCAAGGGGAAAGCTACACTTTTGTGAAAAATAGTTTCTACCCCAAATGAAAACATATTGCTTAAATATTTCTTCAAAAATAAGTTATTATTCTGTGCTGCAGGATATATCCTGAGACATTTATGCTGCAAATTTATTAATTTATCTATTAAAACATTTGGTTTATAATCAAAGCGATTATAAAGGTAGAATATATATTTGGCACGTCCCTCATATTTTTATTCTTGTACTGGTTTGCAGTCCATAGGTTTTCAGCTAGACGTGACACACAGAAACTCACCATGAGGAGCCTTTCTCTTTCTTGACTGTAAAATATACATACTCCAGAATCATCAATAGAGGCTATTTCTTGAATATCTCAACCTGAACCCCGCAGCCAGAAAGAATGTAGGCAATTAATCCAATTTTATAACTGCAGCTGATATTCAGCTAATTACCTGCTGTTCTCCTCAGAAATTATCAAAATCCCCAAAGCAGAGAGTTCTCTGGATAAAGGCACTAATGTTCCCCTTGGAGGCTTTTAAGACATTGGCAAAATTAAAGGAATCTTCCTGTTTTCCTTTTATTCATCTAAATGATTTATCTAACTGGAGAAGAAAGCTTCAGTGCAAAAGGCATCTGCTAATTAGATTCAATTTTTTTTTTAACATTTAAGGGAAACAGGGTCTATACTTCACCTAATAAAACTGATGAAATTATCAGCTAAATGCAAAGAGAATCCACAAACAAATTTATACAAGTTCTAGAGAGAGGATGAAGCCCTGAGCTCAGGGGCCTGTTAGAGATGGCACGCTCAGTAATGGTGCACCCTCACAGATTTTCCTTCTAGTTCAGTTCTAGTGATTACTGGATTACTGTTTTCCCCCAATACCATCTATTATTCTTTATACTGTCAAATAATTTTTAATCTTAAAATGACTAATTCTGAGTTCAGGCATATGGTGTCTGGCCACCTGCAAGAAGTTTAGGTGACTTTGCCAATAAGAATGATGGATTTGTAATTAATAAGTAATGTTGAAAGCAAAACTTGCATTACAATTCTGAAATTAGTCCAGCGGGGATACAGGCAAGAAATAAATTAACAGACAGATTAATACACAATGATATATTAGAAATTAAGTAAAGGTTCTTTTTGTATTTTCCCCAGCTTGTCTTATAGTATTCGCTTCTTCTGTTTGGATAACTTTCCCCAGGAGATTCATTTTAAAACTTAATTCACTTAAAATAACGTATTTTTTTTTATTTAAAAATACTGTCAGCCCTCCACATCCATAGGTTCCATATTCATGGATCCAACTAATCTTGAATAGAAAATATTCACAAAAGATTTGCACAAGTTTCTTCAAAGAAACTTTAAATTTTCCATGCATCACATTCTTTTTGAGTTCACATAAATGACGTGACGTCTGGGCATTGCATTAAGTATTGTAAGTAATCTAGAGATCATTTAAATTATATAAATTAATGTGATTATGTTATATTCAAATTCTACGCCGTTTTATACAAGGGACTTGAGTATATACAAATTGTGGCATATTTAAAGTTTCCTAGACCCAATCCTTTATGTTTACTAAGAAACGACGTACACATGAACTTTACAGAAAATAACTGTCCTACCAAATTAATGAACAGACTACAATAGAAAGTAAATATTGCTAGTTTAAAATACTGTTATTTTATGTCACAATTATATGGTGAATCAGAGTAGAGCTCTTGAATTAATTTTGATTGAATTAGGCTAATTCTGACTGGGTAACACTCATATTGACTGAGTTTTGATAAAACCACTCCCATGCTGGCCCTTCATGTTGTTTAATCAGCACCACTAGCCAATCACATTCATCCATTTTGACAAATCCCATGGCTCCACCTCTTATAAGACCCTTGGAGGATTTCCCCAAGAGCTCACTCTACCAAAGCACCATTTGACCGGTCCCAGGCCAGGACACACTCTTCCATGCTCTGGCTGTGCTGTGCTAGAGGCTGATAATTTTTCTCCAGGTAGAGTAAAAGATCAAGGCACGAACTATATAGATTTACAGAAAATAGGCCAAAGATTGAGATTTTTTTGACACAAGCAAGTCCAGAGAACTTTTACCATGTATGGTTACCGGCGCTTAAGAAGCCCCAGAGATTCCCAGACAGAACCGCAGAATGACAATGAAGGAGAGACCAGGTATGTTGGAGTATGTGGCTACTTTGGGTTGCCAGGAGGTTGACATGTGACTGTGTGTGACTGTATGTGTGTGTGTGTGTGTGAATGTATGCTAAAGGGCCAAACTAGGGCAGAGAAGACACCCTGGCCTGCCATGACATTGAATGTTATAAATTTAGAACACACTGGGGAGACATGAGACCCACAGTGGAGGCCACAGGATGCAGCCAGCATGGGGGGTTTCTGCAGCCTGTCAGGGGGCTCATCTCATGTTTCTTCCCATTGTTAATCTCTGTCCTCTGGGTAAACAGAAGTTGCCTCTTGTGTGGAGACAGGTAAACTGTGGGCATGATCTAAATTTTTTCCTTGTGCTCACTAGAAAATGGAACATTTCATGTCATTTATCACTCCATTCACACTGTAACTGCATAGACACAGGGGTTAGATACCCGGAAAATCAGCATCTTCTCCTAAAGTCCTCGGGCCAAATTTGATGTCCCTCCTTCTCATGTGGATGAGCTCCTGAAAAAGCAAACTGTTTCCTGTGATCGCCATGTCTTATCACACACATGCACCGATAGGAAAAGCCTCTAGAAAAGGAGAGGGTGGGATATGAGTGTTAGGACTTTCTGGATGCAGGTAGGATTTGGAGCTGAACACAAGTGCATGTGATTTTGGGCCACAGCAGCAATGTGTGCCGGATGACTAATGAAGTTTGGGGCTTGTGAGAATTGGACTTTGTGTCACTATGTGGAAGATTGATGGGTCCCTTTCTGTCCTGCAGTTTGGCTACCACACAAATGAATCCACCCAAACGTCGCCAAGTGGAGCAGGGTCCCAGTACAGGTAAGGCACTTTCCCTAATATTTTTTAAGATTCCCATGCCTGGAAGTCAGTGTCATGTCTCATGATACCATAAATGGAGAGGGTGCTTTCTGCAGGGTGAGTGGAAAGTCATGCTTGACTGTTGGGGGCTGGTGTCCTGAGGCTGGCCAGTGCTGGGTGGTGGATTTCTGAAGGTCACATTCTGAAATGCAAGAGACTCTTGCTGGAAGAGAGCCTTAACCTCCCTCACTGTGGTCTCTCTGCAGGTGCAAAAAAACCCTCAATTTCAGGAGCTCCACACCTGAATTCATACCAGTCCCTGGAACTTCCCCAGGTAAGTTCCTGTGTCCTTGCATAGCAAAGATTGGATAGTGCTGCACAATCTTCAGGTTCAAGGGACATCCAGTGGATGTATATTTAGGTGGATTGGCATGAGCACCAATTCTGGGAGGGAGTTTGTATTTTAAAGTTGTAAAGGGTGAAGCTCCTGGCATCTCCCTCCCCATGAGCATCATTTGCAGCCTTTTTGGAGGGCAGAATACTGAGGACTGTCTTTCCACAGAAGCAGCAGGATTCTGGCACTGAGGAGCTCATGATAGTCCTGGAACAAGGGACAGAAGTGAGGTTGAGCCTGGAAGAGGTCATCCTCATCTTGGCCCCAGAGACAGTGCTGCAGCTGACCCTGGAGAACACAGTCCTTGTGATTGTCCCTGAGCATGTCCTGAGGTCAGAAGATGGCCTGCAGTCCCCTGTGCAGATCCAGTACATCATACCTTCCGTTGATGACTTCAGCTTGGAGTTCCATGCTCAAGATGGAGACATCTCAGACATGAGAAGAGAGAATGTGCCTTTTTCACCTGCAGAAGAAGGGAAGGCAGCACCCCTGTATCAGCAGCCCTTGATGATACCCCAAGCAAACCACATGGCTGGGATCAGCCCTTCTTTCCTAGTAACCCCATTGTGCATTCCACGCTGTCGGGCAGCCTTCCCCCAATGCTACCCTCTACCACCCACACCTAGTCCCGTGGGACGCCCTAGACCAGCCGACTCCAGTTTCAGCCTGCATGGTATGGAGCTCTTGTGCACCTCCTCCCTCAGACCTATGCCCCCTTCACCAAGTCCTGGTCCCCAGGTCTATCACAGGTTCACCATAGGCCTCCCAGCAGGGCACGGAGATGTCTCTTTAGGAAGTGATTTAACCCAAGAGCCACCCCCTGCATTGATAGGTCAGAGATTGTCCAGATCCTTAGTCAGTGCATTCTCTGAAATGTGGAGAGAAAGTAATTTGACCACTTGCTTGCCCTTTGCTGTTCCCCATCATCAACCACTGTCTTCAACAGCGGAGGGTCCCAGATGCTGCAGGGAGGGGGAGAACTGCAGGGAGTTCAAATAAAACATTCACATTTCACTTCACACACACTGTCCCTTAGACTTTCTCTTCCTATTTAAGCACATACATCCAACCACACTCAATCAAATCCCTGACTGCTCCATGTGAGAGTTCTGCTTCCAGCATGACGTGGTCTGAAAGTTCATCTGAAGACAGCTGCTCACTCCCGGGGGCTAACACCGCCCCTTGCATGCTGATGTCCTTGTAGTCATTGGTCTGATGCCACAATAAATAATTCCTAAGGCTGGTGCTCTATTTCTGCCCTGAGACTCTCCCCTTTTTCTCCAAGCTGTGCCCCATTCCTTGTCTTAGTCCAGGTTCCCTACACTCCCCAGGCCAATGCTTTTGAATAAATCTTGACGTCATTGAATGAAGTAGTGGTGACTGCTGTGCTTGCTTCCAACTGAGACAGTCTCCTGCTCTCACTCATCACGTTTCCATTCACATTTGCCTTTGTTTAGTTTTGTTTTCCATTGTTTGGGTTTATTATTCATGTACTTATGAAATAACTGCCACATTTCTGACAGTTTTTTTGGCCAATTTGGGGCTTTTCCTGTGCTCCTCCTTCCAAGTCCTGAGTGGGGTCACTGTTTGCACCTCTGGGCCCTGGGATGGGTCTGGCTTAGCAAATGGTTGAACAGAGCTTAGCTCTGTGTGTTGGGACGGGCACCTGCACTTGCTCACAGCTGCTTCCAGGCTCTCCCTGTCCTGCCTGGACGTCTCTGTGTCTCTGGAGTGTCTAGGAAGTCTAGAAGTTCTCTTGAGGGCCCAGCACCTCTTTGTTGGCCTGCATGTCCCAGCCTGTATGTCCATGGCCAGCTAGAGCTACCACTAGCTTTTCCTGGCCAACCTGGGAGCTCAGGCCTGAGTCCTGGAGGCAGGGGAGATGCAGGGATAATGTCCTGGCCTTCTGGAGCCCAACTCCAGTAGGTGGGGAGTGCTCATGACCCTGCGGGGAGTACAGGGCGTTTGCCCTTGACTTGCCTGAGCCTCTAAAACCTCACATGTCCCCTGGAGGTGGGTGCAGCTTCCTCCTACTCTGGCCTTGCTGGCCTGGGAAGGGCGTCCTTGGTCCCTTGAACCCTCACAGCATTTTCTCTTCTACTGAGGTTTCAGGAACTGCCTTTCCCCTCTGGGAAGGAGGACAGGGACTCTTTCAGGTTTGATTCTCCTCGGGGTTTTAGACGTTGGCTGAGGTGGGAACTGCCTTCATCCACATGAAAGGCCCAGCCAGGGCATCCTCACCAGCCTGGGCCTCTGGGTAGGTTCTGAGTCTGGTCGCTGGAGAGGCGGCTTCTGTGAGCCCCAAGACAGCAGCCCCTGTGAAGGCCATTCTCCTCTGTTCCCTCAGGGTGTCAGGACCCGCCTGTGTCCAGGAAGTCCCCTCTGAGACTAGATTGTCCTTGGTGCAGCCCTCCCAGAGCCGTGCAGAGGCAGATGTGGTGCACTGGGCCTGGGCTCTGAGGAAGCAGTGGTAGCGGGGGCCAGGGAGGACCCAGGCTCTAGGGCAAGGGAGTGTCTAACCTGGGTAGAGCTGGGCCGCATTCAGGGAGTGGCACTCCAGGGTTCTGTTTCAGGTGGAGCAGGGGCCAACTCAGGATCAAGTACCTCTCCTTCCACCTCCAGGACTCACCCAGGGGCAGGCGGGAGCTCCAGGTTCTTCTCCTCCTCCTCCTCCTCCTCCTCCATGTGTTTTCTCTTGCTTTATTTCTCTGAGTCAAGAAATTGGGGCTGTCCTTCATATCGGTGAATTTTGACCCTAATCATCATGACCTTGTTGAGGAAAAGAGTCATACTCTGCAAAATATTTGGAGATATTTATTCTGAGCCAAATATGATTGACCATGTCGTGTGACCCAGCCCTCAGGAGGTTCTGAGAACGTGTGTCCAAGGTGATCAGGGTGCAGCTTGGTTTTATGCATTTTAGGGAGACATGACTTCAACTAAGTGCATTTAAGAAATACGTTGATTTGATCCAGAAAAGTGGGACAACTTGAAGGAGGGGGGCTTCCAGCTTATAGATAGATTTAAAAATTATCTGGTTGATAATTGGATGAGTTTATCTAAGACCAGGGATCTATTGAAAGGAAATGTTTAGGTTAAGATAAAGAGGTGGGGAGGCCAAGTTTTACTGTGCAGAGGAACCTTCAGATAGTAGACTTGAGAGGGAGTAGGTTGTAAAATGTTTCTTATTGGATTTAAAAGGGAGCCTGGTCTTTGTTGATTATCTCCTGTGTCTGGAAAGAAAGAAAGAAGAAAAAAAGGTGGGGAGCCTTAACCTCCCTCACTGTGGTCTCACCACAGATGCAGAAACACCCTTACTTCAAAGAATTCCTCACATGAATTCATTCCAGGCCTGGAATCACCCCAGGTAACTCCCTATGTTCATGGATAGCAAAGATTGGACTATGTTGCATAATCTCCAGGCCACAAGACACATCCAGTGGTGGTGCATTCAGCAGGGTCAGCATGACTGCCACTTCTAGGAGGGAATTTGTATTTTAAAGTTGTAGAGGGTGAAGCTGCTCCAGCTCCCTCCCCAGGAGCATCATTTGCAGTCTTTTTTGAAGGCAGTGGACTGAGGGCTGTCGTTCCACAGCAGCAGCAGAATTCCAGCACAGAGACGTTCATCATCGTGGTCCCGGAACAAGGGACAGAACTCACACTGAGACTGGAAGAGTATGTCCTCATCCTGTCCCCACAGACAGCCCTGCCCTGACCCTGGGTAACAGCGTATTTGTGGTTGTGCCTGAGCATGTCCTGAGGTCACTGGATGGCCTGCAGTTCCCTCTGCAGATCGATTACATCTAGCACTCTGTGGATGACTTCACCTTGGAGTTCCATGTTCAAGACAGAGACACCTCAGACATGAAAGAGACAATGTGCCGCGCTCACCTACAGAAGAGGGGGAGGCAGAACCCGTATGTCACCAGCCCTTGATGAGATCCGAAGAAAACCATGTTGCTTGGCTCAGCGCTTCTCTTTCAATAATCCTACTGCGCATTGCATACTTTCTCCTCTGTGCCCTACCCTTTACCAACCACACCTAGTCCAGTGGGATTCCCTAGACCAGCCAATCTCAGCTTCAGCCTGTATAGGATGGAGACTTTGCCCAACTCCTCCCTCAGACCTATGCACCCTTCACCAAGTCCAGCACTCAGGTCTGCCACAGGGTTCACCATAGTTCTCCAACCAGGGCACGAAGATGTGTTTTCAAGAAGGGATGTAGCCAAGATCCACCACTTACATTGATAGATCAGAGATTGGCCAAATCCTTAGTCAGTGCATGCCCTAAAATGTGGAGGGAGAGTAGTTCCAGGAACCTCTTGCTTCCCCTTCTCTGTTTCCCATCATGATCCATTGTGCTCACTAGCAGAGGATCCCAGATGCTGCAGGGAGACGAAGAACTGCAAGGTGTGTAAATAAAGTGCTCCCATTTCACTTGGCACACAGTGTCCCTTAGAATTTCTCTTCCATATTCAACCTCTTAAATGCAACCACACTCAATCAAATCCCTTACTCCTCAACGCGAGGGTTCTGCTTTCAGCATGCTTTCAGTGGCGTGAAAATTCACCTGAAGAACTCTGCTCACTCCCAGGGCTAACACAGCCCCTTGATTGCTGGTGTCCATGTAGTCATTGGTCTGATGTATAGATAATAATTCCTAAGCTTGACACTGTATGTATGCCCTGAGATTTTCACCATTTTCTCCGTGCTGTGACCCAGTCCTTGTCTTTGTTCAGGTTCCCCACACTCCCCAGGCCAATGCTTTTCAATAAATACTGAAATTATAGGATGAAATAGTGGTGACTGCTGTGATTGCTTCCAAGTGAGACACGCTTCTGCTCTGGCTCATCAAGTTTACATTACCACTTGCCATTCCTAAGTTTTGTTTTCAATTTTTGGTTTGTATTTCATATACCTGTACACTAAATTTCATGATTTGGGCAGCATTTTTTTTATAAAGGCAGGGCCATAACTTTGAGGAGGACAGACAAGTTTCTATCTCCTTCGTGTAGAAAAAAAAAGGCAATCACAATGCTGATTTCAAACATGTTGGATAAAACAGTAACCAGGCATGTCCGGTGTGTAGAGTGAGATGCTACTGTGTTTTGAAACACAATGGAAAGGCTCTTGATTAATGTATCTTATGAGGAGAGGCCTAAATATAAATTTAAAAAATAGTTACAGTAGTGTATCACTGCATAAGTATCTAAAAAAAGAACGACAACTGGATAACACAAGTGAGGGTCTATGTTCCCTGAACCGGAAGAGACAGGCAGGAGTCGGAATGATGAACCAGCACACTGGGGCGTTTTCTCATGTAGCCCAAGTGACCCCATGGTCTTCTCGAGCTTTGGAACCAGTCGCGTCCCCTTTGACACTGCACCCGGCTCCCAGTCTCTCAATCTTGTTGGCCCTCCGGCGATCTCCCGTTGGATGAATTGCTCCTGCTGAAACTCGAGTCCCCTTTGATTTGCGCTTCATTAATTATTCATGATTCAGGTTCGAAGGCCTGCTGACGACCCCCTGTGGCCGTTCTCTGAGCTTTCCTGTCACATCGTTTCCTTCCACGCTCTTTGGTTCCTTATGGTCCTGCTCCTTCTGCTGTCAGAGGAGCAGAGAGTTGATCTTATTCATTCTGGATACGGATACTTTCTAGGTGATCTGGATAATCAAGATAACGACCCTCAACAGCGGCGGAAAGGGAGCAGCCAGTTGGTGTGTCTCAGAAAATCCCACTGAGTTCCGAGGCCTCCTAGATGTGGAATCCTGCTGAGAGTTGTTCCCAGGTCAGAGAATGGAGAGAGCCTGTGCATGATGGGATATCCCCGCCTAGATCTTTCAGTGAGTCTCTACCTCAGCAACTCTTAGGATCAGGGGGAGAACCATGGTGTCAGACATCCGGAAAGAAGATGGGATGAATGTTTTACCTCTGAAGTACATCCCAAATGTGGGAGTTAACTTCAGCTTTGCTGGGGTCTATTTGGCCAGTGAAACGCTGCCTGGTTCATTCGCACATCCGGAAGCCACTTCACGGGGGGCCGTCGCAACTGGAACCACACACTTGGCATCGGCGGTTGAGCCAAATGGGGACTCGTGGTGCAAGCAACGCTCCCCACGTGTTAGCGTGCGTGAGATTCGGTTGGCGGAATTTTACTAGGTGCGTGTTGGTAGAGTGGGGCTGAGGTTTTCTTGCTCCTGTGGATGTATAGGAAGTCAAAGGTCCTGCCCAGCCCTGCGGTCCCCTCAGTCAACTCTGTTTCGGAGACGTAACGATTTGGATTGCCAACAAGTCAAGAAATGTTCAAGCCCTTGGATGTAGGGTAAAGAAAGAGAGATCAGACTGCCACTGTGTCTATGTAGAAGGGGAAGACACAAGAGACTCCATTTTGGAAAAGACCTGTAGTTTAAACAATTGCTTTGCTGAGATGTTGATCATTTGTAGCTTTGCCGCAGCCCCTTCCTTTGACCCAACTTGGAGCTCACCAAAACCTGTGCTGTATAAAATCGAGGTTTAAGGGATCTAGGGCTGTGCAGGACGCGCCTTGTTAACCAAATGTTTACGAGCAGTATACTTGGTAGAAGTCATTGCCATTCTCTAGTCTCAATAAACCACGGGTGCAATGCACCGTGGAAAGCCACAGGGACCTCTGCCCTTGAAAGCAGGGTATTGTCCAAGGTTTCTCCCCATGTGTCAGTCTGAAATATGGCCTCGTGGGATGGGAAAGACCTGACTGTCCCCCAGCCTGACACCCGCAATGGGTCTGTGCTGAGGTGGATTAGTCAAAGAGGAAAGCCTCTTGCAGTTCAGATGGAGGAAGGCCACTGTCTCCTGCTTGCCCCTGGGAACTGAATGTCTCGGTGTAAAGCCCGATCGTACATTTGTTCAACTCTGAGCTCGGCGAAAAGCTGCCCTGTGGCGGGAGGCGAGACATGCTGGCAGTAATGCTGCCTTGTTATTCTTTACTCCGCTGAGATATTTGTGTGGAGAGAAACATAAATCTGGCCTACGTGCACGTCCAGGCATAGTACCTTCCCTTGAACTTAATAATGATATGGATTCTTTTGCTCACGTGTTTGTTTTTTGTTGTTGTTTTGACCTTCCCCTTATTATCACCCTGCTCCCCTACTGCATTCCTTTGTGCTGAAATAATGAAAATCATAATCAATAAAAACTGAGGGAACTCAGAGGCCGGTGCCGGTGCAGGTCCTAGGTGTGCTGAGTGCCGGTCCCCTGGACCCACTGTTGTCTCCCTATACTTTGTCTCTGTGTCTTATTTCTTTTCTCCGTCTCTCATCCCACCCGACTAGAAACACCCACAGGTGTGGAGGGGCAGGCCACCCCTTCACTTGGAAAATCAGTTACACACAAACACGGAATGAGAGTCAAAAGACAATATGTCATCTTTTTGAGAATTTTATTCACTTCAAAACACATTAAACACACATATGTACAAAGGCATTCCAGAGCCCAGTTTTCGAGGCTGAGGAAAGACCCCGAGAGCGCTTCGCACAGCACGCTTCCCAGCGTCCGAAACTCTGCTCTCAGGGCGGGGCACAGCGGAAGGGCTGCACCTCTCAGGGTTCCCTAACTTTTCCCTTATTCAGTCATCTAGAGAGCAAATACACAGTAATTCCCCAGTTTCCTATTGACGTCCCAGCGGAAGTCTGACTCCTGCGCGTCACGCAGTTTCTGAGGCAACGAATCTCTGGCACGGAAGCTTTTCCTGGCGCGTTTCCGGAGAACCACGCCAACTACAACGTCCCTCACCAGAATTCAATGAGGCAGAGTCCCTGCATCTGCTCCCTGACTGGCCTGGGCTCCCACATCCACAGAAGCGCCACAGCCGGGGAGCTTCGGAGTCACCGCACAGAGTGTGCTCTCTGCTCTGCGCTCCTCAGTCCCACAGTCCCCTCCAAGTCACGGGAGCTGGAGGCCAAGGAGCCCCTGCCACCTGCAGTCTCACTCCAGGTCAGAATCGCTGTCCTCTGAGGAGGAGGAAACCTGAAGGTCCTCATAGAGGACGCTCGGTGGGACACGAACACAGGGAGCCTCAGACTTCTCTGACACATGAGGGCTCTGAGCGAGGAAGGTTCCCGGCTTCTCAGGAGAGTGAAATGAGGGGGCCGCCAGGAGGCTGGAGCTCCAGCGTCCGTTTTCCAGTCTCCGGAAGAGCACTCTGAGAGGCTGGGCCCCATCATGGCTGGCCGCTGAGTGATGGGACATGGTGCAGGCCTGGGCAGTAGGCAGGCAAGGTGTGCTGTGCGGAGGCTGCCGGTCGACGCTGGGCACCTGGGCCGGTGTCCTCCTGCCCATCTGGGGCGACGTACTTGGTCCAAGTTCGGTTGCGGCTGGCGGAGGTTGGAGATTCTCCGGGGCCCCCAGCTCACCTCCCTGGATGGCGCTTTCGGGGATCTGGAAGGGACCCAGTCTCGGTTTCTTGGGGAAGTTCAGGCAAGCCTGAATCGGAGCCTGGGCAGGTCTCTTGGCTCCTGGCCCGAAGCTGAGATTGGAGCCTAGGCCCAAGCTGTGTGTGGCGGCTGGCGGGCAGGGCTGCGAGGTCACCGCAGGACGTTTGTCTTGTGCCTGGGGTCTGGCGGCCTGGAGCAGGCCGTGGGTTTTGGAGGCAGCCTGGGGAACTTCTCGGCAGCCACCCTCGGGGCGGCTGTGTGTCGGCTTCACCACGAGGAGAGGCTCGCGGCCCTGGTGCCTGACTGCAGGCTGAGGCATGTCGGCCGAAGCCCCTGTCTGTCTTTCCTTTGGTCCAAGACTTGAGGAGGAGCTCAGGCTGGCTTTTCTGAGGGGAGACAGTGAAGCCAAGACGGAGCCCCTGCCAGACATTTCGGCAGCTGAGCGATCAGCGAGGACAGGGTCCACGCGCGGCCTCTTACTGGTTGTGTGGACCGGCATTGGCCCGCTTGCAACCTGAAAGAGAGGAAACAACACAGGTTAGAAGTTCCTCAGCATGGAGCCAACGTGAAAATCAAGCACATCCAAAGACAAGGTGCACACGCCATGAAATTCTTAGTACAGTATCGACAGGCGGTCCTTGGAAGTAGGGACAGACCCTCCACCTGAGTGCTGATCAGGACAAGACACATGAAAGATGCGCTCTCGAGCTATGTGTAGCTGATCTAAGCACACCATTGTTCAAAAGATCGCGTCTTGGGCATTAACTGGATCAAAGCGCCTCCACTCAGCCTTCCATGAAGTGGAACGGACTAATGCCCTTCCCGAGGCAGGTTGCTGGCTCAAGGGTACTCGGGACGTCTTCTCTGAACACATGCATGTTCCTGGGTTTCGCCTTCTCCACGTTTGGGGCCTCTGAGGGACTAATTTCCTCATGCCGCTAGGAACGTGTTGTTGGCAGGCTTGCCATAATTGGACAGAAAGAAAGCCACAGGAAATACGGCATCTTCAGATGCCTTCGCCTGGAATCCAATTGACCTGGAAGGATCGTGGAGTCCCTGACCCCAAGAAGGCAAGAAAGAGGGGTTCCCCGATTTCCTCCCGCAGACGGGAAGCTGAAAGGAAATCAACCAGGGTGACCTAGAGGAGAAAAGGACCAGGGGCCCGGGGTGACACTCACCCTCAGATGATCAGAAGACTCCGTGGATCCTTTTCCATTCGGCAGCGGCTTCTCTGGAGGTTTCCCGGAAAACATGTGGAGGAGAGCCTTCCTCTGCGGGTCTTGTTGCCTGCAGAACAGAAAAAGGTCAGGCCGTGCCCCCTGGTTTTCCCCAGGAGACAGGGAGAACCCCGTCTGGGGCCCAGCCCCATTCCGTGTTTTGTGATACAGAAATGGACATCTGGTGCCCTTTCCGCCTCTGCACCTTCCCTCACGTGCCAACCTTCCCATCCTCCAGGTGGCCCTCTAGGCTTCCGAACTAAGGACTGTGATTTGGATTCCATCGCTTTTCCCCCTGTCGTGGGGAACCTGCACGAAGCGCCCCCGCCTCTCCCCGTCCCTGAATCTCCCAGAGCCCAAGGAGCTCCTGGGTGTGGAACCCCGGAGGACACGGAGCTCCGGCCTATTTCTCTGCAGCGCTCCTTCCCTGGCCCGGAGACGGAAAGGCACACGGTGTGCAGGTGCAGAGACACCATGTCCTTAGGAGGCAGCATCCTAAGAGTGGTGAAAACCCCTCCCACTGCTCACCTTGGTCTCTCTTCCTTCTCTCCCTTATCCTTGTTCAAGGGCCCCGGGTTGGCTTCAACCCGGGGCTTCCATGGTTTCAGGTTTTCCTTCCCTTCCTTTTTCCCCAAGGTCGCTGGAACCAGGGCTGCCTTCCAGCACTTCATGGGGCACCTGGTACTTCTGGCCGTGTGGCCAAAGGCCCCGCAGTTTTTGCACTTGAGCTGTGGGTGGAAAGGAAGTGATGTCAGTGAGTGAGCTGAAGCCACAGGCAGCGATCCCACGTCAACATTGGGACGGATTGTGAATTCAGAGCTGAATAAGGATTCCAAAGAGGGGACACCGGCATGGGGGCCGTTAAGTGCCGGGAGAGTTCGGGTACGATGTTCCCTCGCAAAGCCCGTGTGACGGAGGAACTCTGAAAGGAAGGACTCAAGGTTCCAAGGGGCACGATGGTGAAGCCGATGTCAACAACGCAGCCAAACGTGGCTACACAGGACTCTAAGTAGAAAGGGAGGTTGCCCCCAAGAGTCTCTCAAGGGACCTATCGGGCCGGGGAGAAGGTCCCAAGCCACGCCCACCTTGGATGGGAAAAGCAACCTGGCTGGTGGTGACAGAACTCTTTGGAATCCAACCCAGTCTCTGAGGACCGTGGGACACCCCCTCCCCCCGTCCCCACCCCCACCCCGATACCCAAGAGATCCAGGGCTAGACTTACCCTGGGATCTTCTTCATCGGGCGGGGGAGCCCTTGGCCCAACTGGGGCCCTCCGCTGCTTCTGGAGGGTCTGGGCTCTCACCAGTCTCTTGGCCCAAGATTTGGGGTCCCGACGTGCCATCATCTTCGTCTCCTGGGGGTTTTATGACCGCCTTTTTCAGGGGTGGACTGTTGGGCCACCTGAAACACACACAAACACACACATGTCGATGGTTAAGCACGTTGGATATTCACACACCCACAGGAAGCCACCTGCTAACTCCCTGCCTGTGTGGTCATGAGGAGACCTCACCACCAGTGGGTCAAATCTGTAGAACACAATGTGCTGTGCGCATCCTCGGATATTGTGTGTTCCTCTGCCATGACTACCTAGTCCAAGAGTAAACCCCACCTGCCACAGGGCCCGTGGCCTAGGTATGGGGGGTTGAGCTTTCAACCCCAAACAAACAACTGATTCTGGAGACTGGACTTAGGTCTCTCACGGTTCACTCCGGTAGAAGACACGGTGATTCTATCTCCCTTGACGGACAGAATGATCGAAGACACAGGGCATGGCGTGTGCCACCCTTTGGCAGGTCTGCTTGAAGTCACGGATAAGGGATGCTTCCTGTGATAACTTGAATCGCTACTCTTGCCATTTCATTAGGCAACTTCCAAACACAAATTCATACAGAGAAGTTACCTTCCTCTCTACCGCACTAGCAGGTGATGATCTTTCCTGTTCTATCTTTTGGCTTTAGCTCCAGCCCCTCTTTATTTATTTTCCTGGTATTTTACGCATACCACACGAATTCATCTGAACAAACGGGGAAGAAGTGCCGTATCGTATCGACGTCTTACACGGCTGAAGGGCAAACCCCCCTTTTTTCCAAAGTCCTTTTTCCATTTACCCACCAACTCAGCATGCTGCAGTACATTTCTTTTCGCATTCCCATCTTGGTCTTCTCCTACACGTGGAGACGGATATGTTGTCTCGTTTTCTGTTCCAAGAATTACTAGTAACGAGAACACATCCTACCCCACCAGCAAGCCCCAGTGTGATCGGTTTCTTTCGGCCTCCTTTGTCTCTTCCTCCCCCCGCCCCCCCCCGCCAAAACCACTCAGGGATTGCGTGAAACAAACAATTGTTCAGCGAAACTAACCTGAAATTACACGTCTACTTTCTTTCCCAGGCTGGCGCTGAGATGGGCAGGTGCTGCAGCAGCCCCGCTGGAAGCGATGCAGCATCCAGGACGACGGAGGAAGGGGCGGAGAGGGACCTCTGCTTTCCAGGCTGCCTTTTATACTGCCTCTGGTCACCTGACATGGAACGTACCCTAACCTAATCAGTTACCTGTACCTTAATTGCAATTAACTTAATCCAATTACATGACCTGGAAAGGTCTATCTGCACAGCCCACTCTAAGATCATGTCCACTGCTGACAGACATTCTAAAACCTACTTGTACAGCTGCAAGCTTTGAACAATAGATGTTCCCCGTCAGACATGTAACACTGGTGCCTGTACCCCTGTCTTCTTTTCCATCTTTTTTGTTGTTTTGTTTTGTTTTGTTTTAAAAAATGTGGTAAAATAGACACCTTTTAATTGGACCACATTTTGTCTATCTCGACGTAGGCCTCAGTGTCATCAAGGAGACTCTGCTTGACATGCAGTCACGGCCATGATCCATCTTCAGAGCTTCTCTTTCTTCCCCAAGGTAAGTCTGTCAGCAGAGAACCCTGACCGCACCCTCATGTGTTTTCTCCCCCAGGAGGCGCTTGGAAACCACCGTGAATTGGACCGCACTGGGAAACACAGATGAGGAAAGTCAACAACGCTTTGTCCTTCAGTGCCTGGCTCCTTTTTCAGCTCGTCTTGCGACTCCAGGCATTATGCCTGAAAAGTCTCCCGGACGCCTGTGAGGCTGTAATTCCCTGGGTCCCATTGCCATGTCTCTGGATTTGCGAAGATCCACCGCACCTTCTGTGGAACTCCCGTGTCGGTGAACTTTTGTGCCACGGCCCCTAATTCTGCCCATGGTCATCCGCACCTGCACGACTTAGGGTCCATGTTCCTTGGACGGGAAGAGACAGGCAGGAGTCGGAATGATGAACCAGCACACTGGGGCGTTTTCTCATGTAGCCCAAGTGACCCCATGGTCTTCTCGAGCTTTGGAACCAGTCGCGTCCCCTTTGACACTGCACCCGGCTCCTAGTCTCAATCTTGTTGGCCCTCCGGCGATCTCCCGTTGGATGAATTGCTCCTGCTGAAACTGGAGACCCCTTTGATTTGCGCTTCATTAATTATTCATGATTCAGGTTGGAAGGCCTGCTGACGACCCTCTGTGGCTCGTCGTTCTCTGAGCTTTCCTGTCATATCGTTTCGTTCCACGCTCTTTAGTTCCTTATGGTCCTGCTCCTTCTGCTGTCAGAGGAGCAGAGAGTTGATCTTATTCATTCTGGATACGGATACTTTCTAGGTGATCTGGATAATCAAGATAACGACCCTCAACAGCGGCGGAGAGGGAGCAGCCAGTTGGTGTGTCTCAGAAAATCCCGCTGAGTTCCGAGGCCTCCTAGATGTGGAATCCTGCTGAGAGTTGTTCCCAGGTCAGAGAATGGAGAGAGCCTGTGCATGATGGGATATCCCTGCCTAGATCTTTCAGTGAGTCTCTACCTCAGCTACTCTTAGGATCAGGGGGAGAACCATGGTGTCAGACATCCGGAAAGAAGACGGGATGAATGTTTTACCTCTGAAGTACATCCCAAATGTGGGAGTTAACTTCAGCTTTGCTGGGGTCTATTTGGC
This sequence comes from Homo sapiens, assembly GCF_000001405.40. Classification (NCBI taxonomy): domain Eukaryota; kingdom Metazoa; phylum Chordata; class Mammalia; order Primates; family Hominidae; genus Homo; species Homo sapiens. The sequence goes on along the minus strand of NW_018654717.1, from coordinate 5,363,546 downwards.
CAGTGAAACTCTGCCTGGTTCATTCGCACATCCGGAAGCCACTTCACGGGGGGCCGTCGCAACTGGAACCACACACTTGGCATCGGCGGTTGAGCCAAATGGGGACTCGTGGTGCAAGCAACGCTCCCCACGTGTTAGCGTGCGTGAGATTCGGTTGGCGGAATTTTACTAGGTGCGTGTTGGTAGAGTGGGGCTGAGGTTTTCTTGCTCCTGTGGATGTATAGGAAGTCAAAGGTCCTGCCCAGCCCTGCGGTCCCCTCAGGCAACTCTGTTTCGGAGACGTAACGATTTGGATTGCCAACAAGTCAAGAAATGTTCAAGCCCTTGGATGTAGGGTAAAGAAAGAGAGATCAGACTGTCACTGTGTCTATGTAGAAGGGGAAGACATAAGAGACTCCATTTTGAAAAAGACCTGTAGTTTAAACAATTGCTTTGCTGAGATGTTGATCATTTGTAGCTTTGCCGCAGCCCCTTCCTTTGACCCAACTTGGAGCTCACAAAAACCTGTGTTGTATAAAATCGAGGTTTAAGGGATCTAGGGCTGTGCAGGACGCGCCTTGTTTACCAAATGTTTACGAGCAGTATCCTTGGTAGGAGTCATTGCCATTCCCTAGTCTCAATAAACCAGGGGTGCAATGCACCGTGGAAAGCCACAGGGACCTCTGCCCTTGAAAGCAGGGTATTGTCCAAGGTTTCTCCCCATGTGACAGTCTGAAATATGGCCTCGTGGGATGGAAAAGACCGGACTGTCCCCCAGCCTGACACCCGCAATGGGTCTGTGCTGAGGTGGATTAGTCAAAGAGGAACGCCTCTTGCAGTTCAGATGGAGGAAGGCCACTGTCTCCTGCTTGCCCCTGGGAACTGAATGTCTCGGTGTAAAGCCCGATCGTACATTTGTTCAACTATGAGCTCGGCGAAAAGCTGCCCTGTGGCGGGAGGCGAGACATGCTGGCAGTAATGCTGCCTTGTTATTCTTTACTCCGCTGAGATATTTGTGTTTAGAGAAACATAAATCTGGCCTACGTGCACGTCCAGGCATAGTACCTTCCCTTGAACTTAATAATGATATGGATTCTTTTGCTCACGTGTTTGTTTTTTGTTGTTGTTTTGACCTTCCCCTTATTATCACCCTGCTCCCCTACTGCATTCCTTTGTGCTGAAATAATGAAAATCATAATCAATAAAAACTGAGGGAACTCAGAGGCCGGTGCCGGTGCAGGTCCTAGGTGTGCTGAGTTCCGGTCCCCTGGACCCACTGTTGTCTCCCTATACTTTGTCTCTGTGTCTTATTTCTTTTCTCCGTCTCTCATCCCACCCGACTAGAAACACCCACAGGTGTGGAGGGGCAGGCCACCCCTTCACTTGGAAAATCAGTTACACACAAACACGGAATGAGAGTCAAAAGACAATATGTCATCTTTTTGAGAATTTTATTCACTTCAAAACCCATTAAACACACATATGTACAAAGGCATTCCAGAGCCCAGTTTTCGAGGCTGAGGAAAGACCCCGAGAGCGCTTCGCACAGCACGCTTCCCAGCGTCCGAAACTCTGCTCTCAGGGCGGGGCACAGCGGAAGGGCTGCACCTCTCAGGGTTCCCTAACTTTTCCCTTATTCAGTCATCTAGAGAGCAAATACACAGTAATTCCCCAGTTTCCTATTGACGTCCCAGCGGAAGTCTGACTCCTGCGCGTCACGCAGTTTCTGAGGCAACGAATCTCTGGCACGGAAGCTTTTCCTGGCGCGTTTCCGGAGAACCACGCCAACTACAACGTCCCTCACCAGAATTCAATGAGGCAGAGTCCCTGCATCTGCTCCCTGCCTGGCCTGGGCTCCCACATCCACAGAAGCGCCACAGCCGGGGAGCTTCGGAGTCACCGCACAGAGTGTGCTCTCTGCTCTGCGCTCCTCAGTCCCACAGTCCCCTCCAAGTCACGGGAGCTGGAGGCCAAGGAGCCCCTGCCACCTGCAGTCTCACTCCAGGTCAGAATCGCTGTCCTCTGAGGAGGAGGAAACCTGAAGGTCCTCATAGAGGACGCTCGGTGGGACACGAACACAGGGAGCCTCAGACTTCTCTGACACATGAGGGCTCTGAGCGAGGAAGGCTCCCGGCTTCTCAGGAGAGTGAAATGAGGGGGCCGCCAGGAGGCTGGAGCTCCAGCGTCCGTTTTCCAGTCTCCGGAAGAGCACTCTGAGAGGCTGGGCCCCATCATGGCTGGCCGCTGAGTGATGGGACATGGTGCAGGCCTGGGCAGTAGGCAGGCAAGGTCTGCTGTGCGGAGGCTGCCGGTCGACGCTGGGCACCTGGGCCGGTGTCCTCCTGCCCATCTGGGGCGACGTACTTGGTCCAAGTTCGGTTGCGGCTGGCGGAGGTTGGAGATTCTCCGGGGCCCCCAGCTCACCTCCCTGGATGGCGCTTTCGGGGATCTGGAAGGGACCCAGTCTCGGTTTCTTGGGGAAGTTCAGGCAAGCCTGAATCGGAGCCTGGGCAGGTCTCTTGGCTCCTGGCCCGAAGCTGAGATTGGAGCCTAGGCCCAAGCTGTGTGTGGCGGCTGGCGGGCAGGGCTGCGAGGTCACCGCAGGACGTTTGTCTTGTGCCTGGGGTCTGGCGGCCTGGAGCAGGCCGTGGGTTTTGGAGGCAGCCTGGGGAACTTCTCGGCAGCCACCCTCGGGGCTGCTGTGTGTCGGCTTCACCACGAGGAGAGGCTCGCGGCCCTGGTGCCTGACTGCAGGCTGAGGGATGTCGGCCGCAGCCCCTGTCTGTCTTTCCTTTGGTCCAAGACTTGAGGAGGAGCTCAGGCTGGCTTTTCTGAGGGGAGACAGTGAAGCCAAGACGGAGCCCCTGCCAGACATTTCGGCAGCTGAGCGATCAGCGAGGACAGGGTCCACGCGCGGCCTCTTACTGGTTGTGTGGACCGGCATTGGCCCGCTTGCAACCTGAAAGAGAGGAAACAACACAGGTTAGAAGTTCCTCAGCATGGAGCCAACGTGAAAATCAAGCACATCCAAAGACAAGGTGCACACGCCATGAAATTCTTAGTACAGTATCGACAGGCGGTCCTTGGAAGTAGGGACAGACCCTCCACCTGAGTGCTGATCAGGACAAGACACATGAAAGATGCGCTCTCGAGCTATGTGTAGCTGATCTAAGCACACCATTGTTCAAAAGATCGCGTCTTGGGCATTAACTGGATCAAAGCGCCTCCACTCAGCCTTCCATGAAGTGGAACGGACTAATGCCCTTCCCGAGGCAGGTTGCTGGCTCAAGGGTACTCGGGACGTCTTCTCTGAACACATGCATGTTCCTGGGTTTCGCCTTCTCCACGTTTGGGGCCTCTGAGGGACTAATTTCCTCATGCCGCTAGGAACGTGTTGTTGGCAGGCTTGCCATAATTGGACAGAAAGAAAGCCACAGGAAATACGGCATCTTCAGATGCCTTCGCCTGGAATCCAATTGACCTGGAAGGATCGTGGAGTCCCTGACCCCAAGAAGGCAAGAAAGAGGGGTTCCCCGATTTCCTCCCGCAGACGGGAAGCTGAAAGGAAATCAACCAGGGTGACCTAGAGGAGAAAAAGGACCAGGGGCCCGGGGTGACACTCACCCTCAGATGATCAGAAGACTCCGTGGATCCTTTTCCATTCGGCAGCGGCTTCTCTGGAGGTTTCCCGGAAAACATGTGGAGGAGAGCCTTCCTCTGCGGGTCTTGTTGCCTGCAGAACAGAAAAAGGTCAGGCCGTGCCCCCTGGTTTTCCCCAGGAGACAGGGAGAACCCCGTCTGGGGCCCAGCCCCATTCCGTGTTTTGTGATACAGAAATGGACATCTGGTGCCCTTTCCGCCTCTGCACCTTCCCTCACGTGCCAACCTTCCCATCCTCCAGGTGGCCCTCTAGGCTTCCGAACTAAGGACTGTGATTTGGATTCCATCGCTTTTCCCCCTGTCGTGGGGAACCTGCACGAAGCGCCCCCGCCTCTCCCCGTCCCTGAATCTCCCAGAGCCCAAGGAGCTCCTGGGTGTGGAACCCCGGAGGACACGGAGCTCCGGCCTATTTCTCTGCAGCGCTCCTTCCCTGGCCCGGAGACGGAAAGGCACACGGTGTGCAGGTGCAGAGACACCATGTCCTTAGGAGGCAGCATCCTAAGAGTGGTGAAAACCCCTCCCACTGCTCACCTTGGTCTCTCTTCCTTCTCTCCCTTATCCTTGTTCAAGGGCCCCGGGTTGGCTTCAACCCGGGGCTTCCATGGTTTCAGGTTTTCCTTCCCTTCCTTTTTCCCCAAGGTCGCTGGAACCAGGGCTGCCTTCCAGCACTTCATGGGGCACCTGGTACTTCTGGCCGTGTGGCCAAAGGCCCCGCAGTTTTTGCACTTGAGCTGTGGGTGGAAAGGAAGTGATGTCAGTGAGTGAGCTGAAGCCACAGGCAGCGATCCCACGTCAACATTGGGACGGATTGTGAATTCAGAGCTGAATAAGGATTCCAAAGAGGGGACACCGGCATGGGGGCCGTTAAGTGCGGGAGAGTTCGGGTACGATGTTCCCTCGCAAAGCCCGTGTGACGGAGGAACTCTGAAAGGAAGGACTCAAGGTTCCAAGGGGCACGATGGTGAAGCCGATGTCAACAACGCAGCCAAACGTGGCTACACAGGACTCTAAGTAGAAAGGGAGGTTGCCCCCAAGAGTCTCTCAAGGGACCTATCGGGCCGGGGAGAAGGTCCCAAGCCACGCCCACCTTGGATGGGAAAAGCAACCTGGCTGGTGGTGACAGAACTCTTTGGAATCCAACCCAGTCTCTGAGGACCGTGGGACACCCCCTCCCCCCGTCCCCACCCCCACCCCGATACCCAAGAGATCCAGGGCTAGACTTACCCTGGGATCTTCTTCATCGGGCGGGGGAGCCCTTGGCCCAACTGGGGCCCTCCGCTGCTTCTGGAGGGTCTGGGCTCTCACCAGTCTCTTGGCCCAAGATTTGGGGTCCCGACGTGCCATCATCTTCGTCTCCTGGGGGTTTTATGACCGCCTTTTTCAGGGGTGGACTGTTGGGCCACCTGAAACACACACAAACACACACATGTCGATGGTTAAGCACGTTGGATATTCACACACCCACAGGAAGCCACCTGCTAACTCCCTGCCTGTGTGGTCATGAGGAGACCTCACCACCAGTGGGTCAAATCTGTAGAACACAATGTGCTGTGCGCATCCTCGGATATTGTGTGTTCCTCTGCCATGACTACCTAGTCCAAGAGTAAACCCCACCTGCCACAGGGCCCGTGGCCTAGGTATGGGGGGTTGAGCTTTCAACCCCAAACAAACAACTGATTCTGGAGACTGGACTTAGGTCTCTCACGATTCACTCCGGTAGAAGACACGGTGATTCTATCTCCCTTGACGGACAGAATGATCGAAGACACAGGGCATGGCGTGTGCCACCCTTTGGCAGGTCTGCTTGACGTCACGGATAAGGGATGCTTCCTGTGACAACTTGAATCGCTACTCTTGCCATTTCATTAGGCAACTTCCAAACACAAATTCATACAGAGAAGTTACCTTCCTCTCTACCGCACTAGCAGGTGATGATCTTTCCTGTTCTATCTTTTGGCTTTAGCTCCAGCCCCTCTTTATTTATTTTCCTGGTATTTTACGCACACCACACGAATTCATCTGAACAAACGGGGAAGAAGTGCCGTATCGTATCGACGTCTTACACGGCTGAAGGGCAAACCCCCCTTTTTTCCAAAGTCCTTTTTCCATTTACCCACCAATTCAGCATGCTGCAGTACATTTCTTTTCGCATTCCCATCTTGGTCTTCTCCCACACGTGGAGACGGATATGTTTTCTCGTTTTCTGTTCCAAGAATTACTAGTAACGAGAACACATCCTACCCCACCAGCAAGCCCCAGTGTGATCGGTTTCTTTCGGCCTCCTTTGTCTCTTCCTCCCCCCCCCTCCCCGCCAAAAACCACTCAGGGATTGCGTGAAACAAACAATTGTTCAGCGAAACTAACCTGAAATTACACGTCTACTTTCTTTCCCAGGCTGGCGCTGAGATGGGCAGGTGCTGCAGCAGCCCGGCTGGAAGCGATGCAGCATCCAGGACGACGGAGGAAGGGGCAGAGAGGGACCTCTGCTTTCCAGGCTGCCTTTTATACTGCCTCTGGTCACCTGACATGGAACGTACCCTAACCTAATCAGTTACCTGTACCTTAATTGCAATTAACTTAATCCAATTACATGACCTGGAAAGGTCTGTCTGCACAGCCCACTCTAAGATCATGTCCACTGCTGACAGACATTCTAAAACCTACTTGTACAGCTGCAAGCTTTGAACAATAGATGTTCCCCGTCAGACATGTAACACTGGTGCCTGTACCCCTGTCTTCTTTTCCATCTTTTTTGTTGTTTTGTTTTGTTTTGTTTTAAAAAATGTGGTAAAATAGACACCTTTTAATTGGACCACATTTTGTCTATCTCGACGTAGGCCTCAGTGTCATCAAGGAGACTCTCCTTGACATGCAGTCACGGCCATGATCCATCTTCAGAGCTTCTCTTTCTTCCCCAAGGTAAGTCTGTCAGCAGAGAACCCTGACCGCACCCTCATGTGTTTTCTCCCCCAGGAGGCGCTTGGAAACCACCGTGAATTGGACCGCACTGGGAAACACAGATGAGGAAAGTCAACAACGCTTTGTCCTTCAGTGCCTGGCTCCTTTTTCAGCTCGTCTTGCGACTCCAGGCATTATGCCTGAAAAGTCTCCCGGACGCCTGTGAGGCTGTAATTCCCTGGGTCCCATTGCCATGTCTCTGGATTTGCGAAGATCCACCGCACCTTCTGTGGAACTCCCGTGTCGGTGAACTTTTGTGCCACGGCCCCTAGTTCTGCCCATGGTCATCCGCACCTGCACGACTTAGGGTCCATGTTCCTTGGACGGGAAGAGACAGGCAGGAGTCGGAATGATGAACCAGCACACTGGGGCGTTTTCTCATGTAGCCCAAGTGACCCCATGGTCTTCTCGAGCTTTGGAACCAGTCGCGTCCCCTTTGACACTGCACCCGGCTCCCAGTCTCTCAATCTTGTTGGCCCTCCGGCGATCTCCCGTTGGATGAATTGCTCCTGCTGAAACTCGAGTCCCCTTTGATTTGCGCTTCATTAGTTATTCATGATTCAGGTTGGAAGGCCTGCTGACGACCCCCTGTGGCCGTTCTCTGAGCTTTCCTGTCACATCGTTTCCTTCCACGCTCTTTGGTTCCTTATGGTCCTGCTCCTTCTGCTGTCAGAGGAGCAGAGAGTTGATCTTATTCATTCTGGATACGGATACTTTCTAGTTGATCTGGATAATCAAGATAACGACCCTCAACAGCGGCGGAGAGGGAGCAGCCAGTTGGTGTGTCTCAGAAAATCCCGCTGAGTTCCGAGGCCTCCTAGATGTGGAATCCTGCTGAGAGTTGTTCCCAGGTCAGAGAATGGAGAGAGCCTGTGCATGATGGGATATCCCCGCCTAGATCTTTCAGTGAGTCTCTGCCTCAGCTACTCTTAGGATCAGGGGGAGAACCATGGTGTCAGACATCCGGAAAGAAGACGGGATGAATGTTTTACCTCTGAAGTACATCCCAAATGTGGGAGTTAACTTCAGCTTTGCTGGGGTCTATTTGGCCAGTGAAACTCTGCCTGGTTCCTTCGCACATCCGGAAGCCACTTCACGGGGGGCCGTCGCAACTGGAACCACACACTTGGCATCGGCGGTTGAGCCAAATGGGGACTCGTGGTGCAAGCAACGCTCCCCACGTGTTAGCGTGCGTGAGATTCGGTTGGCGGAATTTTACTAGGTGCGTGTTGGTAGAGTGGGGCTGAGGTTTTCTTGCTCCTGTGGATGTATAGGAAGTCAAAGGTCCTGCCCAGCCCTGCGGTCCCCTCAGTCAACTCTGTTTCGGAGACGTAACGATTTGGATTGCCAACAAGTCAAGAAATGTTCAAGCCCTTGGATGTAGGGTAAAGAAAGAGAGATCAGACTGTCACTGTGTCTATGTAGAAGGGGAAGACATAAGAGACTCCATTTTGAAAAAGACCTGTAGTTTAAACAATTGCTTTGCTGAGATGTTGTTCATTTGTTGCCTTGCCGCAGCCCCTTCCTTTGACCCAACTTGGAGCTCACAAAAACCTGTGTTGTATAAAATCGAGGTTTAAGGGATCTGGGGCTGTGCAGGACGCGCCTTGTTAACCAAATGTTTACGAGCAGTATACTTGGTAGAAGTCATTGCCATTCTCTAGTCTCAATAAACCAGGGGCGCAATGCACCGTGGAAAGCCACAGGGACCTCTGCCCTTGAAAGCAGGGTATTGTCCAAGGTTTCTCCCCATGTGACAGTCTGAAATATGGCCTCGTGGGATGGGAAAGTCCTGAATGTCCCCCAGCCTGACACCCGCAATGGGTCTGTGCTGAGGTGGATTAGTCAAAGAGGAACGCCTCTTGCAGTTCAGATGGAGGAAGGCCACTGTCTCCTGCTTGCCCCTGGGAACTGAATGTCTCGGTGTAAAGCCCGATCGTACATTTGTTCAACTCTGAGCTCGGAGAAAAGCTGCCCTGTGGCGGGAGGCGAGACATGTTGGCAGTAATGCTGCCTTGTTATTCTTTACTCCGCTGAGATATTTGTGTGGAGAGAAACATAAATCTGGCCTACGTGCACGTCCAGGCATAGTACCTTCCCTTGAACTTAATAATGATATGGATTCTTTTGCTCACGTGTTTGTTTTGTGTTGTTTTTGTTGACCTTCCCCTTATTATCACCCTGCTCCCCTACTGCATTCCTTTGTGCTGAAATAATGAAAATCACAATCAATAAAAACTGCGGGAACTCAGAGGCCGGTGCCGGTGCAGGTCCTAGGTGTGCTGAGTGCCGGTCCCCTGGACCCACTGTTGTCTCCCTATACTTTGTCTCTGTGTCTTATTTCTTTTCTCCGTCTCTCATCCCACCCGACTAGAAACACCCACAGGTGTGGAGGGGCAGGCCACCCCTTCACTTGGAAAATCAGTTACACACAAACACGGAATGAGAGTCAAAAGACAATATGTCATCTTCTTGAGAATTTTATTCACTTCAAAACCCATTAAACACACATATGTACAAAGGCATTCCAGAGCCCAGTTTTCGAGGCTGAGGAAAGACCCCGAGAGCGCTTCGCACAGCACGCTTCCCAGCGTCCGAAACACTGCTCTCAGGGCGGGGCACAGCGGAAGGGCTGCACCTCTCAGGGTTCCCTAACTTTTCCCTTATTCAGTCATCTAGACAGCAAATACACAGTAATTCCCCAGTTTCCTATTGACGTCCCAGCGGAAGTCTGACTCCTGCGCGTCACGCAGTTTCTGAGGCAACGAATCTCTGGCACGGAAGCTTTTCCTGGCGCGTTTCCGGAGAACCACGCCAACTACAACGTCCCTCACCAGAATTCAATGAGGCAGAGTCCCTGCATCTGCTCCCTGCCTGGCCTGGGCTCCCACATCCACAGAAGCGCCACAGCCGGGGAGCTTCGGAGTCACCGCACAGAGTGTGCTCTCTGCTCTGCGCTCCTCAGTCCCACAGTCCCCTCCAAGTCACGGGAGCCGGAGGCCAAGGAGCCCCTGCCACCTGCAGTCTCACTCCAGGTCAGAATCGCTGTCCTCTGAGGAGGAGGAAACCTGAAGGTCCTCATAGAGGACGCTCGGTGGGACACGAACACAGGGAGCCTCAGACTTCTCTGACACATGAGGGCTCTGAGCGAGGAAGGCTCCCGGCTTCTCAGGAGAGTGAAATGAGGGGGCCGCCAGGAGGCTGGAGCTCCAGCGTCCGTTTTCCAGTCTCCGGAAGAGCACTCTGAGAGGCTGGGCCCCATCATGGCTGGCCGCTGAGTGATGGGACATGGTGCAGGCCTGGGCAGTAGGCAGGCAAGGTCTGCTGTGCGGAGGCTGCCGGTCGACGCTGGGCACCTGGGCCGGTGTCCTCCTGCCCATCTGGGGCGACGTACTTGGTCCAAGTTCGGTTGCGGCTGGCGGAGGTTGGAGATTCTCCGGGGCCCCCAGCTCACCTCCCTGGATGGCGCTTTCGGGGATCTGGAAGGGACCCAGTCTCGGTTTCTTGGGGAAGTTCAGGCAAGCCTGAATCGGAGCCTGGGCAGGTCTCTTGGCTCCTGGCCCGAAGCTGAGATTGGAGCCTAGGCCCAAGCTGTGTGTGGCGGCTGGCGGGCAGGGCTGTGAGGTCACCGCAGGACGTTTGTCTTGTGCCTGGGGTCTGGCGGCCTGGAGCAGGCCGTGGGTTTTGGAGGCAGCCTGGGGAACTTCTCGGCAGCCACCCTCGGGGCGGCTGTGTGTCGGCTTCACCACGAGGAGAGGCTCGCGGCCCTGGTGCCTGACTGCAGGCTGAGGCATGTCGGCCGCAGCCCCTGTCTGTCTTTCCTTTGGTCCAAGACTTGAGGAGGAGCTCAGGCTGGCTTTTCTGAGGGGAGACAGTGAAGCCAAGACGGAGCCCCTGCCAGACATTGCGGTAGCTGAGCGATCAGCGAGGACAGGGTCCAAGCGCGGCCTCTTACTGGTTGTGTGGACCGGCATTGGCCCGCTTGCAACCTGAAAGAGAGGAAACAACACAGGTTAGAAGTTCCTCAGCATGGAGCCAACGTGAAAATCAAGCACATCCAAAGACAAGGTGCACACGCCATGAAATTCTTAGTACAGTATCGACAGGCGGTCCTTGGAAGTAGGGACAGACCCTCCACCTGAGTGCTGATCAGGACAAGACACATGAAAGATGCGCTCTCGAGCTATGTGTAGCTGATCTAAGCACACCATTGTTCAAAAGATCGCGTCTTGGGCATTAACTGGATCAAAGCGCCTCCACTCAGCCTTCCATGAAGTGGAACGGACTAATGCCCTTCCCAAGGCAGGTTGCTGGCTCAAGGGTACTCGGGACGTCTTCTCTGAACACATGCATGTTCCTGGGTTTCGCCTTCTCCACGTTTGGGGCCTCTGAGGGACTAATTTCCTCATGCCGCTAGGAACGTGTTGTTGGCAGGCTTGCCATAATTGGACAGAAAGAAAGCAACAGGAAATACGGCATGTTCAGATGCCTTCGCCTGGAATCCAATTGACCTGGAAGGATCGTGGAGTCCCTGACCCCAAGAAGGCAAGAAAGAGGGGTTCCCCGATTTCCTCCCGCAGACGGGAAGCTGAAAGGAAATCAACCAGGGTGACCTAGAGGAGAAAAAGACCAGGGGCCCGGGGTGACACTCGCCCTCAGATAATCAGAAGATTCCGTGGATCCTTTTCCATTCGGCAGCGGCTTCTCTGGAGGTTTCCCGGAAAACATGTGGAGGAGAGCCTTCCTCTGCGGGTCTTGTTGCCTGCAGAACAGAAGAAGGTCAGGCCGTGCCCCCTGGTTTTCCCCAGGAGACAGGGAGAACCCCGTCTGGGGCCCAGCCCCATTCCGTGTTTTGTGATACAGAAATGGACATCTGGTGCCCTTTCCGCCTCTGCACCTTCCCTCACGTGCCAACCTTCCCATCCTCCAGGTGGCCCTCTAGGCTTCCCAACTAAGGACTGTGATTTGGATTCCATCGCTTTTCCCGCTGTCGTGGGGAACCTGCACGAAGCGCCCCCGCCTCTCCCCGTCCCTGAATCTCCCAGAGCCCAAGGAGCTCCTGGGTGTGGAACCCCGGAGGACACGGAGCTCCGGCCTATTTCTCTGCAGCGTTCCTTCCCTGGCCCGGAGACGGAAAGGCACACGGTGTGCAGGTGCAGAGACACCATGTCCTTGGGAGGCCGTACCCTAAGAGTGGTGAAAACCCCTCCCACTGCTCACCTTGGTCTCTCTTCCTTCTCTCCCTTATCCTTGTTCAAGGGCCCCGGGTTGGCTTCACCCCGGGGCTTCCATGGTTTCAGGTTTTCCTTCCCTTCCTTTTTCCCCAAGGTCGCTGGAACCAGGGCTGCCTTCCAGCACTTCATGGGGCACCTGGTACTTCTGGCCGTGTGGCCAAAGGCCCCGCAGTTTTTGCACTTGAGCTGCGGGTGGAAAGGAAGTGATGTCAGTGAGTGAGCTGAAGCCACAGGCAGCGATCCCACGTCAACATTGGGACGGATTGTGAATTCAGAGCTGAATAAGGATTCCAAAGAGGGGACACCGGCATGGGGGCCGTTAAGTGCTGGGAGAGTTCGGATACGATGTTCCCTCGCAAAGCCCATGTGACGGAGGAACTCTGAAAGGAAGGACTCAAGGTTCCAAGGGGCACCATGGTGAAGCCGATGTCAACAACGCAGCCAAACGTGGCTACACAGGACTCTAAGTAGAAAGGGAGGTTGCCCCCAAGAGTCTCTCAAGGGACCTATCGGGCCGGGGAGAAGGTCCCAAGCCACGCCCACCTTGGATGGGAAAAGCAACCTGGCTGGTGGTGACAGAACTCTTTGGAATCCAACCCAGTCTCTGAGGACCGTGGGACACCCCCTCCCCCCGTCCCCACCCCCACCCCGATACCCAAGAGATCCAGGGCTACACTTACCCTGGGATCTTCTTCATCGGGCGGGGGAGCCCTTGGCCCAACTGGGGCCCTCCGCTGCTTCTGGAGGGTCTGGGCTCTCACCAGTCTCTTGGCCCAAGATTTGGGGTCCCGACGTGCCATCATCTTCGTCTCCTGGGGGTTTTATGACCGCCTTTTTCAGGGGTGGACTGTTGGGCCACCTGAAACACACACAAACACACACATGTCGATGGTTAAGCACGTTGGATATTCACACACCCACAGGAAGCCACCTGCTAACTCCCTGCCTGTGTGGTCATGAGGAGACCTCACCACCAGTCGGTCAAATCTGTAGAACACAATGTGCTGTGCGCATCCTCGGATATTGTGTGTTCCTCTGCCATGACTACCTAGTCCAAGAGTAAACCCCACCTGCCACAGGGCCCGTGGCCTAGGTATGGGGGGGTTGAGCTTTCAACCCCAAACAAACAACTGATTCTGGAGACTGGACTTAGGTCTCTCACGATTCACTCCGGTAGAAGACACGGTGATTCTATCTCCCTTGACGGACAGAATGATCGAAGACACAGGGCATGGCGTGTGCCACCCTTTGGCAGGTCTGCTTGAAGTCACGGATAAGGGATGCTTCCTGTGACAACTTGAATCGCTACTCTTGCCATTTCATTAGGCAACTTCCAAGCACAAATTCATACAGAGAAGTTACCTTCCTCTCTACCGCACTAGCAGGTGAGGATCTTTCCTGTTCTATCTTTTGGCTTTAGCTCCAGCCCCTCTTTATTTATTTTCCTGGTATTTTACGCACACCACACGAATTCATCTGAACAAACGGGGAAGAAGTGCCGTATCGTATCGACGTCTTACACGGCTGAAGGGCAAACCCCCCTTTTTTCCAAAGTCCTTTTTCCATTTACCCACCAATTCAGCATGCTGCAGTACATTTCTTTTCCCATTCCCATCTTGGTCTTCTCCCACACGTGGAGACGGATATGTTTTCTCGTTTTCTGTTCCAAGAATTACTAGTAACGAGAACACATCCTACCCCACCAGCAAGCCCCAGTGTGATCGGTTTCTTTCGGCCTCCTTTGTCTCTTCCTCCCCCACACCCCCCGCAAAAACCCCTCAGGGATTGCGTGAAACAAACAATTGTTCAGCGAAACCAACCTGAAATTACACGTCTACTTTCTTTCCCAGGCTGGCGCTGAGATGGGCAGGTGCTGCAGCAGCCCGGCTGGAAGCGATGCAGCATCCAGGACGACGGAGGAAGGGGCAGAGAGGGACCTCCGCTTTCCAGGCTGCCTTTTATACTGCCTCTGGTCACCTGACATGGAACGTACCCTAACCTAATCAGTTACCTGTACCTTAATTGCAATTAACTTAATCCAATTACATGACCTGGAAAGGTCTATCTGCACAGCCCACTCTAAGATCATGTCCACTGCTGACAGACATTCTAAAACCTACTTGTACAGCTGCAAGCTTTGAACAATAGATGTTCCCCGTCAGACATGTAACACTGGTGCCTGTACCCCTGTCTTCTTTTCCATCTTTTTTGTTGTTTTGTTTTGTTTTGTTTTAAAAAATGTGGTAAAATAGACACCTTTTAATTGGACCACATTTTGTCTATCTCGACGTAGGCCTCAGTGTCATCAAGGAGACTCTCCTTGACATGCAGTCACGGCCATGATCCATCTTCAGAGCTTCTCTTTCTTCCCCAAGGTAAGTCTGTCAGCAGAGAACCCTGACCGCACCCTCATGTGTTTTCTCCCCCAGGAGGCGCTTGGAAACAACCGTGAATTGGACCGCACTGGGAAACACAGATGAGGAAAGTCAACAACGCTTTGTCCTTCAGTGCCTGGCTCCTTTTTCAGCTCCTCTTGCGACTCCAGGCATTATGCCTGAAAAGTCTCCCGGACGCCTGTGAGGCTGTAATTCCCTGGGTCCCATTGCCATGTCTCTGGATTTGCGAAGATCCACCGCACCTTCTGTGGAACTCCCGTGTCGGTGAACTTTTGTGCCACGGCCCCTAATTCTGCCCATGGTCATCCGCACCTGCACGACTTAGGGTCCATGTTCCTTGGACGGGAAGAGACAGGCAGGAGTCGGAATGATGAACCAGCACACTGGGGCGTTTTCTCATGTAGCCCAAGTGACCCCATGGTCTTCTCGAGCTTTGGAACCAGTCGCGTCCCCTTTGACACTGCACCCGGCTCCCAGTCACTCAATCTTGTTGGCCCTCCGGCGATCTCCCGTTGGATGAATTGCTCCTGCTGAAACTCGAGTCCCCTTTGATTTGCGCTTCATTAATTATTCATGATTCAGGTTGGAAGGCCTGCTGACGACCCCCTGTGGCCGTTCTCTGAGCTTTCCTGTCACATCGTTTCCTTCCACGCTCTTTGGTTCCTTACGGTCCTGCTCCTTCTGCTGTCAGAGGAGCAGAGAGTTGATCTTATTCATTCTGGATACGGATACTTTCTAGGTGATCTGGATAATCAAGATAACGACCCTCAACAGCGGCGGAGAGGGAGCAGCCAGTTGGTGTGTCTCAGAAAATCCCGCTGAGTTCCGAGGCCTCCTAGATGTGGAATCCTGCTGAGAGTTGTTCCCAGGTCAGAGAATGGAGAGAGCCTGTGCATGATGGGATATCCCCGCCTAGATCTTTCAGTGAGTCTCTGCCTCAGCTACTCTTAGGATTAGGGGGAGAACCATGGTGTCAGACATCCGGAAAGAAGACGGGATGAATGTTTTACCTCTGAAGTACATCCCAAATGTGGGAGTTAACTTCAGCTTTGCTGGGGTCTATTTGGCCAGTGAAACTCTGCCTGGTTCCTTCGCACATCCGGAAGCCACTTCACGGGGGGCCGTCGCAACTGGAACCACACACTTGGCATCGGCGGTTGAGCCAAATGGGGACTCGTGGTGCAAGCAACGCTCCCCACGTGTTAGCGTGCGTGAGATTCGGTTGGCGGAATTTTACTAGGTGCGTGTTGGTAGAGTGGGGCTGAGGTTTTCTTGCTCCTGTGGATGTATAGGAAGTCAAAGGTCCTGCCCAGCCCTGCGGTCCCCTCAGTCAACTCTGTTTCGGAGACGTAACGATTTGGATTGCCAACAAGTCAAGAAATGTTCAAGCCCTTGGATGTAGGGTAAAGAAAGAGAGATCAGACTGTCACTGTGTCTATGTAGAAGGGGAAGACATAAGAGACTCCATTTTGAAAAAGACCTGTAGTTTAAACAATTGCTTTGCTGAGATGTTGTTCATTTGTTGCCTTGCCGCAGCCCCTTCCTTTGACCCAACTTGGAGCTCACAAAAACCTGTGTTGTATAAAATCGAGGTTTAAGGGATCTGGGGCTGTGCAGGACGCGCCTTGTTAACCAAATGTTTACGAGCAGTATACTTGGTAGAAGTCATTGCCATTCTCTAGTCTCAATAAACCAGGGGCGCAATGCACCGTGGAAAGCCACAGGGACCTCTGCCCTTGAAAGCAGGGTATTGTCCAAGGTTTCTCCCCATGTGACAGTCTGAAATATGGCCTCGTGGGATGGGAAAGTCCTGAATGTCCCCCAGCCTGACACCCGCAATGGGTCTGTGCTGAGGTGGATTAGTCAAAGAGGAACGCCTCTTGCAGTTCAGATGGAGGAAGGCCACTGTCTCCTGCTTGCCCCTGGGAACTGAATGTCTCGGTGTAAAGCCCGATCGTACATTTGTTCAACTCTGAGCTCGGAGAAAAGCTGCCCTGTGGCGGGAGGCGAGACATGTTGGCAGTAATGCTGCCTTGTTATTCTTTACTCCGCTGAGATATTTGTGTGGAGAGAAACATAAATCTGGCCTACGTGCACGTCCAGGCATAGTACCTTCCCTTGAACTTAATAATGATATGGATTCTTTTGCTCACGTGTTTGTTTTGTGTTGTTTTTGTTGACCTTCCCCTTATTATCACCCTGCTCCCCTACTGCATTCCTTTGTGCTGAAATAATGAAAATCACAATCAATAAAAACTGCGGGAACTCAGAGGCCGGTGCCGGTGCAGGTCCTAGGTGTGCTGAGTGCCGGTCCCCTGGACCCACTGTTGTCTCCCTATACTTTGTCTCTGTGTCTTATTTCTTTTCTCCGTCTCTCATCCCACCCGACTAGAAACACCCACAGGTGTGGAGGGGCAGGCCACCCCTTCACTTGGAAAATCAGTTACACACAAACACGGAATGAGAGTCAAAAGACAATATGTCATCTTCTTGAGAATTTTATTCACTTCAAAACACATTAAACACACATATGTACAAAGGCATTCCAGAGCCCAGTTTTCGAGGCTGAGGAAAGACCCCGAGAGCGCTTCGCACAGCACGCTTCCCAGCGTCCGAAACACTGCTCTCAGGGCGGGGCACAGCGGAAGGGCTGCACCTCTCAGGGTTCCCTAACTTTTCCCTTATTCAGTCATCTAGACAGCAAATACACAGTAATTCCCCAGTTTCCTATTGACGTCCCAGCGGAAGTCTGACTCCTGCGCGTCACGCAGTTTCTGAGGCAACGAATCTCTGGCACGGAAGCTTTTCCTGGCGCGTTTCCGGAGAACCACGCCAACTACAACGTCCCTCACCAGAATTCAATGAGGCAGAGTCCCTGCATCTGCTCCCTGCCTGGCCTGGGCTCCCACATCCACAGAAGCGCCACAGCCGGGGAGCTTCGGAGTCACCGCACAGAGTGTGCTCTCTGCTCTGCGCTCCTCAGTCCCACAGTCCCCTCCAAGTCACGGGAGCCGGAGGCCAAGGAGCCCCTGCCACCTGCAGTCTCACTCCAGGTCAGAATCGCTGTCCTCTGAGGAGGAGGAAACCTGAAGGTCCTCATAGAGGACGCTCGGTGGGACACGAACACAGGGAGCCTCAGACTTCTCTGACACATGAGGGCTCTGAGCGAGGAAGGCTCCCGGCTTCTCAGGAGAGTGAAATGAGGGGGCCGCCAGGAGGCTGGAGCTCCAGCGTCCGTTTTCCAGTCTCCGGAAGAGCACTCTGAGAGGCTGGGCCCCATCATGGCTGGCCGCTGAGTGATGGGACATGGTGCAGGCCTGGGCAGTAGGCAGGCAAGGTCTGCTGTGCGGAGGCTGCCGGTCGACGCTGGGCACCTGGGCCGGTGTCCTCCTGCCCATCTGGGGCGACGTACTTGGTCCAAGTTCGGTTGCGGCTGGCGGAGGTTGGAGATTCTCCGGGGCCCCCAGCTCACCTCCCTGGATGGCGCTTTCGGGGATCTGGAAGGGACCCAGTCTCGGTTTCTTGGGGAAGTTCAGGCAAGCCTGAATCGGAGCCTGGGCAGGTCTCTTGGCTCCTGGCCCGAAGCTGAGATTGGAGCCTAGGCCCAAGCTGTGTGTGGCGGCTGGCGGGCAGGGCTGTGAGGTCACCGCAGGACGTTTGTCTTGTGCCTGGGGTCTGGCGGCCTGGAGCAGGCCGTGGGTTTTGGAGGCAGCCTGGGGAACTTCTCGGCAGCCACCCTCGGGGCGGCTGTGTGTCGGCTTCACCACGAGGAGAGGCTCGCGGCCCTGGTGCCTGACTGCAGGCTGAGGCATGTCGGCCGCAGCCCCTGTCTGTCTTTCCTTTGGTCCAAGACTTGAGGAGGAGCTCAGGCTGGCTTTTCTGAGGGGAGACAGTGAAGCCAAGACGGAGCCCCTGCCAGACATTGCGGTAGCTGAGCGATCAGCGAGGACAGGGTCCAAGCGCGGCCTCTTACTGGTTGTGTGGACCGGCATTGGCCCGCTTGCAACCTGAAAGAGAGGAAACAACACAGGTTAGAAGTTCCTCAGCATGGAGCCAACGTGAAAATCAAGCACATCCAAAGACAAGGTGCACACGCCATGAAATTCTTAGTACAGTATCGACAGGCGGTCCTTGGAAGTAGGGACAGACCCTCCACCTGAGTGCTGATCAGGACAAGACACATGAAAGATGCGCTCTCGAGCTATGTGTAGCTGATCTAAGCACACCATTGTTCAAAAGATCGCGTCTTGGGCATTAACTGGATCAAAGCGCCTCCACTCAGCCTTCCATGAAGTGGAACGGACTAATGCCCTTCCCAAGGCAGGTTGCTGGCTCAAGGGTACTCGGGACGTCTTCTCTGAACACATGCATGTTCCTGGGTTTCGCCTTCTCCACGTTTGGGGCCTCTGAGGGACTAATTTCCTCATGCCGCTAGGAACGTGTTGTTGGCAGGCTTGCCATAATTGGACAGAAAGAAAGCAACAGGAAATACGGCATGTTCAGATGCCTTCGCCTGGAATCCAATTGACCTGGAAGGATCGTGGAGTCCCTGACCCCAAGAAGGCAAGAAAGAGGGGTTCCCCGATTTCCTCCCGCAGACGGGAAGCTGAAAGGAAATCAACCAGGGTGACCTAGAGGAGAAAAAGACCAGGGGCCCGGGGTGACACTCGCCCTCAGATAATCAGAAGATTCCGTGGATCCTTTTCCATTCGGCAGCGGCTTCTCTGGAGGTTTCCCGGAAAACATGTGGAGGAGAGCCTTCCTCTGCGGGTCTTGTTGCCTGCAGAACAGAAGAAGGTCAGGCCGTGCCCCCTGGTTTTCCCCAGGAGACAGGGAGAACCCCGTCTGGGGCCCAGCCCCATTCCGTGTTTTGTGATACAGAAATGGACATCTGGTGCCCTTTCCGCCTCTGCACCTTCCCTCACGTGCCAACCTTCCCATCCTCCAGGTGGCCCTCTAGGCTTCCCAACTAAGGACTGTGATTTGGATTCCATCGCTTTTCCCGCTGTCGTGGGGAACCTGCACGAAGCGCCCCCGCCTCTCCCCGTCCCTGAATCTCCCAGAGCCCAAGGAGCTCCTGGGTGTGGAACCCCGGAGGACACGGAGCTCCGGCCTATTTCTCTGCAGCGTTCCTTCCCTGGCCCGGAGACGGAAAGGCACACGGTGTGCAGGTGCAGAGACACCATGTCCTTGGGAGGCCGTACCCTAAGAGTGGTGAAAACCCCTCCCACTGCTCACCTTGGTCTCTCTTCCTTCTCTCCCTTATCCTTGTTCAAGGGCCCCGGGTTGGCTTCACCCCGGGGCTTCCATGGTTTCAGGTTTTCCTTCCCTTCCTTTTTCCCCAAGGTCGCTGGAACCAGGGCTGCCTTCCAGCACTTCATGGGGCACCTGGTACTTCTGGCCGTGTGGCCAAAGGCCCCGCAGTTTTTGCACTTGAGCTGCGGGTGGAAAGGAAGTGATGTCAGTGAGTGAGCTGAAGCCACAGGCAGCGATCCCACGTCAACATTGGGACGGATTGTGAATTCAGAGCTGAATAAGGATTCCAAAGAGGGGACACCGGCATGGGGGCCGTTAAGTGCTGGGAGAGTTCGGATACGATGTTCCCTCGCAAAGCCCATGTGACGGAGGAACTCTGAAAGGAAGGACTCAAGGTTCCAAGGGGCACGATGGTGAAGCCGATGTCAACAACGCAGCCAAACGTGGCTACACAGGACTCTAAGTAGAAAGGGAGGTTGCCCCCAAGAGTCTCTCAAGGGACCTATCGGGCCGGGGAGAAGGTCCCAAGCCACGCCCACCTTGGATGGGAAAAGCAACCTGGCTGGTGGTGACAGAACTCTTTGGAATCCAACCCAGTCTCTGAGGACCGTGGGACAGCCCCTCCCCCCGTCCCCACCCCCACCCCGATACCCAAGAGATCCAGGGCTACACTTACCCTGGGATCTTCTTCATCGGGCGGGGGAGCCCTTGGCCCAACTGGGGCCCTCCGCTGCTTCTGGAGGGTCTGGGCTCTCACCAGTCTCTTGGCCCAAGATTTGGGGTCCCGACGTGCCATCATCTTCGTCTCCTGGGGGTTTTATGACCGCCTTTTTCAGGGGTGGACTGTTGGGCCACCTGAAACACACACAAAACACACACATGTCGATGGTTAAGCACGTTGGATATTCACACACCCACAGGAAGCCACCTGCTAACTCCCTGCCTGTGTGGTCATGAGGAGACCTCACCACCAGTCGGTCAAATCTGTAGAACACAATGTGCTGTGCGCATCCTCGGATATTGTGTGTTCCTCTGCCATGACTACCTAGTCCAAGAGTAAACCCCACCTGCCACAGGGCCCGTGGCCTAGGTATGGGGGGGTTGAGCTTTCAACCCCAAACAAACAACTGATTCTGGAGACTGGACTTAGGTCTCTCACGATTCACTCCGGTAGAAGACACGGTGATTCTATCTCCCTTGACGGACAGAATGATCGAAGACACAGGGCATGGCGTGTGCCACCCTTTGGCAGGTCTGCTTGAAGTCACGGATAAGGGATGCTTCCTGTGACAACTTGAATCGCTACTCTTGCCATTTCATTAGGCAACTTCCAAGCACAAATTCATACAGAGAAGTTACCTTCCTCTCTACCGCACTAGCAGGTGAGGATCTTTCCTGTTCTATCTTTTGGCTTTAGCTCCAGCCCCTCTTTATTTATTTTCCTGGTATTTTACGCACACCACACGAATTCATCTGAACAAACGGGGAAGAAGTGCCGTATCGTATCGACGTCTTACACGGCTGAAGGGCAAACCCCCCTTTTTTCCAAAGTCCTTTTTCCATTTACCCACCAATTCAGCATGCTGCAGTACATTTCTTTTCCCATTCCCATCTTGGTCTTCTCCCACACGTGGAGACGGATATGTTTTCTCGTTTTCTGTTCCAAGAATTACTAGTAACGAGAACACATCCTACCCCACCAGCAAGCCCCAGTGTGATCGGTTTCTTTCGGCCTCCTTTGTCTCTTCCTCCCCCACACCCCCCGCAAAAACCCCTCAGGGATTGCGTGAAACAAACAATTGTTCAGCGAAACCAACCTGAAATTACACGTCTACTTTCTTTCCCAGGCTGGCGCTGAGATGGGCAGGTGCTGCAGCAGCCCGGCTGGAAGCGATGCAGCATCCAGGACGACGGAGGAAGGGGCAGAGAGGGACCTCCGCTTTCCAGGCTGCCTTTTATACTGCCTCTGGTCACCTGACATGGAACGTACCCTAACCTAATCAGTTACCTGTACCTTAATTGCAATTAACTTAATCCAATTACATGACCTGGAAAGGTCTATCTGCACAGCCCACTCTAAGATCATGTCCACTGCTGACAGACATTCTAAAACCTACTTGTACAGCTGCAAGCTTTGAACAATAGATGTTCCCCGTCAGACATGTAACACTGGTGCCTGTACCCCTGTCTTCTTTTCCATCTTTTTTGTTGTTTTGTTTTGTTTTGTTTTAAAAAATGTGGTAAAATAGACACCTTTTAATTGGACCACATTTTGTCTATCTCGACGTAGGCCTCAGTGTCATCAAGGAGACTCTCCTTGACATGCAGTCACGGCCATGATCCATCTTCAGAGCTTCTCTTTCTTCCCCAAGGTAAGTCTGTCAGCAGAGAACCCTGACCGCACCCTCATGTGTTTTCTCCCCCAGGAGGCGCTTGGAAACAACCGTGAATTGGACCGCACTGGGAAACACAGATGAGGAAAGTCAACAACGCTTTGTCCTTCAGTGCCTGGCTCCTTTTTCAGCTCCTCTTGCGACTCCAGGCATTATGCCTGAAAAGTCTCCCGGACGCCTGTGAGGCTGTAATTCCCTGGGTCCCATTGCCATGTCTCTGGATTTGCGAAGATCCACCGCACCTTCTGTGGAACTCCCGTGTCGGTGAACTTTTGTGCCACGGCCCCTAATTCTGCCCATGGTCATCCGCACCTGCACGACTTAGGGTCTATGTTCCCTGAACCGGAAGAGACAGGCAGGAGTCGGAATGATGAACCAGCACACTGGGGCGTTTTCTCATGTAGCCCAAGTGACCCCATGGTCTTCTCGAGCTTTGGAACCAGTCGCGTCCCCTTTGACACTGCACCCGGCTCCCAGTCTCTCAATCTTGTTGGCCCTCCGGCGATCTCCCGTTGGATGAATTGCTCCTGCTGAAACTCGAGTCCCCTTTGATTTGCGCTTCATTAATTATTCATGATTCAGGTTCGAAGGCCTGCTGACGACCCCCTGTGGCCGTTCTCTGAGCTTTCCTGTCACATCGTTTCCTTCCACGCTCTTTGGTTCCTTATGGTCCTGCTCCTTCTGCTGTCAGAGGAGCAGAGAGTTGATCTTATTCATTCTGGATACGGATACTTTCTAGGTGATCTGGATAATCAAGATAACGACCCTCAACAGCGGCGGAAAGGGAGCAGCCAGTTGGTGTGTCTCAGAAAATCCCACTGAGTTCCGAGGCCTCCTAGATGTGGAATCCTGCTGAGAGTTGTTCCCAGGTCAGAGAATGGAGAGAGCCTGTGCATGATGGGATATCCCCGCCTAGATCTTTCAGTGAGTCTCTACCTCAGCAACTCTTAGGATCAGGGGGAGAACCATGGTGTCAGACATCCGGAAAGAAGATGGGATGAATGTTTTACCTCTGAAGTACATCCCAAATGTGGGAGTTAACTTCAGCTTTGCTGGGGTCTATTTGGCCAGTGAAACGCTGCCTGGTTCATTCGCACATCCGGAAGCCACTTCACGGGGGGCCGTCGCAACTGGAACCACACACTTGGCATCGGCGGTTGAGCCAAATGGGGACTCGTGGTGCAAGCAACGCTCCCCACGTGTTAGCGTGCGTGAGATTCGGTTGGCGGAATTTTACTAGGTGCGTGTTGGTAGAGTGGGGCTGAGGTTTTCTTGCTCCTGTGGATGTATAGGAAGTCAAAGGTCCTGCCCAGCCCTGCGGTCCCCTCAGTCAACTCTGTTTCGGAGACGTAACGATTTGGATTGCCAACAAGTCAAGAAATGTTCAAGCCCTTGGATGTAGGGTAAAGAAAGAGAGATCAGACTGCCACTGTGTCTATGTAGAAGGGGAAGACACAAGAGACTCCATTTTGGAAAAGACCTGTAGTTTAAACAATTGCTTTGCTGAGATGTTGATCATTTGTAGCTTTGCCGCAGCCCCTTCCTTTGACCCAACTTGGAGCTCA
This sequence comes from Homo sapiens, assembly GCF_000001405.40. Lineage (NCBI taxonomy): Eukaryota > Metazoa > Chordata > Mammalia > Primates > Hominidae > Homo > Homo sapiens. The sequence continues at coordinate 5,340,105 of NW_018654717.1, read as the reverse complement.
CCAAAACCTGTGCTGTATAAAATCGAGGTTTAAGGGATCTAGGGCTGTGCAGGACGCGCCTTGTTAACCAAATGTTTACGAGCAGTATACTTGGTAGAAGTCATTGCCATTCTCTAGTCTCAATAAACCACGGGTGCAATGCACCGTGGAAAGCCACAGGGACCTCTGCCCTTGAAAGCAGGGTATTGTCCAAGGTTTCTCCCCATGTGTCAGTCTGAAATATGGCCTCGTGGGATGGGAAAGACCTGACTGTCCCCCAGCCTGACACCCGCAATGGGTCTGTGCTGAGGTGGATTAGTCAAAGAGGAAAGCCTCTTGCAGTTCAGATGGAGGAAGGCCACTGTCTCCTGCTTGCCCCTGGGAACTGAATGTCTCGGTGTAAAGCCCGATCGTACATTTGTTCAACTCTGAGCTCGGCGAAAAGCTGCCCTGTGGCGGGAGGCGAGACATGCTGGCAGTAATGCTGCCTTGTTATTCTTTACTCCGCTGAGATATTTGTGTGGAGAGAAACATAAATCTGGCCTACGTGCACGTCCAGGCATAGTACCTTCCCTTGAACTTAATAATGATATGGATTCTTTTGCTCACGTGTTTGTTTTTTGTTGTTGTTTTGACCTTCCCCTTATTATCACCCTGCTCCCCTACTGCATTCCTTTGTGCTGAAATAATGAAAATCATAATCAATAAAAACTGAGGGAACTCAGAGGCCGGTGCCGGTGCAGGTCCTAGGTGTGCTGAGTGCCGGTCCCCTGGACCCACTGTTGTCTCCCTATACTTTGTCTCTGTGTCTTATTTCTTTTCTCCGTCTCTCATCCCACCCGACTAGAAACACCCACAGGTGTGGAGGGGCAGGCCACCCCTTCACTTGGAAAATCAGTTACACACAAACACGGAATGAGAGTCAAAAGACAATATGTCATCTTTTTGAGAATTTTATTCACTTCAAAACACATTAAACACACATATGTACAAAGGCATTCCAGAGCCCAGTTTTCGAGGCTGAGGAAAGACCCCGAGAGCGCTTCGCACAGCACGCTTCCCAGCGTCCGAAACTCTGCTCTCAGGGCGGGGCACAGCGGAAGGGCTGCACCTCTCAGGGTTCCCTAACTTTTCCCTTATTCAGTCATCTAGAGAGCAAATACACAGTAATTCCCCAGTTTCCTATTGACGTCCCAGCGGAAGTCTGACTCCTGCGCGTCACGCAGTTTCTGAGGCAACGAATCTCTGGCACGGAAGCTTTTCCTGGCGCGTTTCCGGAGAACCACGCCAACTACAACGTCCCTCACCAGAATTCAATGAGGCAGAGTCCCTGCATCTGCTCCCTGACTGGCCTGGGCTCCCACATCCACAGAAGCGCCACAGCCGGGGAGCTTCGGAGTCACCGCACAGAGTGTGCTCTCTGCTCTGCGCTCCTCAGTCCCACAGTCCCCTCCAAGTCACGGGAGCTGGAGGCCAAGGAGCCCCTGCCACCTGCAGTCTCACTCCAGGTCAGAATCGCTGTCCTCTGAGGAGGAGGAAACCTGAAGGTCCTCATAGAGGACGCTCGGTGGGACACGAACACAGGGAGCCTCAGACTTCTCTGACACATGAGGGCTCTGAGCGAGGAAGGTTCCCGGCTTCTCAGGAGAGTGAAATGAGGGGGCCGCCAGGAGGCTGGAGCTCCAGCGTCCGTTTTCCAGTCTCCGGAAGAGCACTCTGAGAGGCTGGGCCCCATCATGGCTGGCCGCTGAGTGATGGGACATGGTGCAGGCCTGGGCAGTAGGCAGGCAAGGTGTGCTGTGCGGAGGCTGCCGGTCGACGCTGGGCACCTGGGCCGGTGTCCTCCTGCCCATCTGGGGCGACGTACTTGGTCCAAGTTCGGTTGCGGCTGGCGGAGGTTGGAGATTCTCCGGGGCCCCCAGCTCACCTCCCTGGATGGCGCTTTCGGGGATCTGGAAGGGACCCAGTCTCGGTTTCTTGGGGAAGTTCAGGCAAGCCTGAATCGGAGCCTGGGCAGGTCTCTTGGCTCCTGGCCCGAAGCTGAGATTGGAGCCTAGGCCCAAGCTGTGTGTGGCGGCTGGCGGGCAGGGCTGCGAGGTCACCGCAGGACGTTTGTCTTGTGCCTGGGGTCTGGCGGCCTGGAGCAGGCCGTGGGTTTTGGAGGCAGCCTGGGGAACTTCTCGGCAGCCACCCTCGGGGCGGCTGTGTGTCGGCTTCACCACGAGGAGAGGCTCGCGGCCCTGGTGCCTGACTGCAGGCTGAGGCATGTCGGCCGAAGCCCCTGTCTGTCTTTCCTTTGGTCCAAGACTTGAGGAGGAGCTCAGGCTGGCTTTTCTGAGGGGAGACAGTGAAGCCAAGACGGAGCCCCTGCCAGACATTTCGGCAGCTGAGCGATCAGCGAGGACAGGGTCCACGCGCGGCCTCTTACTGGTTGTGTGGACCGGCATTGGCCCGCTTGCAACCTGAAAGAGAGGAAACAACACAGGTTAGAAGTTCCTCAGCATGGAGCCAACGTGAAAATCAAGCACATCCAAAGACAAGGTGCACACGCCATGAAATTCTTAGTACAGTATCGACAGGCGGTCCTTGGAAGTAGGGACAGACCCTCCACCTGAGTGCTGATCAGGACAAGACACATGAAAGATGCGCTCTCGAGCTATGTGTAGCTGATCTAAGCACACCATTGTTCAAAAGATCGCGTCTTGGGCATTAACTGGATCAAAGCGCCTCCACTCAGCCTTCCATGAAGTGGAACGGACTAATGCCCTTCCCGAGGCAGGTTGCTGGCTCAAGGGTACTCGGGACGTCTTCTCTGAACACATGCATGTTCCTGGGTTTCGCCTTCTCCACGTTTGGGGCCTCTGAGGGACTAATTTCCTCATGCCGCTAGGAACGTGTTGTTGGCAGGCTTGCCATAATTGGACAGAAAGAAAGCCACAGGAAATACGGCATCTTCAGATGCCTTCGCCTGGAATCCAATTGACCTGGAAGGATCGTGGAGTCCCTGACCCCAAGAAGGCAAGAAAGAGGGGTTCCCCGATTTCCTCCCGCAGACGGGAAGCTGAAAGGAAATCAACCAGGGTGACCTAGAGGAGAAAAGGACCAGGGGCCCGGGGTGACACTCACCCTCAGATGATCAGAAGACTCCGTGGATCCTTTTCCATTCGGCAGCGGCTTCTCTGGAGGTTTCCCGGAAAACATGTGGAGGAGAGCCTTCCTCTGCGGGTCTTGTTGCCTGCAGAACAGAAAAAGGTCAGGCCGTGCCCCCTGGTTTTCCCCAGGAGACAGGGAGAACCCCGTCTGGGGCCCAGCCCCATTCCGTGTTTTGTGATACAGAAATGGACATCTGGTGCCCTTTCCGCCTCTGCACCTTCCCTCACGTGCCAACCTTCCCATCCTCCAGGTGGCCCTCTAGGCTTCCGAACTAAGGACTGTGATTTGGATTCCATCGCTTTTCCCCCTGTCGTGGGGAACCTGCACGAAGCGCCCCCGCCTCTCCCCGTCCCTGAATCTCCCAGAGCCCAAGGAGCTCCTGGGTGTGGAACCCCGGAGGACACGGAGCTCCGGCCTATTTCTCTGCAGCGCTCCTTCCCTGGCCCGGAGACGGAAAGGCACACGGTGTGCAGGTGCAGAGACACCATGTCCTTAGGAGGCAGCATCCTAAGAGTGGTGAAAACCCCTCCCACTGCTCACCTTGGTCTCTCTTCCTTCTCTCCCTTATCCTTGTTCAAGGGCCCCGGGTTGGCTTCAACCCGGGGCTTCCATGGTTTCAGGTTTTCCTTCCCTTCCTTTTTCCCCAAGGTCGCTGGAACCAGGGCTGCCTTCCAGCACTTCATGGGGCACCTGGTACTTCTGGCCGTGTGGCCAAAGGCCCCGCAGTTTTTGCACTTGAGCTGTGGGTGGAAAGGAAGTGATGTCAGTGAGTGAGCTGAAGCCACAGGCAGCGATCCCACGTCAACATTGGGACGGATTGTGAATTCAGAGCTGAATAAGGATTCCAAAGAGGGGACACCGGCATGGGGGCCGTTAAGTGCCGGGAGAGTTCGGGTACGATGTTCCCTCGCAAAGCCCGTGTGACGGAGGAACTCTGAAAGGAAGGACTCAAGGTTCCAAGGGGCACGATGGTGAAGCCGATGTCAACAACGCAGCCAAACGTGGCTACACAGGACTCTAAGTAGAAAGGGAGGTTGCCCCCAAGAGTCTCTCAAGGGACCTATCGGGCCGGGGAGAAGGTCCCAAGCCACGCCCACCTTGGATGGGAAAAGCAACCTGGCTGGTGGTGACAGAACTCTTTGGAATCCAACCCAGTCTCTGAGGACCGTGGGACACCCCCTCCCCCCGTCCCCACCCCCACCCCGATACCCAAGAGATCCAGGGCTAGACTTACCCTGGGATCTTCTTCATCGGGCGGGGGAGCCCTTGGCCCAACTGGGGCCCTCCGCTGCTTCTGGAGGGTCTGGGCTCTCACCAGTCTCTTGGCCCAAGATTTGGGGTCCCGACGTGCCATCATCTTCGTCTCCTGGGGGTTTTATGACCGCCTTTTTCAGGGGTGGACTGTTGGGCCACCTGAAACACACACAAACACACACATGTCGATGGTTAAGCACGTTGGATATTCACACACCCACAGGAAGCCACCTGCTAACTCCCTGCCTGTGTGGTCATGAGGAGACCTCACCACCAGTGGGTCAAATCTGTAGAACACAATGTGCTGTGCGCATCCTCGGATATTGTGTGTTCCTCTGCCATGACTACCTAGTCCAAGAGTAAACCCCACCTGCCACAGGGCCCGTGGCCTAGGTATGGGGGGTTGAGCTTTCAACCCCAAACAAACAACTGATTCTGGAGACTGGACTTAGGTCTCTCACGGTTCACTCCGGTAGAAGACACGGTGATTCTATCTCCCTTGACGGACAGAATGATCGAAGACACAGGGCATGGCGTGTGCCACCCTTTGGCAGGTCTGCTTGAAGTCACGGATAAGGGATGCTTCCTGTGATAACTTGAATCGCTACTCTTGCCATTTCATTAGGCAACTTCCAAACACAAATTCATACAGAGAAGTTACCTTCCTCTCTACCGCACTAGCAGGTGATGATCTTTCCTGTTCTATCTTTTGGCTTTAGCTCCAGCCCCTCTTTATTTATTTTCCTGGTATTTTACGCATACCACACGAATTCATCTGAACAAACGGGGAAGAAGTGCCGTATCGTATCGACGTCTTACACGGCTGAAGGGCAAACCCCCCTTTTTTCCAAAGTCCTTTTTCCATTTACCCACCAACTCAGCATGCTGCAGTACATTTCTTTTCGCATTCCCATCTTGGTCTTCTCCTACACGTGGAGACGGATATGTTGTCTCGTTTTCTGTTCCAAGAATTACTAGTAACGAGAACACATCCTACCCCACCAGCAAGCCCCAGTGTGATCGGTTTCTTTCGGCCTCCTTTGTCTCTTCCTCCCCCCGCCCCCCCCCGCCAAAACCACTCAGGGATTGCGTGAAACAAACAATTGTTCAGCGAAACTAACCTGAAATTACACGTCTACTTTCTTTCCCAGGCTGGCGCTGAGATGGGCAGGTGCTGCAGCAGCCCCGCTGGAAGCGATGCAGCATCCAGGACGACGGAGGAAGGGGCGGAGAGGGACCTCTGCTTTCCAGGCTGCCTTTTATACTGCCTCTGGTCACCTGACATGGAACGTACCCTAACCTAATCAGTTACCTGTACCTTAATTGCAATTAACTTAATCCAATTACATGACCTGGAAAGGTCTATCTGCACAGCCCACTCTAAGATCATGTCCACTGCTGACAGACATTCTAAAACCTACTTGTACAGCTGCAAGCTTTGAACAATAGATGTTCCCCGTCAGACATGTAACACTGGTGCCTGTACCCCTGTCTTCTTTTCCATCTTTTTTGTTGTTTTGTTTTGTTTTGTTTTAAAAAATGTGGTAAAATAGACACCTTTTAATTGGACCACATTTTGTCTATCTCGACGTAGGCCTCAGTGTCATCAAGGAGACTCTGCTTGACATGCAGTCACGGCCATGATCCATCTTCAGAGCTTCTCTTTCTTCCCCAAGGTAAGTCTGTCAGCAGAGAACCCTGACCGCACCCTCATGTGTTTTCTCCCCCAGGAGGCGCTTGGAAACCACCGTGAATTGGACCGCACTGGGAAACACAGATGAGGAAAGTCAACAACGCTTTGTCCTTCAGTGCCTGGCTCCTTTTTCAGCTCGTCTTGCGACTCCAGGCATTATGCCTGAAAAGTCTCCCGGACGCCTGTGAGGCTGTAATTCCCTGGGTCCCATTGCCATGTCTCTGGATTTGCGAAGATCCACCGCACCTTCTGTGGAACTCCCGTGTCGGTGAACTTTTGTGCCACGGCCCCTAATTCTGCCCATGGTCATCCGCACCTGCACGACTTAGGGTCCATGTTCCTTGGACGGGAAGAGACAGGCAGGAGTCGGAATGATGAACCAGCACACTGGGGCGTTTTCTCATGTAGCCCAAGTGACCCCATGGTCTTCTCGAGCTTTGGAACCAGTCGCGTCCCCTTTGACACTGCACCCGGCTCCTAGTCTCAATCTTGTTGGCCCTCCGGCGATCTCCCGTTGGATGAATTGCTCCTGCTGAAACTGGAGACCCCTTTGATTTGCGCTTCATTAATTATTCATGATTCAGGTTGGAAGGCCTGCTGACGACCCTCTGTGGCTCGTCGTTCTCTGAGCTTTCCTGTCATATCGTTTCGTTCCACGCTCTTTAGTTCCTTATGGTCCTGCTCCTTCTGCTGTCAGAGGAGCAGAGAGTTGATCTTATTCATTCTGGATACGGATACTTTCTAGGTGATCTGGATAATCAAGATAACGACCCTCAACAGCGGCGGAGAGGGAGCAGCCAGTTGGTGTGTCTCAGAAAATCCCGCTGAGTTCCGAGGCCTCCTAGATGTGGAATCCTGCTGAGAGTTGTTCCCAGGTCAGAGAATGGAGAGAGCCTGTGCATGATGGGATATCCCTGCCTAGATCTTTCAGTGAGTCTCTACCTCAGCTACTCTTAGGATCAGGGGGAGAACCATGGTGTCAGACATCCGGAAAGAAGACGGGATGAATGTTTTACCTCTGAAGTACATCCCAAATGTGGGAGTTAACTTCAGCTTTGCTGGGGTCTATTTGGCCAGTGAAACTCTGCCTGGTTCATTCGCACATCCGGAAGCCACTTCACGGGGGGCCGTCGCAACTGGAACCACACACTTGGCATCGGCGGTTGAGCCAAATGGGGACTCGTGGTGCAAGCAACGCTCCCCACGTGTTAGCGTGCGTGAGATTCGGTTGGCGGAATTTTACTAGGTGCGTGTTGGTAGAGTGGGGCTGAGGTTTTCTTGCTCCTGTGGATGTATAGGAAGTCAAAGGTCCTGCCCAGCCCTGCGGTCCCCTCAGGCAACTCTGTTTCGGAGACGTAACGATTTGGATTGCCAACAAGTCAAGAAATGTTCAAGCCCTTGGATGTAGGGTAAAGAAAGAGAGATCAGACTGTCACTGTGTCTATGTAGAAGGGGAAGACATAAGAGACTCCATTTTGAAAAAGACCTGTAGTTTAAACAATTGCTTTGCTGAGATGTTGATCATTTGTAGCTTTGCCGCAGCCCCTTCCTTTGACCCAACTTGGAGCTCACAAAAACCTGTGTTGTATAAAATCGAGGTTTAAGGGATCTAGGGCTGTGCAGGACGCGCCTTGTTTACCAAATGTTTACGAGCAGTATCCTTGGTAGGAGTCATTGCCATTCCCTAGTCTCAATAAACCAGGGGTGCAATGCACCGTGGAAAGCCACAGGGACCTCTGCCCTTGAAAGCAGGGTATTGTCCAAGGTTTCTCCCCATGTGACAGTCTGAAATATGGCCTCGTGGGATGGAAAAGACCGGACTGTCCCCCAGCCTGACACCCGCAATGGGTCTGTGCTGAGGTGGATTAGTCAAAGAGGAACGCCTCTTGCAGTTCAGATGGAGGAAGGCCACTGTCTCCTGCTTGCCCCTGGGAACTGAATGTCTCGGTGTAAAGCCCGATCGTACATTTGTTCAACTATGAGCTCGGCGAAAAGCTGCCCTGTGGCGGGAGGCGAGACATGCTGGCAGTAATGCTGCCTTGTTATTCTTTACTCCGCTGAGATATTTGTGTTTAGAGAAACATAAATCTGGCCTACGTGCACGTCCAGGCATAGTACCTTCCCTTGAACTTAATAATGATATGGATTCTTTTGCTCACGTGTTTGTTTTTTGTTGTTGTTTTGACCTTCCCCTTATTATCACCCTGCTCCCCTACTGCATTCCTTTGTGCTGAAATAATGAAAATCATAATCAATAAAAACTGAGGGAACTCAGAGGCCGGTGCCGGTGCAGGTCCTAGGTGTGCTGAGTTCCGGTCCCCTGGACCCACTGTTGTCTCCCTATACTTTGTCTCTGTGTCTTATTTCTTTTCTCCGTCTCTCATCCCACCCGACTAGAAACACCCACAGGTGTGGAGGGGCAGGCCACCCCTTCACTTGGAAAATCAGTTACACACAAACACGGAATGAGAGTCAAAAGACAATATGTCATCTTTTTGAGAATTTTATTCACTTCAAAACCCATTAAACACACATATGTACAAAGGCATTCCAGAGCCCAGTTTTCGAGGCTGAGGAAAGACCCCGAGAGCGCTTCGCACAGCACGCTTCCCAGCGTCCGAAACTCTGCTCTCAGGGCGGGGCACAGCGGAAGGGCTGCACCTCTCAGGGTTCCCTAACTTTTCCCTTATTCAGTCATCTAGAGAGCAAATACACAGTAATTCCCCAGTTTCCTATTGACGTCCCAGCGGAAGTCTGACTCCTGCGCGTCACGCAGTTTCTGAGGCAACGAATCTCTGGCACGGAAGCTTTTCCTGGCGCGTTTCCGGAGAACCACGCCAACTACAACGTCCCTCACCAGAATTCAATGAGGCAGAGTCCCTGCATCTGCTCCCTGCCTGGCCTGGGCTCCCACATCCACAGAAGCGCCACAGCCGGGGAGCTTCGGAGTCACCGCACAGAGTGTGCTCTCTGCTCTGCGCTCCTCAGTCCCACAGTCCCCTCCAAGTCACGGGAGCTGGAGGCCAAGGAGCCCCTGCCACCTGCAGTCTCACTCCAGGTCAGAATCGCTGTCCTCTGAGGAGGAGGAAACCTGAAGGTCCTCATAGAGGACGCTCGGTGGGACACGAACACAGGGAGCCTCAGACTTCTCTGACACATGAGGGCTCTGAGCGAGGAAGGCTCCCGGCTTCTCAGGAGAGTGAAATGAGGGGGCCGCCAGGAGGCTGGAGCTCCAGCGTCCGTTTTCCAGTCTCCGGAAGAGCACTCTGAGAGGCTGGGCCCCATCATGGCTGGCCGCTGAGTGATGGGACATGGTGCAGGCCTGGGCAGTAGGCAGGCAAGGTCTGCTGTGCGGAGGCTGCCGGTCGACGCTGGGCACCTGGGCCGGTGTCCTCCTGCCCATCTGGGGCGACGTACTTGGTCCAAGTTCGGTTGCGGCTGGCGGAGGTTGGAGATTCTCCGGGGCCCCCAGCTCACCTCCCTGGATGGCGCTTTCGGGGATCTGGAAGGGACCCAGTCTCGGTTTCTTGGGGAAGTTCAGGCAAGCCTGAATCGGAGCCTGGGCAGGTCTCTTGGCTCCTGGCCCGAAGCTGAGATTGGAGCCTAGGCCCAAGCTGTGTGTGGCGGCTGGCGGGCAGGGCTGCGAGGTCACCGCAGGACGTTTGTCTTGTGCCTGGGGTCTGGCGGCCTGGAGCAGGCCGTGGGTTTTGGAGGCAGCCTGGGGAACTTCTCGGCAGCCACCCTCGGGGCTGCTGTGTGTCGGCTTCACCACGAGGAGAGGCTCGCGGCCCTGGTGCCTGACTGCAGGCTGAGGGATGTCGGCCGCAGCCCCTGTCTGTCTTTCCTTTGGTCCAAGACTTGAGGAGGAGCTCAGGCTGGCTTTTCTGAGGGGAGACAGTGAAGCCAAGACGGAGCCCCTGCCAGACATTTCGGCAGCTGAGCGATCAGCGAGGACAGGGTCCACGCGCGGCCTCTTACTGGTTGTGTGGACCGGCATTGGCCCGCTTGCAACCTGAAAGAGAGGAAACAACACAGGTTAGAAGTTCCTCAGCATGGAGCCAACGTGAAAATCAAGCACATCCAAAGACAAGGTGCACACGCCATGAAATTCTTAGTACAGTATCGACAGGCGGTCCTTGGAAGTAGGGACAGACCCTCCACCTGAGTGCTGATCAGGACAAGACACATGAAAGATGCGCTCTCGAGCTATGTGTAGCTGATCTAAGCACACCATTGTTCAAAAGATCGCGTCTTGGGCATTAACTGGATCAAAGCGCCTCCACTCAGCCTTCCATGAAGTGGAACGGACTAATGCCCTTCCCGAGGCAGGTTGCTGGCTCAAGGGTACTCGGGACGTCTTCTCTGAACACATGCATGTTCCTGGGTTTCGCCTTCTCCACGTTTGGGGCCTCTGAGGGACTAATTTCCTCATGCCGCTAGGAACGTGTTGTTGGCAGGCTTGCCATAATTGGACAGAAAGAAAGCCACAGGAAATACGGCATCTTCAGATGCCTTCGCCTGGAATCCAATTGACCTGGAAGGATCGTGGAGTCCCTGACCCCAAGAAGGCAAGAAAGAGGGGTTCCCCGATTTCCTCCCGCAGACGGGAAGCTGAAAGGAAATCAACCAGGGTGACCTAGAGGAGAAAAGGACCAGGGGCCCGGGGTGACACTCACCCTCAGATGATCAGAAGACTCCGTGGATCCTTTTCCATTCGGCAGCGGCTTCTCTGGAGGTTTCCCGGAAAACATGTGGAGGAGAGCCTTCCTCTGCGGGTCTTGTTGCCTGCAGAACAGAAAAAGGTCAGGCCGTGCCCCCTGGTTTTCCCCAGGAGACAGGGAGAACCCCGTCTGGGGCCCAGCCCCATTCCGTGTTTTGTGATACAGAAATGGACATCTGGTGCCCTTTCCGCCTCTGCACCTTCCCTCACGTGCCAACCTTCCCATCCTCCAGGTGGCCCTCTAGGCTTCCGAACTAAGGACTGTGATTTGGATTCCATCGCTTTTCCCCCTGTCGTGGGGAACCTGCACGAAGCGCCCCCGCCTCTCCCCGTCCCTGAATCTCCCAGAGCCCAAGGAGCTCCTGGGTGTGGAACCCCGGAGGACACGGAGCTCCGGCCTATTTCTCTGCAGCGCTCCTTCCCTGGCCCGGAGACGGAAAGGCACACGGTGTGCAGGTGCAGAGACACCATGTCCTTAGGAGGCAGCATCCTAAGAGTGGTGAAAACCCCTCCCACTGCTCACCTTGGTCTCTCTTCCTTCTCTCCCTTATCCTTGTTCAAGGGCCCCGGGTTGGCTTCAACCCGGGGCTTCCATGGTTTCAGGTTTTCCTTCCCTTCCTTTTTCCCCAAGGTCGCTGGAACCAGGGCTGCCTTCCAGCACTTCATGGGGCACCTGGTACTTCTGGCCGTGTGGCCAAAGGCCCCGCAGTTTTTGCACTTGAGCTGTGGGTGGAAAGGAAGTGATGTCAGTGAGTGAGCTGAAGCCACAGGCAGCGATCCCACGTCAACATTGGGACGGATTGTGAATTCAGAGCTGAATAAGGATTCCAAAGAGGGGACACCGGCATGGGGGCCGTTAAGTGCCGGGAGAGTTCGGGTACGATGTTCCCTCGCAAAGCCCGTGTGACGGAGGAACTCTGAAAGGAAGGACTCAAGGTTCCAAGGGGCACGATGGTGAAGCCGATGTCAACAACGCAGCCAAACGTGGCTACACAGGACTCTAAGTAGAAAGGGAGGTTGCCCCCAAGAGTCTCTCAAGGGACCTATCGGGCCGGGGAGAAGGTCCCAAGCCACGCCCACCTTGGATGGGAAAAGCAACCTGGCTGGTGGTGACAGAACTCTTTGGAATCCAACCCAGTCTCTGAGGACCGTGGGACACCCCCTCCCCCCGTCCCCACCCCCACCCCGATACCCAAGAGATCCAGGGCTAGACTTACCCTGGGATCTTCTTCATCGGGCGGGGGAGCCCTTGGCCCAACTGGGGCCCTCCGCTGCTTCTGGAGGGTCTGGGCTCTCACCAGTCTCTTGGCCCAAGATTTGGGGTCCCGACGTGCCATCATCTTCGTCTCCTGGGGGTTTTATGACCGCCTTTTTCAGGGGTGGACTGTTGGGCCACCTGAAACACACACAAACACACACATGTCGATGGTTAAGCACGTTGGATATTCACACACCCACAGGAAGCCACCTGCTAACTCCCTGCCTGTGTGGTCATGAGGAGACCTCACCACCAGTGGGTCAAATCTGTAGAACACAATGTGCTGTGCGCATCCTCGGATATTGTGTGTTCCTCTGCCATGACTACCTAGTCCAAGAGTAAACCCCACCTGCCACAGGGCCCGTGGCCTAGGTATGGGGGGTTGAGCTTTCAACCCCAAACAAACAACTGATTCTGGAGACTGGACTTAGGTCTCTCACGATTCACTCCGGTAGAAGACACGGTGATTCTATCTCCCTTGACGGACAGAATGATCGAAGACACAGGGCATGGCGTGTGCCACCCTTTGGCAGGTCTGCTTGACGTCACGGATAAGGGATGCTTCCTGTGACAACTTGAATCGCTACTCTTGCCATTTCATTAGGCAACTTCCAAACACAAATTCATACAGAGAAGTTACCTTCCTCTCTACCGCACTAGCAGGTGATGATCTTTCCTGTTCTATCTTTTGGCTTTAGCTCCAGCCCCTCTTTATTTATTTTCCTGGTATTTTACGCACACCACACGAATTCATCTGAACAAACGGGGAAGAAGTGCCGTATCGTATCGACGTCTTACACGGCTGAAGGGCAAACCCCCCTTTTTTCCAAAGTCCTTTTTCCATTTACCCACCAATTCAGCATGCTGCAGTACATTTCTTTTCGCATTCCCATCTTGGTCTTCTCCCACACGTGGAGACGGATATGTTTTCTCGTTTTCTGTTCCAAGAATTACTAGTAACGAGAACACATCCTACCCCACCAGCAAGCCCCAGTGTGATCGGTTTCTTTCGGCCTCCTTTGTCTCTTCCTCCCCCGCCCTCCCCGCCAAAACCACTCAGGGATTGCGTGAAACAAACAATTGTTCAGCGAAACTAACCTGAAATTACACGTCTACTTTCTTTCCCAGGCTGGCGCTGAGATGGGCAGGTGCTGCAGCAGCCCGGCTGGAAGCGATGCAGCATCCAGGACGACGGAGGAAGGGGCAGAGAGGGACCTCTGCTTTCCAGGCTGCCTTTTATACTGCCTCTGGTCACCTGACATGGAACGTACCCTAACCTAATCAGTTACCTGTACCTTAATTGCAATTAACTTAATCCAATTACATGACCTGGAAAGGTCTGTCTGCACAGCCCACTCTAAGATCATGTCCACTGCTGACAGACATTCTAAAACCTACTTGTACAGCTGCAAGCTTTGAACAATAGATGTTCCCCGTCAGACATGTAACACTGGTGCCTGTACCCCTGTCTTCTTTTCCATCTTTTTTGTTGTTTTGTTTTGTTTTGTTTTAAAAAATGTGGTAAAATAGACACCTTTTAATTGGACCACATTTTGTCTATCTCGACGTAGGCCTCAGTGTCATCAAGGAGACTCTCCTTGACATGCAGTCACGGCCATGATCCATCTTCAGAGCTTCTCTTTCTTCCCCAAGGTAAGTCTGTCAGCAGAGAACCCTGACCGCACCCTCATGTGTTTTCTCCCCCAGGAGGCGCTTGGAAACCACCGTGAATTGGACCGCACTGGGAAACACAGATGAGGAAAGTCAACAACGCTTTGTCCTTCAGTGCCTGGCTCCTTTTTCAGCTCGTCTTGCGACTCCAGGCATTATGCCTGAAAAGTCTCCCGGACGCCTGTGAGGCTGTAATTCCCTGGGTCCCATTGCCATGTCTCTGGATTTGCGAAGATCCACCGCACCTTCTGTGGAACTCCCGTGTCGGTGAACTTTTGTGCCACGGCCCCTAGTTCTGCCCATGGTCATCCGCACCTGCACGACTTAGGGTCCATGTTCCTTGGACGGGAAGAGACAGGCAGGAGTCGGAATGATGAACCAGCACACTGGGGCGTTTTCTCATGTAGCCCAAGTGACCCCATGGTCTTCTCGAGCTTTGGAACCAGTCGCGTCCCCTTTGACACTGCACCCGGCTCCCAGTCTCTCAATCTTGTTGGCCCTCCGGCGATCTCCCGTTGGATGAATTGCTCCTGCTGAAACTCGAGTCCCCTTTGATTTGCGCTTCATTATTATTCATGATTCAGGTTGGAAGGCCTGCTGACGACCCCCTGTGGCCGTTCTCTGAGCTTTCCTGTCACATCGTTTCCTTCCACGCTCTTTTGGTTTCTTACGGTCCTGCTCCTTCTGCTGTCAGAGGAGCAGAGAGTTGATCTTATTCATTCTGGATACGGATACTTTCTAGTGGTGATCTGGATAATCAAGATAACGACCCTCAACAGCGGCGGAGAGGGAGCAGCCAGTTGGTGTGTCTCAGAAAATCCCGCTGAGTTCCGAGGCCTCCTAGATGTGGAATCCTGCTGAGAGTTGTTCCCAGGTCAGAGAATGGAGAGAGCCTGTGCATGATGGGATATCCCCGCCTAGATCTTTCAGTGAGTCTCTGCCTCAGCTACTCTTAGGATCAGGGGGAGAACCATGGTGTCAGACATCCGGAAAGAAGACGGGATGAATGTTTTTACCTCTGAAGTACATCCCAAATGTGGGAGTTAACTTCAGCTTTGCTGGGGTCTATTTGGCCAGTGAAACTCTGCCTGGTTCCTTCGCACATCCGGAAGCCACTTCACGGGGGGCCGTCGCAACTGGAACCACACACTTGGCATCGGCGGTTGAGCCAAATGGGGACTCGTGGTGCAAGCAACGCTCCCCCCACGTGTTAGCGTGCGTGAGATTCGGTTGGCCGGAATTTTTACTAGGTGCGTGTTGGTAGAGTGGGGCTGAGGTTTTCTTGCTCCTGTGGATGTATAGGAAGTCAAAGGTCCTGCCCAGCCCTGCGGTCCCCTCAGTCAACTCTGTTTCGGAGACGTAACGATTTGGATTGCCAACAAGTCAAGAAATGTTCAAGCCCTTGGATGTAGGGTAAAGAAAGAGAGATCAGACTGTCACTGTGTCTATGTAGAAGGGGAAGACATAAGAGACTCCATTTTTGAAAAAGACCTGTAGTTTAAACAATTGCTTTGCTGAGATGTTGTTCATTTGTTGCCTTGCCGCAGCCCCTTCCTTTGACCCAACTTGGAGCTCACAAAAACCTGTGTTGTATAAAATCGAGGTTTAAGGGATCTGGGGCTGTGCAGGACGCGCCTTGTTTAACCAAATGTTTACGAGCAGTATACTTGGTAGAAGTCATTGCCATTCTCTAGTCTCAATAAACCAGGGGCGCAATGCACCGTGGAAAGCCACAGGGACCTCTGCCCTTGAAAGCAGGGTATTGTCCAAGGTTTCTCCCCATGTGACAGTCTGAAATATGGCCTCGTGGGATGGGAAAGTCCTGAATGTCCCCCAGCCTGACACCCGCAATGGGTCTGTGCTGAGGTGGATTAGTCAAAGAGGAACGCCTCTTGCAGTTCAGATGGAGGAAGGCCACTGTCTCCTGCTTGCCCCTGGGAACTGAATGTCTCGGTGTAAAGCCCGATCGTACATTTGTTCAACTCTGAGCTCGGAGAAAAGCTGCCCTGTGGCGGGAGGCGAGACATGTTGGCAGTAATGCTGCCTTGTTATTCTTTACTCCGCTGAGATATTTGTGTGGAGAGAAACATAAATCTGGCCTACGTGCACGTCCAGGCATAGTACCTTCCCTTGAACTTAATAATGATATGGATTCTTTTGCTCACGTGTTTGTTTTGTGTTGTTTTTGTTGACCTTCCCCTTATTATCACCCTGCTCCCCTACTGCATTCCTTTGTGCTGAAATAATGAAAATCACAATCAATAAAAACTGCGGGAACTCAGAGGCCGGTGCCGGTGCAGGTCCTAGGTGTGCTGAGTGCCGGTCCCCTGGACCCACTGTTGTCTCCCTATACTTTGTCTCTGTGTCTTATTTCTTTTCTCCGTCTCTCATCCCACCCGACTAGAAACACCCACAGGTGTGGAGGGGCAGGCCACCCCTTCACTTGGAAAATCAGTTACACACAAACACGGAATGAGAGTCAAAAGACAATATGTCATCTTCTTGAGAATTTTATTCACTTCAAAACACATTAAACACACATATGTACAAAGGCATTCCAGAGCCCAGTTTTCGAGGCTGAGGAAAGACCCCGAGAGCGCTTCGCACAGCACGCTTCCCAGCGTCCGAAACACTGCTCTCAGGGCGGGGCACAGCGGAAGGGCTGCACCTCTCAGGGTTCCCTAACTTTTCCCTTATTCAGTCATCTAGACAGCAAATACACAGTAATTCCCCAGTTTCCTATTGACGTCCCAGCGGAAGTCTGACTCCTGCGCGTCACGCAGTTTCTGAGGCAACGAATCTCTGGCACGGAAGCTTTTCCTGGCGCGTTTCCGGAGAACCACGCCAACTACAACGTCCCTCACCAGAATTCAATGAGGCAGAGTCCCTGCATCTGCTCCCTGCCTGGCCTGGGCTCCCACATCCACAGAAGCGCCACAGCCGGGGAGCTTCGGAGTCACCGCACAGAGTGTGCTCTCTGCTCTGCGCTCCTCAGTCCCACAGTCCCCTCCAAGTCACGGGAGCCGGAGGCCAAGGAGCCCCTGCCACCTGCAGTCTCACTCCAGGTCAGAATCGCTGTCCTCTGAGGAGGAGG
Source organism: Homo sapiens (assembly GCF_000001405.40). NCBI lineage: Eukaryota > Metazoa > Chordata > Mammalia > Primates > Hominidae > Homo > Homo sapiens. The sequence continues at coordinate 5,323,283 of NW_018654717.1, read as the reverse complement.
AAACCTGAAGGTCCTCATAGAGGACGCTCGGTGGGACACGAACACAGGGAGCCTCAGACTTCTCTGACACATGAGGGCTCTGAGCGAGGAAGGCTCCCGGCTTCTCAGGAGAGTGAAATGAGGGGGCCGCCAGGAGGCTGGAGCTCCAGCGTCCGTTTTCCAGTCTCCGGAAGAGCACTCTGAGAGGCTGGGCCCCATCATGGCTGGCCGCTGAGTGATGGGACATGGTGCAGGCCTGGGCAGTAGGCAGGCAAGGTCTGCTGTGCGGAGGCTGCCGGTCGACGCTGGGCACCTGGGCCGGTGTCCTCCTGCCCATCTGGGGCGACGTACTTGGTCCAAGTTCGGTTGCGGCTGGCGGAGGTTGGAGATTCTCCGGGGCCCCCAGCTCACCTCCCTGGATGGCGCTTTCGGGGATCTGGAAGGGACCCAGTCTCGGTTTCTTGGGGAAGTTCAGGCAAGCCTGAATCGGAGCCTGGGCAGGTCTCTTGGCTCCTGGCCCGAAGCTGAGATTGGAGCCTAGGCCCAAGCTGTGTGTGGCGGCTGGCGGGCAGGGCTGTGAGGTCACCGCAGGACGTTTGTCTTGTGCCTGGGGTCTGGCGGCCTGGAGCAGGCCGTGGGTTTTGGAGGCAGCCTGGGGAACTTCTCGGCAGCCACCCTCGGGGCGGCTGTGTGTCGGCTTCACCACGAGGAGAGGCTCGCGGCCCTGGTGCCTGACTGCAGGCTGAGGCATGTCGGCCGCAGCCCCTGTCTGTCTTTCCTTTGGTCCAAGACTTGAGGAGGAGCTCAGGCTGGCTTTTCTGAGGGGAGACAGTGAAGCCAAGACGGAGCCCCTGCCAGACATTGCGGTAGCTGAGCGATCAGCGAGGACAGGGTCCAAGCGCGGCCTCTTACTGGTTGTGTGGACCGGCATTGGCCCGCTTGCAACCTGAAAGAGAGGAAACAACACAGGTTAGAAGTTCCTCAGCATGGAGCCAACGTGAAAATCAAGCACATCCAAAGACAAGGTGCACACGCCATGAAATTCTTAGTACAGTATCGACAGGCGGTCCTTGGAAGTAGGGACAGACCCTCCACCTGAGTGCTGATCAGGACAAGACACATGAAAGATGCGCTCTCGAGCTATGTGTAGCTGATCTAAGCACACCATTGTTCAAAAGATCGCGTCTTGGGCATTAACTGGATCAAAGCGCCTCCACTCAGCCTTCCATGAAGTGGAACGGACTAATGCCCTTCCCAAGGCAGGTTGCTGGCTCAAGGGTACTCGGGACGTCTTCTCTGAACACATGCATGTTCCTGGGTTTCGCCTTCTCCACGTTTGGGGCCTCTGAGGGACTAATTTCCTCATGCCGCTAGGAACGTGTTGTTGGCAGGCTTGCCATAATTGGACAGAAAGAAAGCAACAGGAAATACGGCATGTTCAGATGCCTTCGCCTGGAATCCAATTGACCTGGAAGGATCGTGGAGTCCCTGACCCCAAGAAGGCAAGAAAGAGGGGTTCCCCGATTTCCTCCCGCAGACGGGAAGCTGAAAGGAAATCAACCAGGGTGACCTAGAGGAGAAAAAGACCAGGGGCCCGGGGTGACACTCGCCCTCAGATAATCAGAAGATTCCGTGGATCCTTTTCCATTCGGCAGCGGCTTCTCTGGAGGTTTCCCGGAAAACATGTGGAGGAGAGCCTTCCTCTGCGGGTCTTGTTGCCTGCAGAACAGAAGAAGGTCAGGCCGTGCCCCCTGGTTTTCCCCAGGAGACAGGGAGAACCCCGTCTGGGGCCCAGCCCCATTCCGTGTTTTGTGATACAGAAATGGACATCTGGTGCCCTTTCCGCCTCTGCACCTTCCCTCACGTGCCAACCTTCCCATCCTCCAGGTGGCCCTCTAGGCTTCCCAACTAAGGACTGTGATTTGGATTCCATCGCTTTTCCCGCTGTCGTGGGGAACCTGCACGAAGCGCCCCCGCCTCTCCCCGTCCCTGAATCTCCCAGAGCCCAAGGAGCTCCTGGGTGTGGAACCCCGGAGGACACGGAGCTCCGGCCTATTTCTCTGCAGCGTTCCTTCCCTGGCCCGGAGACGGAAAGGCACACGGTGTGCAGGTGCAGAGACACCATGTCCTTGGGAGGCCGTACCCTAAGAGTGGTGAAAACCCCTCCCACTGCTCACCTTGGTCTCTCTTCCTTCTCTCCCTTATCCTTGTTCAAGGGCCCCGGGTTGGCTTCACCCCGGGGCTTCCATGGTTTCAGGTTTTCCTTCCCTTCCTTTTTCCCCAAGGTCGCTGGAACCAGGGCTGCCTTCCAGCACTTCATGGGGCACCTGGTACTTCTGGCCGTGTGGCCAAAGGCCCCGCAGTTTTTGCACTTGAGCTGCGGGTGGAAAGGAAGTGATGTCAGTGAGTGAGCTGAAGCCACAGGCAGCGATCCCACGTCAACATTGGGACGGATTGTGAATTCAGAGCTGAATAAGGATTCCAAAGAGGGGACACCGGCATGGGGGCCGTTAAGTGCTGGGAGAGTTCGGATACGATGTTCCCTCGCAAAGCCCATGTGACGGAGGAACTCTGAAAGGAAGGACTCAAGGTTCCAAGGGGCACGATGGTGAAGCCGATGTCAACAACGCAGCCAAACGTGGCTACACAGGACTCTAAGTAGAAAGGGAGGTTGCCCCCAAGAGTCTCTCAAGGGACCTATCGGGCCGGGGAGAAGGTCCCAAGCCACGCCCACCTTGGATGGGAAAAGCAACCTGGCTGGTGGTGACAGAACTCTTTGGAATCCAACCCAGTCTCTGAGGACCGTGGGACAGCCCCTCCCCCCGTCCCCACCCCCACCCCGATACCCAAGAGATCCAGGGCTAGACTTACCCTGGGATCTTCTTCATCGGGCGGGGGAGCCCTTGGCCCAACTGGGGCCCTCCGCTGCTTCTGGAGGGTCTGGGCTCTCACCAGTCTCTTGGCCCAAGATTTGGGGTCCCGACGTGCCATCATCTTCGTCTCCTGGGGGTTTTATGACCGCCTTTTTCAGGGGTGGACTGTTGGGCCACCTGAAACACACACAAACACACACATGTCGATGGTTAAGCACGTTGGATATTCACACACCCACAGGAAGCCACCTGCTAACTCCCTGCCTGTGTGGTCATGAGGAGACCTCACCACCAGTCGGTCAAATCTGTAGAACACAATGTGCTGTGCGCATCCTCGGATATTGTGTGTTCCTCTGCCATGACTACCTAGTCCAAGAGTAAACCCCACCTGCCACAGGGCCCGTGGCCTAGGTATGGGGGGGTTGAGCTTTCAACCCCAAACAAACAACTGATTCTGGAGACTGGACTTAGGTCTCTCACGATTCACTCCGGTAGAAGACACGGTGATTCTATCTCCCTTGACGGACAGAATGATCGAAGACACAGGGCATGGCGTGTGCCACCCTTTGGCAGGTCTGCTTGAAGTCACGGATAAGGGATGCTTCCTGTGACAACTTGAATCGCTACTCTTGCCATTTCATTAGGCAACTTCCAAGCACAAATTCATACAGAGAAGTTACCTTCCTCTCTACCGCACTAGCAGGTGAGGATCTTTCCTGTTCTATCTTTTGGCTTTAGCTCCAGCCCCTCTTTATTTATTTTCCTGGTATTTTACGCACACCACACGAATTCATCTGAACAAACGGGGAAGAAGTGCCGTATCGTATCGACGTCTTACACGGCTGAAGGGCAAACCCCCCTTTTTTCCAAAGTCTTTTTTCCATTTACCCACCAATTCAGCATGCTGCAGTACATTTCTTTTCCCATTCCCATCTTGGTCTTCTCCCACACGTGGAGACGGATATGTTTTCTCGTTTTCTGTTCCAAGAATTACTAGTAACGAGAACACATCCTACCCCACCAGCAAGCCCCAGTGTGATCGGTTTCTTTCGGCCTCCTTTGTCTCTTCCTCCCCCACACCCCCCGCAAAAACCCCTCAGGGATTGCGTGAAAGAAACAATTGTTCAGCGAAACCAACCTGAAATTACACGTCTACTTTCTTTCCCAGGCTGGCGCTGAGATGGGCAGGTGCTGCAGCAGCCCCGCTGGAAGCGATGCAGCCTCCAGGACGACGGAGGAAGAGGCAGAGAGGGACCTCCGCTTTCCAGGCTGCCTTTTATACTGCCTCTGGTCACCTGACATGGAACGTACCCTAACCTAATCAGTTACCTGTACCTTAATTGCAATTAACTTAATCCAATTACATGACCTGGAAAGGTCTATCTGCACAGCCCACTCTAAGATCATGTCCACTGCTGACAGACATTCTAAAACCTACTTGTACAGCTGCAAGCTTTGAACAATAGATGTTCCCCGTCAGACATGTAACACTGGTGCCTGTACCCCTGTCTTCTTTTCCATCTTTTTTGTTGTTTTGTTTTGTTTTGTTTTAAAAAATGTGGTAAAATAGACACCTTTTAATTGGACCACATTTTGTCTATCTCGACGTAGGCCTCAGTGTCATCAAGGAGACTCTCCTTGACATGCAGTCACGGCCATGATCCATCTTCAGAGCTTCTCTTTCTTCCCCAAGGTAAGTCTGTCAGCAGAGAACCCTGACCGCACCCTCATGTGTTTTCTCCCCCAGGAGGCGCTTGGAAACCACCGTGAATTGGACCGCACTGGGAAACACAGATGAGGAAAGTCAACAACGCTTTGTCCTTCAGTGCCTGGCTCCTTTTTCAGCTCCTCTTGCGACTCCAGGCATTATGCCTGAAAAGTCTCCCGGACGCCTGTGAGGCTGTAATTCCCTGGGTCCCATTGCCATGTCTCTGGATTTGCGAAGATCCACCGCACCTTCTGTGGAACTCCCGTGTCGGTGAACTTTTGTGCCACGGCCCCTAATTCTGCCCATGGTCATCCGCACCTGCACGACTTAGGGTCCATGTTCCTTGGACGGGAAGAGACAGGCAGGAGTCGGAATGATGAACCAGCACACTGGGGCGTTTTCTCATGTAGCCCAAGTGACCCCATGGTCTTCTCGAGCTTTGGAACCAGTCGCGTCCCCTTTGACACTGCACCCGGCTCCCAGTCACTCAATCTTGTTGGCCCTCCGGCGATCTCCCGTTGGATGAATTGCTCCTGCTGAAACTCGAGTCCCCTTTGATTTGCGCTTCATTAATTATTCATGATTCAGGTTGGAAGGCCTGCTGACGACCCCCTGTGGCCGTTCTCTGAGCTTTCCTGTCACATCGTTTCCTTCCACGCTCTTTGGTTTCTTACGGTCCTGCTCCTTCTGCTGTCAGAGGAGCAGAGAGTTGATCTTATTCATTCTGGATACGGATACTTTCTAGTTGATCTGGATAATCAAGATAACGACCCTCAACAGCGGCGGAGAGGGAGCAGCCAGTTGGTGTGTCTCAGAAAATCCCGCTGAGTTCCGAGGCCTCCTAGATGTGGAATCCTGCTGAGAGTTGTTCCCAGGTCAGAGAATGGAGAGAGCCTGTGCATGATGGGATATCCCCGCCTAGATCTTTCAGTGAGTCTCTGCCTCAGCTACTCTTAGGATTAGGGGGAGAACCATGGTGTCAGACATCCGGAAAGAAGACGGGATGAATGTTTTACCTCTGAAGTACATCCCAAATGTGGGAGTTAACTTCAGCTTTGCTGGGGTCTATTTGGCCAGTGAAACTCTGCCTGGTTCCTTCGCACACCCGGAAGCCACTTCACGGGGGGCCGTCGCAACTGGAACCACACACTTGGCATCGGCGGTTGAGCCAAATGGGGACTCGTGGTGCAAGCAACGCTCCCCACGTGTTAGCGTGCGTGAGATGCGGTTGGCGGAATTTTACTAGGTGCGTGTTGGTAGAGTGGGGCTGAGGTTTTCTTGCTCCTGTGGATGTATAGCAAGTCAAAGGTCCTGCCCAGCCCTGCGGTCCCCTCAGTCAACTCTGTTTCGGAGACGTAACGATTTGGATTGCCAACAAGTCAAGAAATGTTCAAGCCCTTGGATGTAGGGTAAAGAAAGAGAGATCAGACTGTCACTGTGTCTATGTAGAAGGGGAAGACATAAGAGACTCCATTTTGAAAAAGACCTGTACTTTAAACAATTGCTTTGCTGAGATGTTGTTCATTTGTTGCCTTGCCGCAGCCCCTTCCTTTGACCCAACTTGGAGCTCACAAAAACCTGTGTTGTATAAAATCGAGGTTTAAGGGATCTGGGGCTGTGCAGGACGCGCCTTGTTAACCAAATGTTTACGAGCAGTATACTTGGTAGAAGTCATTGCCATTCTCTAGTCTCAATAAACCAGGGGCGCAATGCACCGTGGAAAGCCACAGGGACCTCTGCCCTTGATAGCAGGGTATTGTCCAAGGTTTCTCCCCATGTGACAGTCTGAAATATGGCCTCGTGGGATGGGAAAGTCCTGAATGTCCCCCAGCCTGACACCCGCAATGGGTCTGTGCTGAGGTGGATTAGTCAAAGAGGAACGCCTCTTGCAGTTCAGATGGAGGAAGGCCACTGTCTCCTGCTTGCCCCTGGGAACTGAATGTCTCGGTGTAAAGCCTGATCGTACATTTGTTCAACTCTGAGCTCGGAGAAAAGCTGCCCTGTGGCGGGAGGCGAGACATGTTGGCAGTAATGCTGCCTTGTTATTCTTTACTCCGCTGAGATATTTGTGTGGAGAGAAACATAAATCTGGCCTACGTGCACGTCCAGGCATAGTACCTTCCCTTGAACTTAATAATGATATGGATTCTTTTGCTCACGTGTTTGTTTTGTGTTGTTTTTGTTGACCTTCCCCTTATTATCACCCTGCTCCCCTACTGCATTCCTTTGTGCTGAAATAATGAAAATCACAATCAATAAAAACTGCGGGAACTCAGAGGCCGGTGCCGGTGCAGGTCCTAGGTGTGCTGAGTGCCGGTCCCCTGGACCCACTGTTGTCTCCCTATACTTTGTCTCTGTGTCTTATTTCTTTTCTCCGTCTCTCATCCCACCCGACTAGAAACACCCACAGGTGAGGAGGGGCAGGCCACCCCTTCACTTGGAAAATCAGTTACACACAAACACGGAATGAGAGTCAAAAGACAATATGTCATCTTTTTGAGAATTTTATTCACTTCAAAACCAATGAAACACACATATGTACAAAGGCATTCCAGAGCCCAGTTTTCGAGGCTGAGGAAAGACCCCGAGAGCGCTTCACACAGCACGCTTCCCAGCGTCCGAAACTCTGCTCTCAGGGCGGGGCACAGCGGAAGGGCTGCACCTCTCAGGGTTCCCTAACTTTTCCCTTATTCAGTCATCTAGACAGCAAATACACAGTAATTCCCCAGTTTCCTATTGACGTCCCAGCGGAAGTCTGACTCCTGCGCGTCACGCAGTTTCTGAGGCAACGAATCTCTGGCACGGAAGCTTTTCCTGGCGCGTTTCCGGAGAACCACGCCAACTACAACGTCCCTCACCAGAATTCAATGAGGCAGAGTCCCTGCATCTGCTCCCTGCCTGGCCTGGGCTCCCACATCCACAGAAGCGCCACAGCCGGGGAGCTTCGGAGTCACCGCACAGAGTGTGCTCTCTGCTCTGCGCTCCTCAGTCCCACAGTCCCCTCCAAGTCACGGGAGCCGGAGGCCAAGGAGCCCCTGCCACCTGCAGTCTCACTCCAGGTCAAAATCGCTGTCCTCTGAGGAGGAGGAAACCTGAAGGTCCTCATAGAGGACGCTCGGTGGGACACGAACACAGGGAGCCTCAGACTTCTCTGACACATGAGGGCTCTGAGCGAGGAAGGCTCCCGGCTTCTCAGGAGAGTGAAATGAGGGGGCCGCCAGGAGGCTGGAGCTCCAGCGTCCGTTTTCCAGTCTCCAGAAGAGCACTCTGAGAGGCTGGGCCCCATCATGGCTGGCCGCTGAGTGATGGGACATGGTGCAGGCCTGGGCAGTAGGCAGGCAAGGTCTGCTGTGCGGAGGCTGCCGGTCGACGCTGGGCACCTGGGCCGGTGTCCTCCTGCCCATCTGGGGCGACGTACTTGGTCCAAGTTCGGTTGCGGCTGGCGGAGGTTGGAGATTCTCCGGGGCCCCCAGCTCACCTCCCTGGATGGCGCTTTCGGGGATCTGGAAGGGACCCAGTCTCGGTTTCTTGGGGAAGTTCAGGCAAGCCTGAATCGGAGCCTGGGCAGGTCTCTTGGCTCCTGGCCCGAAGCTGAGATTGGAGCCTAGGCCCAAGCTGTGTGTGGCGGCTGGCGGGCAGGGCTGTGAGGTCACCGCAGGACGTTTGTCTTGTGCCTGGGGTCTGGCGGCCTGGAGCAGGCCGTGGGTTTTGGAGGCAGCCTGGGGAACTTCTCGGCAGCCACCCTCCGGGCGGCTGTGTGTCGGCTTCACCACGAGGAGAGGCTCGCGGCCCTGGTGCCTGACTGCAGGCTGAGGCATGTCGGCCGCAGCCCCTGTCTGTCTTTCCTTTGGTCCAAGACTTGAGGAGGAGCTCAGGCTGGCTTTTCTGAGGGGAGACAGTGAAGCCAAGACGGAGCCCCTGCCAGACATTGCGGTAGCTGAGCGATCAGCGAGGACAGGGTCCAAGCGCGGCCTCTTACTGGTTGTGTGGACCGGCATTGGCCCGCTTGCAACCTGAAAGAGAGGAAACAACACAGGTTAGAAGTTCCTCAGCATGGAGCCAACGTGAAAATCAAGCACATCCAAAGACAAGGTGCACACGCCATGAAATTCTTAGTACAGTATCGACAGGCGGTCCTTGGAAGTAGGGACAGACCCTCCACCTGAGTGCTGATCAGGACAAGACACATGAAAGATACGCTCTCGAGCTATGTGTAGCTGATCTAAGCACACCATTGTTCAAAAGATCGCGTCTTGGGCATTAACTGGATCAAAGCGCCTCCACTCAGCCTTCCATGAAGTGGAACGGACTAATGCCCTTCCCAAGGCAGGTTGCTGGCTCAAGGGTACTCGGGACGTCTTCTCTGAACACATGCATGTTCCTGGGTTTCGCCTTCTCCACGTTTGGGGCCTCTGAGGGACTAATTTCCTCATGCCGCTAGGAACGTGTTGTTGGCAGGCTTGCCATAATTGGACAGAAAGAAAGCAACAGGAAATACGGCATGTTCAGATGCCTTCGCCTGGAATCCAATTGACCTGGAAGGATCGTGGAGTCCCTGACCCCAAGAAGGCAAGAAAGAGGGGTTCCCCGATTTCCTCCCGCAGACGGGAAGCTGAAAGGAAATCAACCAGGGTGACCTAGAGGAGAAAAAGACCAGGGGCCCGGGGTGACACTCGCCCTCAGATAATCAGAAGATTCCGTGGATCCTTTTCCATTCGGCAGCGGCTTCTCTGGAGGTTTCCCGGAAAACATGTGGAGGAGAGCCTTCCTCTGCGGGTCTTGTTGCCTGCAGAACAGAAGAAGGTCAGGCCGTGCCCCCTGGTTTTCCCCAGGAGACAGGGAGAACCCCGTCTGGGGCCCAGCCCCATTCCGTGTTTTGTGATACAGAAATGGACATCTGGTGCCCTTTCCGCCTCTGCACCTTCCCTCACGTGCCAACCTTCCCATCCTCCAGGTGGCCCTCTAGGCTTCCCAACTAAGGACTGTGATTTGGATTCCATCGCTTTTCCCGCTGTCGTGGGGAACCTGCACGAAGCGCCCCCGCCTCTCCCCGTCCCTGAATCTCCCAGAGCCCAAGGAGCTCCTGGGTGTGGAACCCCGGAGGACACGGAGCTCCGGCCTATTTCTCTGCAGCGTTCCTTCCCTGGCCCGGAGACGGAAAGGCACACGGTGTGCAGGTGCAGAGACACCATGTCCTTGGGAGGCCGTACCCTAAGAGTGGTGAAAACCCCTCCCACTGCTCACCTTGGTCTCTCTTCCTTCTCTCCCTTATCCTTGTTCAAGGGCCCCGGGTTGGCTTCACCCCGGGGCTTCCATGGTTTCAGGTTTTCCTTCCCTTCCTTTTTCCCCAAGGTCGCTGGAACCAGGGCTGCCTTCCAGCACTTCATGGGGCACCTGGTACTTCTGGCCGTGTGGCCAAAGGCCCCGCAGTTTTTGCACTTGAGCTGCGGGTGGAAAGGAAGTGATGTCAGTGAGTGAGCTGAAGCCACAGGCAGCGATCCCACGTCAACATTGGGACGGATTGTGAATTCAGAGCTGAATAAGGATTCCAAAGAGGGGACACCGGCATGGGGGCCGTTAAGTGCTGGGAGAGTTCGGGTACGATGTTCCCTCGCAAAGCCCACGGGACGGAGGAACTCTGAAAGGAAGGACTCAAGGTTCCAAGGGGCACGATGGTGAAGCCGATGTCAACAACGCAGCCAAACGTGGCTACACAGGACTCTAAGTAGAAAGGGAGGTTGCCCCCAAGAGTCTCTCAAGGGACCTATCGGGCCGGGGAGAAGGTCCCAAGCCACGCCCACCTTGGATGGGAAAAGCAACCTGGCTGGTGGTGACAGAACTCTTTGGAATCCAACCCAGTCTCTGAGGACCGTGGGACAGCCCCTCCCCCCGTCCCCACCCCCACCCCGATACCCAAGAGATCCAGGGCTACACTTACCCTGGGATCTTCTTCATCGGGCGGGGGAGCCCTTGGCCCAACTGGGGCCCTCCGCTGCTTCTGGAGGGTCTGGGCTCTCACCAGTCTCTTGGCCCAAGATTTGGGGTCCCGACGTGCCATCATCTTCGTCTCCTGGGGGTTTTATGACCGCCTTTTTCAGGGGTGGACTGTTGGGCCACCTGAAACACACACAAACACACACATGTCGATGGTTAAGCACGTTGGATATTCACACACCCACAGGAAGCCACCTGCTAACTCCCTGCCTGTGTGGTCATGAGGAGACCTCACCACCAGTCGGTCAAATCTGTAGAACACAATGTGCTGTGCGCATCCTCGGATATTGTGTGTTCCTCTGCCATGACTACCTAGTCCAAGAGTAAACCCCACCTGCCACAGGGCCCGTGGCCTAGGTATGGGGGGGTTGAGCTTTCAACCCCAAACAAACAACTGATTCTGGAGACTGGACTTAGGTCTCTCACGATTCACTCCGGTAGAAGACACGGTGATTCTATCTCCCTTGACGGACAGAATGATCGAAGACACAGGGCATGGCGTGTGCCACCCTTTGGCAGGTCTGCTTGAAGTCACGGATAAGGGATGCTTCCTGTGACAACTTGAATCGCTACTCTTGCCATTTCATTAGGCAACTTCCAAGCACAAATTCATACAGAGAAGTTACCTTCCTCTCTACCGCACTAGCAGGTGAGGATCTTTCCTGTTCTATCTTTTGGCTTTAGCTCCAGCCCCTCTTTATTTATTTTCCTGGTATTTTACGCACACCACACGAATTCATCTGAACAAACGGGGAAGAAGTGCCGTATCGTATCGACGTCTTACACGGCTGAAGGGCAAACCCCCCTTTTTTCCAAAGTCCTGTTTCCATTTACCCACCAATTCAGCATGCTGCAGTACATTTCTTTTCCCATTCCCATCTTGGTCTTCTCCCACACGTGGAGACGGATATGTTTTCTCGTTTTCTGTTCCAAGAATTACTAGTAACGAGAACACATCCTACCCCACCAGCAAGCCCCAGTGTGATCGGTTTCTTTCGGCCTCCTTTGTCTCTTCCTCCCCCACACCCCCCGCAAAAACCCCTCAGGGATTGCGTGAAACAAACAATTGTTCAGCGAAACCAACCTGAAATTACACGTCTACTTTCTTTCCCAGGCTGGCGCTGAGATGGGCAGGTGCTGCAGCAGCCCGGCTGGAAGCGATGCAGCATCCAGGACGACGGAGGAAGGGGCAGAGAGGGACCTCCGCTTTCCAGGCTGCCTTTTATACTGCCTCTGGTCACCTGACATGGAACGTACCCTAACCTAATCAGTTACCTGTACCTTAATTGCAATTAACTTAATCCAATTACATGACCTGGAAAGGTCTATCTGCACAGCCCACTCTAAGATCATGTCCACTGCTGACAGACATTCTAAAACCTACTTGTACAGCTGCAAGCTTTGAACAATAGATGTTCCCCGTCAGACATGTAACACTGGTGCCTGTACCCCTGTCTTCTTTTCCATCTTTTTTGTTGTTTTGTTTTGTTTTGTTTTAAAAAATGTGGTAAAATAGACACCTTTTAATTGGACCACATTTTGTCTATCTCGACGTAGGCCTCAGTGTCATCAAGGAGACTCTCCTTGACATGCAGTCACGGCCATGATCCATCTTCAGAGCTTCTCTTTCTTCCCCAAGGTAAGTCTGTCAGCAGAGAACCCTGACCGCACCCTCATGTGTTTTCTCCCCCAGGAGGCGCTTGGAAACAACCGTGAATTGGACCGCACTGGGAAACACAGATGAGGAAAGTCAACAACGCTTTGTCCTTCAGTGCCTGGCTCCTTTTTCAGCTCCTCTTGCGACTCCAGGCATTATGCCTGAAAAGTCTCCCGGACGCCTGTGAGGCTCTAATTCCCTGGGTCCCATTGCCATGTCTCTGGATTTGCGAAGATCCACCGCACCTTCTGTGGAACTCCCGTGTCGGTGAACTTTTGTGCCACGGCCCCTAATTCTGCCCATGGTCATCCGCACCTGCACGACTTAGGGTCCATGTTCCTTGGACGGGAAGAGACAGGCAGGAGTCGGAATGATGAACCAGCACACTGGGGCGTTTTCTCATGTAGCCCAAGGGACCCCAAGGTCTTCTCGAGCTTTGGAACCAGTCGCGTCCCCTTTGACACTGCACCCGGCTCCCAGTCACTCAATCTTGTTGGCCCTCCGGCGATCTCCCGTTGGATGAATTGCTCCTGCTGAAACTCGAGTCCCCTTTGATTTGCGCTTCATTAATTATTCATGATTCAGGTTGGAAGGCCTGCTGACGACCCCCTGTGGCCGTTCTCTGAGCTTTCCTGTCACATCGTTTCCTTCCACGCTCTTTGGTTCCTTACGGTCCTGCTCCTTCTGCTGTCAGAGGAGCAGAGAGTTGATCTTATTCATTCTGGATACGGATACTTTCTAGTTGATCTGGATAATCAAGATAACGACCCTCAACAGCGGCGGAGAGGGAGCAGCCAGTTGGTGTGTCTCAGAAAATCCCGCTGAGTTCCGAGGCCTCCTAGATGTGGAATCCTGCTGAGAGTTGTTCCCAGGTCAGAGAATGGAGAGAGCCTGTGCATGATGGGATATCCCCGCCTAGATCTTTCAGTGAGTCTCTGCCTCAGCTACTCTTAGGATTAGGGGGAGAACCATGGTGTCAGACATCCGGAAAGAAGACGGGATGAATGTTTTACCTCTGAAGTACATCCCAAATGTGGGAGTTAACTTCAGCTTTGCTGGGGTCTATTTGGCCAGTGAAACTCTGCCTGGTTCCTTCGCACATCCGGAAGCCACTTCACGGGGGGCCGTCGCAACTGGAACCACACACTTGGCATCGGCGGTTGAGCCAAATGGGGACTCGTGGTGCAAGCAACGCTCCCCACGTGTTAGCGTGCGTGAGATGCGGTTGGCGGAATTTTACTAGGTGCGTGTTGGTAGAGTGGGGCTGAGGTTTTCTTGCTCCTGTGGATGTATAGGAAGTCAAAGGTCCTGCCCAGCCCTGCGGTCCCCTCAGTCAACTCTGTTTCGGAGACGTAACGATTTGGATTGCCAACAAGTCAAGAAATGTTCAAGCCCTTGGATGTAGGGTAAAGAAAGAGAGATCAGACTGTCACTGTGTCTATGTAGAAGGGGAAGACATAAGAGACTCCATTTTGAAAAAGACCTGTAGTTTAAACAATTGCTTTGCTGAGATGTTGTTCATTTGTTGCCTTGCCGCAGCCCCTTCCTTTGACCCAACTTGGAGCTCACAAAAACCTGTGTTGTATAAAATCGAGGTTTAAGGGATCTAGGGCTGTGCAGGACGTGCTTTGTTAACCAAATGTTTGCGAGCAGTATACTTGGTAAAAGTCATTGCCATTCTCTAGTTTCAATAAACCAGGGGCACTATGCACCGTCGAAAGCCGCAGCGACCTCTGCCCTTGAAAGCAGGTTATTGTCCAAGGTTTCTCCCCATGTAACAGTCTGAAATATGGCCCCGTGGGATGTTAAAGACCTGACTGGCCCCCAGCCTGAGACCCGTAAAGGGTCTGTGTCGAGGTGGATTAGTCAAAGAGGAAAGCCTCTTGCAATTTAGATGGAGGACAGCCGCTGTCTCCCGCAGCCCCTCTTGCCTCCCTGGCTCTTAGGACCCCCATCGCAGGGTGTGAGGCACTCCCCCCGTTTCGGGTTGTAAGAGCCAAACCCTCTTGCCCCCCTGGCTCTTAGTTTCCCCCATCGCAGCGGGGTGAGTCACGTCCTGCTATGCTTGGGGTAAGAGCCAGCCCCTCTTGCCCCCCTGGCTCTCAGGACCCCCATCGCAGTGGTGTGAGGCACGCCCCTTGATGCGGGTATTAAGAGCCTTCCCATCTTACCTCCTGGCTCTTAGGACCCCCATCGCAGGGGGTGAGGCACGCCCCGCCATGCGGAGAGTAAGAGCTAACCCCTCTTGCCCCCCTGGTTTTTAGGATCCGCGGTGGACTCACAGCCTGTTTATCATATTGTGAGTAATATCGTCTCCCGCTCTGGAGATTGTGAACTGTTTCACCCACCGGTGTTCACCCCGGCGTACAGAGGTTGTACACCCGTCTGTATTGGGAGTCATATCATCCTCTTCCTCTCTGAATATTAAGAACAGTATCACAGGGGTGTTTCTACTCCCTGGGATATCGCGTGTCATATCATCCTCTCCCACGTTGCAATTAGAAACAATATCAGTGGGGGCGTGTCCACCTTCTGTGATACTGAAAGTAATATCATCCTCTTCCCTCCAGGATCGTGGGAACAATATCCTTGGGGGTGTCCACTTTCTGCCATATGTGTAGTCATATCACCCCCTCCGCCTTGGAATATTATTAAGAACCATGTCACACGGGGGTGTACACTTCCTACGATGTTGGGAGTAATAGCATTCTCTTCTTCCATGAATATTAGGAACAAAATCACCGGGTGGATGCACACCCAGTGCTATATTGGGAGTAATGTCATACTCCACCCCCTGGAGATTATATTCGGATCAATATCACCGGCTGGGTGTGCACCTGCTGCGATATTGAACATAATATCATGCTCTCTCACTCCCTGAACTTTAGGAACAATATCACAGGTGAGTGTACACCCACTGAGGTATTAGGGCATACTATTAGTATGAATTATTCCTTGTTTTTTATTAACATGAATATGAATGGCCGATATTAATATTAATATTAAGAAGTAATTGCTAATAAAAAGTTCTCAGATTATTAATATTAATATTAATTATTAGGAGCTAATATTACTATTTTCTAATGAATAAGATCCGTATCAGTTATTAATATCAGGCGTCATAATCATTAATATTAATCATGTATTGTTATTGTTAGTATAACTATTTAATATTAATTATCATTAGTATCGGTATTGATTTTAAAAATTATATTATGGGTTATTAATATTGATAATTATTAGTGTCAGTTAATAATTGAGATTATTAATTGCGGTAAGTCGCATTGCGCCATTCCACCCCTTCCTCGGCAGCTCGTTTACGACCCAAAACGGGGACACAAATGCCCCTGAGAGAGCAGCGGTATACTGGGATAGATGAAAATGCTCATGTAGTGGAGAGACGTGTTTTTGGGTACCAGCCCTTCACCTGCGTCGACCTTCTCAACTGGAAAAACAATACATCGCCCTATACCGAAAAGCCACAAGCCCTAATTGATTTGCTCCAAACTGTTATCCAGACCCACAACCACACCTGGACCGATTGGCACCAGTTGCTCATTTTCCTCTTTAACAGTGAAGAAAGGCAGAGAGTCCTCCAAGCAGCAACTAAGTGGCTAGAGGAACATGCACCAGCTGATTATCAAAACCCCCAATAGTATGGAAGGACCCAGTTGCCAGGAACCGACCCCCAGTTGGACCCACATGAAAGAGAGGAGATGCAAAGGCTAAACCGAGACAGGGAAGCTCTCTTGGAAGGATTAATGAGGGGAGCTCAGAAGGCCACAAACGTTAACAAGCTCTCTGAGGTCATTCAGGGAAAAGAAGAAAGTCCAGCACAATTCTACGAGAGACTGTATGAGGCCTATCATATGTATACTCCCTTTGATCCCGATAGCCCTGAAAATCAGCGCATGATTCACATGGCTTTAGTCCATCAAAGTGCAGAAGACATGAGAAGAAAACTGCAGAAACAGACTGGGCTTGCAGGGAAGAATCCATCCCAATTACTAGAAATAGCTAGCCAGGTGTTTGTAAACAGGTATGCAGTAAGCCGTAAGGAAAACGGCAAAGAGGATGGAGGTCAGTCCCGGCCACACGCCGACCTGTTTGTCAGCTGCAGCAATCAGAGGGGCCCCCGCAAAGAGGCAAGGGAAAGGGGGCCCTGGGAAAGAAACTCAGCTTGGCTGTCAGAGTTTGCAGCGTAACCAGTGTGCTGATTGTAAAGAAATAGGACAGTGGAAGAACAAATGCCCTCAGCTCAAAAGAAAAGAAGGTGACTCAGAGCCGGAGGCCCCGGACAAGGAGGAAGGGGCCCTGCTCAACCTGGCAGAAGGGTTCTTGGACTGAGGGAGACCGGGCTCAAGCATCCCCATTCTGACATCTGTTCAGAATGACAGTCAGGGGTGGAGACATTAACTTTCTTGTAGATAGCGGTGCTGAACATTCGCTAGTAACCGCCCCGGTCGTCCCCTTACCGAAAAAGACTACTGACGTCATCGGAGCCACGGGGGTTTCAGCAAAGCAAGCTTTCTGCTTGCCTTGGACTTGTCCTGTAGGAGGACATAAAGTCATTCATCAGTTTTGTTACATGCCTGACAGTCTCTTGAACTTTTCAGGAAGGGACTTGCTCAGCAAGCTGAGAGCCACTGCCTCTTTCACAGAGCACGGCTCTTTGCTGCTAAAGTTACCCGGAATGGGAGTCATTATGACGCTTATGGTCCCCCGAGAGGAGGAATGGAGACTTTTCTGAACTGACCCGGGCAAAGAGAAAAGACCAGCTCTGGCTAAGCGCTGGCCAAGAGTTCGGGCAGAAGAGAACCCTCCAGGATTGGCCAGTTAAGACTGGGGCCCAGCCGGTGAGGCAAAAACAGGACTCGGTCCCCAGAGAAGCCCTTCAAGGTATCCAGGTCCATCTCAAGCACCTAAGAACGTTTGGAATGATTGTTCCTTGTCAGTCTCCATGGAACACTCCCCTCCTGCCTGTTCCCAAGCCACGGACCAAGGACTACCGGCCGGTACAGGATTTGCGCTTGCTTCATCAAGCCACACTGACTTTACATCCAACAGTACCTAACCCGTCCACATTGTTGGGGTTGCCGCCAGCTGAGGACAGCTGGTTCACCTGCTTGGACCTAAAAGACGCTTTCCTTCCTATCAGATTAGCCCCTGAGAGGCAGAAGCTGTTTGCCTTTCAGTGGGAAGATCCGGAGTCAGGTGTCACTACTTAGTACACTTGGACCGGGCTTCCCCAAAGGTTCAAGAACTCCCCCACCATCTTCGGGGAGGCATAGGCTCGAGACCTCCAGAAGTTTCCTAGCAGAGACCTAGGCTGCTTGTTGCTCCAGTAGGTTGATGACCTTCTGCTGGGACACCCCACGGCAGTCGGGTGTGCCAAGGGAACAGATGCCCTACACCGCACCTGGAGGACTGTGGGTAGAAGGTGTCCAAGAAGAAAGCTCAGATCTGCCGACAGCAGGTACGTTACTTGGGATTTACTATCCGACAGGGGTCGGAACGCAGCCCGAGATCAGAAAGAAAGCAGGTCATTTGCCATCTAGCGGAGCCTAAGAGCAGAAGGCAGGTAAGAGAATTCTTAGGAGCTGTGGGGTTTTGTAGACTGTGGATCCCAAACTTTGCAGTATTAGCCAAGTTTTTGTATGAGGTCACAAGGGGGGCGGGGACGGGGAATCTTTGGAATGCGGATCCCAACAACAGCAAGTATTTCATGAGTTAAAGGAAAAACTTCTGGCAGCACCAGCCCTGAGGCTACCCGATCTGACAAAGCCTTTTCCATTGTATGCATCAGAGAGAGAAAGGATGGCAGCTGGACTTTGAACCCAAACTGTGGGGCCCTGGCTGAGGCTGGTGGCCTACCTCTGTAAACCACTAGACGGGGTTTCTAAAGGATGGCCCCCCTGTTGGAGGGCCTTGGCAGCAACTGCCCTGCTAGTATAAGAAGCAAATAAGCTGACTCTTGGGCGAAACCTGAACATAAAGGCCTCCCGTGCTGTGGTGATGAATACTAAAGGACGTCATTGGCTAACGAATGCCAGGCTCACCAAGTACCAAACTTTGGTCTGTGAAAATCCCCGTATAACCATTGAAGTTTGTAACACCCTACACCCCGCCACCTTGCTGCCGGTATCAGGGAGCCCTGTCGAGCCTGATTGTGTAGAAGTGTTGGACTCAATTGACTCTAGCAGACCTGAGCTCCGGGACCAGACTTGGGCATCAGTAGACTGGGAACCACACGTGGATGGGAGCAGCTTCTTCAACCCCCAAGGAGAGAGAGGTGCAGGGTATGCAGTGATAACTCTGGACACTGTTGTTGAAACCAGGTCGTTGCCCCAGGCCACTTCAGCCCAGAAAGCTGAACTCAATGCTTTCATTTGGGCCTTAGAACTCAGTGAGGGTGAGACTGTCAACACTTACACTGATTCTCGGTATGTCTTTTTAACCCTTCAAGTGCATGGAGTGTGATAGAAAGAAAAGGGCCTATTGAATTCTGGGGGGAAAGACAGAAAATATCCACAAGAAATCTTGCAATGATTAGAAGCAGTATGGAAACCCCACAAGGTGGCAGTTAGGCATTGCAGAGGACACCAGCGAGCTTCCACATTGCTGTGTTTGGGGAATTCCCGCGCTGAGTCAGAGGCTCGAAAAGCAGCAACTGCCCCCTTCTGGGCATCAGTGCTCCCTCAAGCACCTGATCTTGGACCTGCTTCTTCTAAAGAAGAAAGGACTTTCTCCAGGTAGAGGGAAGGACAAGTGATGGAGGAAGGATGGATTCAGTTACCAGATGGGAGAGTAGCTGTGCCACAGCTGCTAGGAGCTGCAGTTGTACTGGCTGTGCAAGAAAACACCCATCGAGGTCAGGAGTCACTGGAAAAGTTGTTAGGCCGGTATTTCTACATCTCGCCTTTGTCAACCCTTGCCAAAACGGTGAGGCAGCGGTGTGTTACCTGCTGACAGCATGATGGGAGTCAAGGTCCAGCCGTTCCGCCCGGCATACGAGCTTGTGGAGCAGCCCCCTTTGAAGGTCTCCAGGTGGACTTCACAGAGATGCCAAAGTGTGGAGGTAACAAGCATGTACTGGTTCTTGGGCGTACCTATTCTGGGTGGGTGGAGGCCTATCCAACACGAACTGAGAAAGCTGGTGAAGTAACCCCTGTGCTTCTTCGAGATGTGATTCCTAGATTTCGACCGCCCTTATGGATCGGCTCAGACAACGGGCCTGCGTTTTTGGCTGCCTTGGTACAGAAAACGGCAAAGGTATTGGGGATCACACGGAAACTACATGCCGCCTCCCGGCCTCAGAGTTCCGGAAAGGTGGAGAGGATGAATCGGACTATCAAAAATAGTACTACTGTCTTCCCCGCTGGATATTTAAAACAACAGCACAAGGGGCGTCAAATCACCTGCTAAATTGGAGGCAATGTTATCCTCTCCCCTCCTCCCCCGGCCCCGGATATTAGAGACAACAACACAGGGGTGATGTACACCCACTGCTTTATTGTGAGTAATATCATCCTCTCCCTTCTTGGATAGTAGGAACAGTATCACACTGTGCGTGTAGGCCTGTCGCGAAATTCAATGGAATGTCATCCTGCGCCTCCCTGGATATGACGAACAATATCACGGGGGATGTACAACTTCTGAGATATTGGGAGTGATGTCATCCTCTCCCCTCTGGAAGTTAGGGACAATATCACAGGGGTAGTGTACACCCTCTGGGATGTTGGGACTAATATCTCACAGATGTCTGAGAATTCCTCCTCCTGGGACTCTCAGAGGATCCAGAACTGCAGCCGGTCCTCGCTTTGCTGTCCCTGTCCCTGTCCATGTATCTGGTCATGGTGCTGAGGAACCTGCTCAGCATCCTGGCTGTCAGCTCTGACTCCCCCCTCCACACCCCCATGTACTTCTTCCTCTCCAACCTGTGCTGGCCTGACATCGGTTTCACCTCGGCCATGGTTCCCAAGATGATTGTGGACACGCAGTCGCATAGCAGAGTCATCTCTCATGCGGGCTGCCTGACACAGATGTCTTTCCTGCTCCTTGTTGCATGTATAGAAGGCATGCTCCTGACTGTGATGGCCTATGACTGCTTTGTAGCCATCTGTCGCCCTCTGCACTACCCAATCATCGTGAATCCTCACCTCTGTGTCTTCTTCGTTTTGGTGTCCTTTTTCCTTAGCCTGTTGGATTCCCAGCTGCACAGTTGGATTGTGTTACAATTAACCATCATCAAGAATGTGGAAATCTCTAATTTGGTCTGTGACCCCTCTCAACTTCTCAAACTTGCCTGTTCTGACAGCGTCATCAATAACATATTCATATATTTCGATAGTACTATGTTTGGTTTTCTTCCCATTTCAGGGATCTTTTTGTCTTACTATAAAATTGTCCCCTCCATTCTAAGGATTTCATCGTCAGATGGGAAGTATAAAGCCTTCTCCACCTGTGGCTGTCATCTAGCAGTTGTTTGCTGGTTTTATGGAACAGGCATTGGCTTGTACCTGACTTCAGCTGGGTCACCACCTCCCAGGAATGGTGTGGTGGCTTCAGTGATGTACGCTGTGGTCACCCCATGCTGAACCTTTTCATCTGCAGCCTGAGAAACAGGGACATACAAAGTGCCCTGCGGAGGCTGCGCAGCAGAGCAGTCGAATATCATGATCTGTTCCATCCTTTTTCTTGTGTGGGTGAGAAAGGGCAACCACATTAAATCTCTACATCTGCAAATCCTGCCCCTCAGTCACATTCTTTTTGTGGCTTGATGGCTTTTATTCCTTTCCGCATTTCCTTTGTGAATATTGCTTTCTTCGTTATGCCTTTATCTGGAATGAGTGACGATTCTGGGATCCTTGGTTTAGCAGAAACCTCATGACAGAATCTTCTATACCTAGGTGGCCTCTTTTAGTCTCTGAGCAATAACCATGCCATCCAGGTGGAATCACAACCATCATTTTATATACACGAAGTCCTCACTTCGTTTTGGAATTCCCTGAAAACTGACTTTATGGAAACAATGTACAGAAGGTCCTCCAACAGCATTGGTTGTTCAAAGTCGTGTAGTTATACTGTTGATGAAAAATAAGTGGTTTCACTATACATAATTTTGCTTCAAGGTGAAGTTTCCAAGAGACTTTCAAAGATGTTAAGTGAGGACATACTGTACATCAAATTCATATCCTCTTCCACAGTTCATGTGGAATTTCTTTATAAACTTCTTCTAGAGAATCTATTTAAGCAGGTTCTGTGTAGATATCCATGTCGCCGTTCCTCAATCTTGGCTTTGAGTCAAATCACCTGGGCAGCTTACACATGATGAGGACTGGTTCTCAATACCTGAGATTCTGATTTCCTTGCACCTGTGTGAGTGTGTGGATTTTTTTTTTTTTCTTTTAAAGCACCAGAGGTGGTTCCAATGACGAAGTTTTTAGAGGCATCAAGCTGCAATGAGTAAGAACAGAAATTAATTGTAATATGATTTCTTCAAATATTATCTTCAAATGCATTGTCCATCAACACCATACGAATGTTTATTATGCTGTTTTTTCTTACCATTTCGCATTTTCTATTTCCTTCTTGTCCTTTTTTTTTTTTTTTTTTTTGAGTCAGAGTTTCACTCTTGTTGCCCAGGCTGGAGTTCAATGGCACGGTCTCGGCTCACTGCAACCTCTGCCTCCCGTATTCAAGCAATTCTCCTGTCTCAGCCTTCCAAGTAGCTGGGATTACAGGCATGCGCTACCATGCCTGGCTATCTTTTTGTTGTTGTTGTTGTATTGTTAGTAGAGACAATGTTTCTCCATTTTGGTCAGGCTGGTCTTGAACTCCCGACCTCAGGTGATCCGGCCGCTTCCGCCTCCCAAAGTACTGGGATTACACGCATGAGGGACCGCGCCCAGCCACCACTTAGCATTTACATTTTGCAATTGTTGAAGTTATCGATTTATACACACATCAATTGCTGCTTTGTTATACACTTGCAGATACATAAGATGGGAAATAGAAAAGAATAAAATGGGCACGGTATCCCTGAAGTTTCACATTCTGAGACTTTAAAAATATTTGCTCTTTAGAAATTTGTTTCAATAAAGAAACTGTGGTATACACACCCAATGAAGTATTATTCAGCCTAAAGAGGAAGAAAATCCTCTCCGCTGCAGACAAAATGGATGAGATTGCAGGTCTGTATATTAAATGAAATAAGCCAGGCACAGAATGTCAAATATTTCATGTCCTCACTTCTACGTAGGAAGAAAAAAGGAAACCTTGACCAGGCGTGGTGGCTCAGACCTGTAATCCCAGCACTCTGGGAGGCCGAGTCGCAGGGATCACTTGAGTCCAGGGGTTCGAGACCCGCTTGGCCAACATGTTGAAACCCCGTCTCTACGGAAAAAACAAGCAATTAGCCGGGCGTGGTGACGCGTGCCTCTAGTCTCAGCTACTCGGAGGGCTGAGGCCCAAGAAGCGCTTGAACTCGGGAGGCGGAGCTTTCAGTGAGCCCGGATTGTGCCTGTGTACTCCAACCTGGGCAACATAAAGAGACTCCATCACACACCTACACACAAAAGGAATCTCAGGAAGGTGGAAAGTATAAAGGTGGTTAGCAGACGCTAGGAAGAAAAGGGGTGGGATGGGGAATGAAGACAAGTGGATAATTGGGTCCCAAAATACAGAAAGATGGAATAAGTGAGTTCTAGTGTTTGATTGTACAGTATGAAAATTTTAATTCACAAGAATTTCTTGAATATTTCCAGATGCTTTGGTAAGAAACTTCCTAATTTTCTCATTATGCTGGTTTTTCAGCTCTTCTCTTTCTGCTCTTGAAATCATGCTGGTTTTTTGTTTTTTGTTTTTTGTTTTGAGATGGAGTTTCGCTCTTGTTGCCCAGGCTGGAGTGTCATGGTGCAATCTTGGCTCACCGCAACCTCTGCCTCCTGGGTTCAAGCGATTCTCCTGCCTCCACCTCCCGAGTAGCTGGGATTACAGGCACGCGCCTGTAGTAGAGACGGGGGTTTCTCCCTGTCGGTCAGGCTGGTCTTCAACTCCTGACATCAGGTGATCCGCCCACCTCGGCCTCCCAAAGTGCTGGGATTACAGGCGTGAGCGACGGGCCCGGCCCATGCTGTAACATTATCTGTTGTCTGCTGTTGTTTGTTTATTTTGGAGCCCAGAAATAACTTGTCACCTGTATGTTCAAACGATTTTTAACATGAGTGGTAAGAAAGCTCATTGGTGGAAAAACAGCCTTTTCAAGAAATGGTGTTGGAGAAACTTGATTTCCACATGCAGAAGAATGAAGGTGGACACTATGTCACACCAGGTGCAAAAATTAACACAAACTGGATCAAAGACCTCACCCCAAGCGCTAAAAGAATCATTCGCCTAAAGGAAAACATTGGCCATGCTTTCATGACATCATATTGGGCAATGTTCTCTGGGATATGACACCAAAAGCATAGGCAACAAAAGAAAATTAGATTCCTTGGATTACATCGAAATGACAGACACTTTTGTGCAGCAAAATCACGGCAAACTGAGTGAAAAGATAACCCATGGATTAGGAAAAATATTTTCAAAGCATATATCTGAAAAGAGGCTGATATCCATCATACATAAAGAACAGGCAGAACTAAAGAACAAGAAACCCAAAGCATCCCATCAATAATGGTCAGAAGACTCAAGTAGACGTGTTCCTAAAGAAGATATAGCAATGGCCAATAAGCATCTAAAATGATGTTCAAAATCACTCATCATAAGGAAGCGCAAATCAAACCAAGAATGTGACACCACACATTAGGATGGATATGATAAACAAACAGGATTGGTGAGACTAGAGGGAAGTAGGAATGCTCGAATCTGATCAGAAGGAATGTAAAACCGTGAAGGAACGGGGAAAATAGTATGGCGTCTACTGGAAAAATTAGAAACAGGATGATCATATGTTGCCGCAGTTGCATTTGTGGGTACCTACAAAAAGAAGCCAGGAGTGGAAGACAGATTTGTGTACACCCATATTCATAGCAGCATTATTCACAAGAGCCAAAATGTGGAAGCAACCCAAGGGTTCGTGGACAGATGAATGAAAAAGCCCACTGCAGTTCCTTCATACAATGGAAGACTATTCAGCCTTCAAAAGGCAGGCACTTCTGGCCGGTGCGGTGGCTCACGCCTGTAATCGCAGCGTCTTGGAAGACCGAGGTGGGCGGATCACCTGAGGTCAGGAATTCAAGACCAGCCTGGCCATCTTGGGGAAACCCTGTCCCTACTGAAAATGCAAAAAATGAGATGAGCATGGAGGCGTGTGCCTATAGTCCCAGCTACTCGGGAGGATGTGGCACAAGAATCACTGGAACCCGGGAAGCGGAGGTGAGCCCAGATTGTGCCACTGTACTCCAGCCTGTGCGACAGAGTGAGACTCTATGGAAACACAAAACAAAACAAAGTCAAACGAACAAACAAAAAACAACAAAAAAAAAAACAGACAGGCACTTCTGAGGCAGGCCGCAACATGGATGAACCTTGAAGACATTATCGTCAGTGAAATAAATAAATCCCAAAAGGATAAACAGGCCCAGGCTCAGTGGCTCGCACCTGTAACACCAGCACTTTGGGAGGCTGAGCCAGGCGGATCACTTCAGGTCAGGAGTTCGAGACCAGCCTGGCCAATATGGTGAAAGCTCGTCTCTATTAAAAATACAAAAATTAGCAGGGCGTGGTGGCGCACGCCTGTAATCCCAGCCTCTCGGGAGACTGAGACACAAGAATCGCTTGAACCCACGATGTGGAGGTTGCAGTGAGCCGAGATCACACCACTGCACTCCAGACTGGGTGAGAGAGAAAGACTCTGTCTCCAAAACAAAAAAAATAAACACGGTATGATTCCACTTATCTATCAAGTGTCTAGAGTAGTTAAACTCATAGAGTTGCAAACTAGAAAGGTGGCCCCCAGGGGTGGGCGAGAGAAAGGAATGGAGAGCTTGGTGAATGGGTGGAATTTCCATTTTGAAAGATAAAACTGTTCCTGAGATGATGGCGGTGATGCTTGCTAAATAATGTGAACGTACTTAATGTCATTAATCTGTAAACTGAAAAAGAGTGGAAATTGTAAATGTTTATACTGGCCATTCTATATGAACTAATATATATTTATAATTTTTAATATTTATACGTGGTATATTTTCCCATTATAAAAGATGAAAATTAAAGCAGTTGGATGTTTAAAAAGAAAAGAAAGAAGCGAAGAATACACACCAGCTTTCTTCTGATTAGAGGAGGAGCCCCAAAGTTTCTATGGACACTCACTTTTCTCTTCTTCTTGCATTATTATGAGGACATCCTTAGAGGTTGGGGAACTTGCGCGGCTTTGGCTAATGAGGAGCTCTGTGCCTGAGCCCCCCAGGCCACAGGATAGTAAATACTCAGTCTGTGCCTCCCGCCCTGCAGTGTGAGGTTGCAGTCCTGTGGTCTCCACAGCCGTCACCTGTATCAGGAGGCTCATGTCTCACCCTGTCTTCTTGCCAGCCTTGAGGACGGAGCCTGAGCCTCCATGGTGCACCACGCAGGGAGGACAGTGGACCTGTTCTCCGTGGTCATGTCCCAGCAGAGGGGAGAGGCAGTTCAGTGAGTGTAGGGAAAAGAAAGAGAGATCAGACTCTTACTGTGTCTATGCAGAAAGGAAAGACATAAG
This sequence comes from Homo sapiens, assembly GCF_000001405.40. Taxonomy (NCBI): domain Eukaryota; kingdom Metazoa; phylum Chordata; class Mammalia; order Primates; family Hominidae; genus Homo; species Homo sapiens. Next base: position 5,297,373 of record NW_018654717.1, on the reverse strand, counting down.
AGACTCCATTTTGAGAAAGACCTGTACTTTCAACAATTGCTTTGCTGAGATGTTGTTAATCTGTAGCTTTGCCCCAGCCACTTTGACCCAACCTGAAGCTCACAAAAACATGTGTTGTATGAAATCAAGGTTTAAGGGATCTAGGGTTATGCAGGACTTGCCTTGTTAACAAGATGTTTCCAAGCAGTATACTTTGTAAAAGTCATCGCCATTCTCTAGTATCAATAAACCAGGGGCACAATACACTGTGGAAAGCCGCAGGGAGCCCTGCCCTTGAAAGCAGGGTATTGTCCAAGGTTTCTCCCCATGTGATAGTCTGAAATATGGCCTGGTGGGATGAGAAAGACCTGACCATCCCCCAGCCCGCCCCCCGTAAAGGGTCTGTGCTGAGGTGGATTAGTCAAAGAGGAAAGCCTCTTGCAGTTGAGAGAGAGGAAGGCCGCTGTTTCCTGCCTGCCCCTGGGAACTGAATGTCTCGGTATAAAACCCGATTGTACATTTGTTCAATTCTGAGATGGGAGAAAAACCACCCTATGGTGAGAGGCGAGACATGTTTGCAGCAATGCTGCCTTGTTATTCTTTACTCCACTGAGATGTTTGGGTGGAGAGAAACATAAATCTGGCTTACGTACACATCCAGTCATAGTACCTTTCCTTGAAATTCCTTATGAAATAGATTCTATTTCTCACATGTTCGTTGCTGACCTTCTCCTTATTATCACCCTGCGCTCCTACTACATTCCTTTTTGCTAAAATAATAAAAATAATAGTCAATAAAAACTGAGGGAACTCAGAGTCCTGTGCCGGTGCAGGTCCTTGGTATGCTGAGCGGCGGTCCCCTAGGCCCACTGTTGTTTCTCCATACTTTGTCTCTGTATCTTATTTCTTTTCTCAGTCTCTCGTCCTACCCGACTGGAAATACCCACAGCTGTGGAGGGGGAGGCCACCCCTTCAAGTGAGTGCTGAGGGACGGTCGGGAGACTTGTTTGTTTCCTCATCCTCAGGACAAACAGGAGAGTGCGGTGGGCAGATGTGAGGAGACCAATGTGCAACTCTCTGCTCAGCAGACTGTGCAGTTTATGTTCTTGGTTGTGCTGGGGGTCTCAGAAATCTTATTCAAAATTTTGCTTTCCTCCCCCACTGGTTGTCCTTTTCATAAACATCTCACCCATGATAGCAGGGAATCAGTCCCTCTAACTATTCCCTAAGAACAACAAAGAGATTATGAAGGTGATGATGAGGATAAAGAGGATGACGACAGACACCATGGCATCATGAACCCTTACTGAGGGCTTCCTAAAGGCCAGGCTCTGAGCTCTGTGCTCTATGCAGCTTGTTTCATTTCATCTGCATAGTCTCCACGTTATTAGTGCACATTTCATGATGATTTTACAGACTAGAAAAAGCGCAACGGATTTTCATGCAGCTTGTACCAGATCACGAAGTCAAAAAGGGCGAAGTCCAATTTGAACCAGGCAGTCTAAGTCCAGACACATGGCATTTGGCAAGTCCTCTCCCTGCAACCAACCTGCCCTCTCAAATCCTCGTCACTCAGGCGGATGCCCCTACTCACTGTGCCCTTCCCTTTGTGGGTTCCTTGTTGACCACAGCTAGACCAGTGGGTGCCACAATCACTGTGTCATGTATAGAAAGGGCAGCTGAGATCACATCAAGGATTCCAGAAAGAATTTGCACAGGATCATTCGGGACGCATCTCTCCCTTGCCCCTGTTCCTGGCTTTCCTTACAGCTCTCAACTTCCTCAAAGGAGTCATCAATTCGGAGTTTGGCTTCCATTTCTATTGAGGAAGCTGGAAAGTGTTTCAAAAATGCTCCTCCGATGTGCCTGTGGTTAAGACCTCTGAGCTCTGCTTAAAACTCTTTGAAGCTGTGCGCGTTGGCTCACGTGTGTAATCCCAGCCCTTTGGGAGGCTGAGACAGGCGAATCACAAGGTCAGGATTTCGAGACCAGCCTGGCCAACATGGTGAAACCCTGTTTCTACTAAAAATACCAAAAAAACTCAAAAAAATTAGCCAGGCATGGTGGCATACGCCTGTCATCCCAGCTACTGGGGAGGCTGAGACAGGAGACTCCTTTGAAGCCGGGAGACAGAGGTTGCAGTGAATCGAGATCACACCACTGCACTCCTGCCTGGGCAACAGAGCAAGACTCCGTCTCAAAAAAATAAATAAATAAAAATTACGAAAAAATGGCAAACTTTAGCCGTTAGCTCACGTACCACTTTGGAAGGGCATACCTTTAGTCACTTCACCCTTTAATCCCTTTGCTCAAGACTAAAGTTCTGAGAGGAAGACTAATCGGCTGAGTTGTGTCCATGTGGGCAGTGCAGGAAAGGATGCAGCGGGACGCTGCTCCAGGGATGTCTTTGGCTTCCATCATGGGGGAGCAGGCGCCTGGATTACCCACCCTAACAAATCTGGACAAAGGAAAACGAGGTTCTCCGAGGAAGGAGACATAGAGCCCAAGGAGCTAACCAAGAGACAAATGGTCATCCTGTCTTGTCATTTTCTTTTACACATGTGTGTACATTATCTTACACTTATCACTTTGTTTTCTTTCTCTCCTTTAATTGCACGCTGCTGCCAAAAGTTAAAATAAAATGAAAGTATTGAGATAGCTCAGTAACTGACTTTTGGTCAATTGCCTTTTCATATAGTGAACAGGTGCCCAAACGATTGTCTCTGTCACTGTGCAAATTTGCAAGCGTTTGCATGATCACTCCCACTCCCCCAATACAGAGCTGTGTTACAGCACAATTTAGTTCAGTGTTTTGCTCTCTGCAACAGGGAGGTTCTCATCCATTACAGGATGCAGTAAAAACAGGGGTACCATAAGCAACCAGCTCTTTCCTCAAAGAGGTGATGAAAGCAAAAGCCAAGTAGCTCCATGTATCCAACTTAAAAATATAAAAGTTACGCCCGTGGGCTGCAGTTGGAGCTATGGCGGCGGCAGCTGTCACTGGGCCTAGCCCGGGGTGTGGACCTGGGGACTCCCCAGAAGGGCCCGAGGGGGAGGCTCAAGGAGCGTCGGTGGAAGGCGGACAGGATGCTGAAGTTTTACAACGGCCTCTCGGAAGTGGAGGCGGTGGGACTCCCTGCGGGGACCGACCCCCTGGACCCCACTGATATGAACGGGGTACACTTCGACCCGGAAGTTTACCTAGACAAGCTTCCTAGAGAGTGCCCTCTGGCCCAGCTGATGGATAGTGAGACGGACATGGTGCAGCAGATCCGGGCTCTAGACAGCAACATGCAAACCCTGGTCTATGAGAACTACGATAAGTTCTCATAGACCCAGCCACAGAAATTGACACACAGCATAAAACTGTAAGAGGAATTGCAGGAGACCCAGAATTTCCCAAATAACCTTGTAAAAGAAGAACAAATTTGGAAGACTCACAAAAAAAAAAATATATATATATATACATATTATATATATATACATATATATATAAAGTTGTGTTTTCATTCAGTTGTAAATGTTTAGTAATTTCTATTGTGATTTTTCATTTAACTCATGAAAGGATATTTTTAATTTTCCAAATATATGCTTGTGTTTAGCTATCTTCTTGCTGTTGACTTCTAATTTTGTGGCATTATGGTCAGGAAAATGTGGTCTGGACACTGTCAATCGTATAGTGGATTTTGTTGAGACTTCTTTATGGCCTAATATGTGGCCAGTTTTTTTTTTGTTTTTTTTTTTTGCAAATTTGCCACATGTGGTTAAAAGGAATGTGGATTATTTGTTTTTTTTAGGAGAGTTTTTATTTTTAAATAGATAAGGTTCTCAGTGTAATTGAAATCTAACTTCAGTTAACAATATGCTAGACCTCTCAAACCTCAGGATGTTAGTCAGTGTAACAATAGACTGCTGCTGAGACGAATAAACCCTGAACTCTCAGTGGGTTGACACCCATAGCATAGTCTGGTGCAGGGCAGGGGTTCTCCTTGGGGGCCCTTGTCCAACAGTGATTCAGAGATTCTGGAGGTTTCCATCTTTTAATTCTGCCATCTCAGAGTTTTTCACTTGTAGCCATATGGATAGGAAGAGAGGGAACATAGCTCACACTTTGATAACCTTGGCCCAGAAGTGATTTCTTACATTCCTATTGGTGGAAATGCAGTCACATGGTTCCAAACTAACTGCAAATGAGGCTGGGAAATGTAGTCTTTCTGCATGTCCAGGAAGAGGAATGGTGTGAACACAGTATTGTCTTTGACACACTAAGCATGTGCTGAAGAGTTCTTACTCTCATAGGAGGTTTGTCTGTCCTGTGTAACTTTCTCAGTTTTTGCTTAGATAGTTTCAGGCAATGCTGTTTGGTGCATTCAGCTTGATGATTATTATGTCCTCTTGGCAAAGTAGTCAACATTCCCATCAGTTTGAATGAAAGTGTTTTACAGATAGGTCAGGAAATGTTAATACTTTAAAAGGCCCTTCTATTCCTCCACTCTACATATAAGAAAAACAGAGTCCTAGAGAGAGGAGGTCATGGGTCTCACTCATGAGTGGCAGAATTGAAACCAATGTGGCACTAACTTTGCCTTTCCCCCATCATGTTGTTCTCCTTCTATCTTCACTCTGCTGATTTCTTCACTTGCTCCATACAGACCTCCCAGTGCCAAGTGTATAAGTGTGTCCAGAATTGGTGGGTTCTTGGTCTCACTGACTTCAAGAACGAAGCTGTGGACCCTCCTGGTGAGTGTTACAGTTCTTAAAGGTGGCGTGTTTGGAGTTTGTTCCTTCTGATGTTCGGATGTGTTTGAAGTTTCTTCCTTCAGGTGGGGCTCGTGGTCTCGCTGGCTCAGGAGTGAAGCTGCAGATCTTCACGGTGAGTGTTACAGCTCTTACGGCTGCAGGTCTGGAGTTGTTCATTTCTCCCAGTGGGTTCATGGTCTTGCTGGCTTCAGGAGAGAAGCTGCAGACCTTCTCGGTGAGTGTTACAGCTCATAAAGTCAGTGTGGACCCAAAGAGTGAGCAGCAACAAGATTTATTGCAAAGAGCAAAAGAACAAAGCTTCCACAGTGTGGAAGGGGACCTCAGTGGGTTGCCACTGCTGGCTCAGGCAGCCTGCTTTTATTCTCTTACCTGGCCCCACCCACATCCTGCTGATTGGTCCATTTTACAGAGAGCCTGAGTGGTCTGTTTTGACAGGGCACTGATTGGTGCGTTTACAATCCCTGAGCTAGACACAAATGCTCCCCACGTCCCCACTAGATTAGCTAGATACAGAGTGTCCACACAAAGGTTCTCCAAGTCCCCACCCTAGCAGCTAGATACAGAGTGTCAATTGGTGCATTCATAAACCCTGAGCTAGATACAGGGTGCTGATTAGTGTGTTTACAAACCTTGAGCTAGATACAGAGTGCCAATTGGTGTATTTCCAATCCCTTACCTAGACATAAAGTTCTACAAGTCCCCACCAGACTCAGGAGCCCAGCTGGCTTCACCCAGTGGACCCAGCACAGGAGCTGCAGGTGGAGCTGCCTGCCAGTCCCTCTCCATGCACCCACACTCCTCAGCCCTTGGGTGGTCGATGGGACTGGGCGCCATGGAGCAGGGGGCGGTGCTCATCGGGGAGGCTTGGGCCGTACAGGAGCCCACAGAGGGGGGAGGCTAAGGAATGGCAGGCTGCAGGTCCCGAGCCCTGCCCCGCAGGGAGGCAGCTAAGGCCCGGTGAGAAGTCGAGCACAGCAGCTGCTGGCCCAGGTGCTAAGCCCCTAACAGCCCCGGCCGGCAAGGCCAGCCGGCAGCTCCTAGTGCAGGGCCACCAAGCCCACGCCCATCCAGAACTCCAGCCGGCAGGCAAGCAGCACACGTAGCCCCAGTTCCAGCTCATGCCTCTCCCTCCATGCCTCCCTGCAAGCTGAGGGAGCCAGCTCTGACCTCGGCCAGCCCAGAAAGGGGCTCCCACCATGCAGCCGTGGGCTGAAGGGCTCCTCAAGTGCTGTCAAAGTGGGAGCCCAGGCAGAGGAGGTGCCGAGAGTGAACGAGGGCTGTGAGGGCTGCCAACACGCTGTTACCTCTCATAAGGAGTGATTAATCTGAGCTTCTCCAGAAAGTCCATTCCTGGTAGGCACTGGGAATAAGAAATCTCAGAGTATAAAAAAACATCAAGTGGTAGCACTTTTGTGAGTGGCTCCCAAATTAGATCCTTTACCTTTTTTTCATGAAGCACAGTTGCCCAAAACACGCTTAGCCTGAGGTGAAGCACATATTAGAGAAAAGTTCTCTCTATAGCATTATGTATTACTCAAATGAGCATTAAAAAGAGGAGACGGGACATGCTCTCTCTAGCTATTATTACCTGCACTATAGAGTTGACATACACAAGCTCATTATTGCATTATGTTTTATTCAACAAAATAACTTTAATGTTGAAGCTTAAATTGAATTCGCTAAAACATCTTTGTCTCCAGCATAGTGTGCCTCAAGTGTCTCCTTGGTGCCTGAATTTTCTCCAGAATTATAGTGCTGAAACTATGGAAATGGTGAAATTATATGCAATCTGCAAAACAATGTGGCTATAACGTGGTAATTGGCCTTCCACATAATTAAAGGAACATTTCCTCATCAGAGCTGTTCCATCAGAGACCCAAAGGCTATCGTTGTACAAATCACCCACTTAGGAAAACCTTTATTCCCAGTAGCCTATAAAAATCTGCTTATGCAAACAGATTTGCTTATTCAGTAACATTAATGGCTTCTCATAGTTAAAAAGTCATCAATGTGATTGACCTATAATCTGCTTCCTCTGTGACCAAGTGTCATTTTTATTTTGACAGTTAGGAGCCTTTTGACTCTTTCACAGCTGGCATGAAGGCACAGGGAGGGAAATCTCAAAAACCAACAACCTGTGTATTCCCAGCCTATTAATCAATAGAAAATCACTTCAACTGGATTAGGGTCTTGTACCTGGCAGAAAGGCTCTTATGGACATTGGAATTGGATTTTTACACTTGATATGACAACTCCTTGAGTCAGATCAGATTCGTGTTTGATAGACTCTTGCCGAAAAATTGCTCCAGGGTCTGTGCAGTAGCTAAAGCCTTTTTATTGTTGTTGTTTTAAAAGCAGCATTAAATGTTTTCATGAAGACCTTCCCAGCAGTGATTTTATTGGGAATATGGTCTTTAGCTCTGGTCCTGAATAACTCACACTGAGGAAACCTCTAACAAGTGTTTTATTGGAAGATGTCTGATGGATGGTTGGTTTTAATAACAAATCTCTTCCCTTTTTCTGTCCCCTGTGTTCTATTCTCCTTTCTTACACATTATTCTGGGAGGATTCACCTATTCCCAAAGTCCTTTCCTCTTTATTTCCATTCCAGAGCTCTCTGTATAACTCCAGGCTGATGAATCCAACTGCCCAGTTGTTATCTCCACTTGGCTGTCTGTCTTGCATTGACCTCATCTTACCTTTCCTCTCCTGATTTCCTCTTCTGCCAGGGCTCAACACGTCAGATTCACACCACCATCCACCCAGCTTCCAAATCACCTGGGCCTCCTCCTTCATTCCTCCCTCTTTCTCAGTCAAGTTAGTCTACTGTCTCCTCTCCATCCTCACTGCCACAGCCTTGGTCCAGCCAACCATCTTGTCTCACTTGGCGTATTGCAGCCTCCTACCTGGTCTACTCACCACCCACTCTCCTCCAGCCAGACTGCTCTTCTTCTAGCACAAAGTGGATCATTACTCCCCTGCATAAAAACATCTACTGTCTCCCTTTCTCTACAGGATAGACACGACAAAGAGCCTTTAAGATTTGGCTCCAACTTACCTCTATATTACTCACTTTTTACAATTATATGAACATCTCTCAGCTCCTCACCCTCTCACGTCTCGATTTTTACACATGCTCTTCCCTCTGCTGAGAATGATCTTCCACACCTCTCCTATCGACCTGGCTAGTTCCTACCATTTTCTAGTCTTCAACTGAGGAGTCCTGTGGTGGAGAAGGATTTCTCACCACCTGATATAGATTGCATGCCCACCCACCTCCGAGCTTTTTCTTTTTTCTTTCTTTTTTTTTTTTTTTGAAAGAGTCTCGCTCTGACCATGCAAGCTGGAATGCAGTGGTGCGATCTTGGCTCACTGCAATCTCCACCACCCGGGTTCAAGCAATTCTCCCACCTCAGCCTTCTGAGTATCTGGAATTACAGGTGCCCCCCACCACATCTGGCTAATTTTTTTGTATTTTTAGTAAAGACAGGATTTCACCATGTTGGCCAGGCTGTTTTCGAACTCCTGGCCTCAAGTGATCCACCCACCTTGGCCTCCCGAAGTGCTGGGAATACAGGCATGAACAACTGCACCTGGCCGATTGGGTACCCCTTCTATGTGCTCCCATTGCCCCAGGCATACTGTCACCATAACTCTTACCATTCTGAGTTGAAAATGATTTTTTTTTTTTTGCTTTTTATTTCTCTCATTAAATGCAAAGCTTATTGAAAAGAGGACAGTGGTTGTTCACTGTTGTACTCCTAACCTTTGACTCAGTGTCCTTAGGTTGGCTCTAGAGCTGTGCACACATGTTCAGACATTGGAGCACATCTTGTCTAGCACCTCTTTTGTGGTGGCTTAGAGAAAAGTCAGTAGGTACTTCCCCAAGGATGAAACAGAAGCTTCACCTAAACCAGTTCTTCAACTTCAGCCTGCATTAGAATCCTCTGAGACCTTGTTAAAAATACCATCTCCTGGAGCCCACTCTTCAAGAGTCGGTGAGTTGCTTCATCATCAAAATATACACAGAATTCAGGCAGTCTTCAGCCCCAGCCTGGTCTGAACCTCTGTGGACTCCCACCTGCAAAATGTCCCTGCTGGTCTCCTTGCTTCTGCTCTTACCTTCTTATTACCCATTCGAGTAGCCGGGGTGATCCTTTTTAAAAAATTTTTTAAATTTTTTTGTGATGAAGTCTCACTCTGTTGCCCAGGCTGGAGTGCAGTGGTGCTATCTCAGCTTGCTGCAGCTCTATCTCCTGGACTCAAGCAATCCTCCCACCTCAGTCTCCTGGGTAACTGGGACCACAGACATACACCACCACACCCGGCTAATTTTTGTATTTTTTGTAAAGACACGGTCTTGCTGTGTTGCCCAGGCTAGTCTTGAACTTCTGTGTGCACCCACCTCAGCCTCCTGCATTTTTAGGAGGCCCCTCTTGTAGGGATTTTGATCCAGATGCCTGGGTGCCTCATGTTTCCTCCCATCTCTCTCTGTCTTTCTGTCTCTGTCTCTCTCTCTCTTTCTCTTTGCCTTATAGCTGCCCTGGGGTGTAGACTCTGCCTTAGGCATCCCTCTGGCTCTTGTTTGCTTTTATACTGAGGCTGCTTTAAATTGTACCTTGATCTGAAGCCTTGGGCTTCTGTTCCTATTCCTTGCTTTTGTTGGAAGGGCCATGCAGCTTCTTGACAAATTGCAAAGGTGCCCACGAGTTTCCAAGTCCCCAAGAACCAAACCAGATGACAAACAAGGATGCAGTCCACAGCTGGGGAGACAGATTTCATGTCCACACAGAGACTCCAAGATGCTGAACTGAAATCCACCTCGAAACCTGTTTTCTCTCTCATTTAAGTTCATTGTCACCTGGGGGCTTGCAGGGCAGAGCTGGTGACCATTCTCAGGGCAAAGATGCTTTGAAATGTCAACTGAGAATGGTGTGGTGGTTGACAGATGGCACGTCAGAGCATAGATTAACATGGAAAGAGAAATTCACCCCTTGGGGGGAGTGTGTGAGGCTGGCAGCCACACAGAGGGCTTTTCCTGTGAGCTCTTGCATAGATGCAAACAGCCAGGAGGTTTTGCTTTCTGATCCTAAGTGGAAGCATGTTCTTCCCTACACATTGCCGCTCTGCAGCAAATGTTTATTCCTGTTGCATTGATTAAAAGTGCTTACCAGGCCGGGCGCGGTGGCTCACGCCTGTAATCCCAGCACTTTGGGAGGCCGAGGCAGGCAGATCACAAGGTCAGGAGATTGAGACCATCCTGGCTAACACGGTGAAACCCCGTCTCTACTAAAAATACAAAAAATTAGCCGGGCATGGTGGCGGGCACCTGTAGTCCCAGCTACTTGGGAGGCTGAGGCAGGAGAATGGCATGAACCCAGGAGGCGGGGCTTGCAGTGAGCCGAGATTGTGCCACTGCACTCCAGCCTGGATGACAGAGCAAGACTCCGTCTCAAAAATACAAAGTGCTTACCGAAGTGGTTTGAGGGCAGCGGTGACAGTGTGAGTTATGGCTCTGCCGGCTGCCAGTGGAGCCAGGCTCTCTGCACAGCCGTGCAAGGGTGTTTTGAAAAGTGGCTCAGCCGGCCAGGAGTGACTGGCTGTAAATATTGCTGCCAGAACATCTTGTAGCCTGATTGGGGCCGTGTTTGCAGAACCCCTAAACCACTACACTTGTTCAGGCTTAAAAATAAGCTTACTTTTTTTTGTTTGTTTTGTTTTGTTTTATGAGATGGAGTCTAATTCTGTCACCGGGTTGGAATGCAGTGGCATGATCTCGGCCCACTGCAACCTCTGCCTCCTGCGTTCAAGTGATTCTCCTGCCTCAGGCTCCCGAGTAGCTGGGACTATAGGCGTGTGCCATCATGGCCAGCTAATTTTTGAATTTTTAGTACAGACGGGGCTTCACCTTTTTGGTCAGGATGGTGCGATCTCTTGACCTCGTGATCTGCCCGCCTTGGCTTCCCAAAGTGCTAGGATTACAGGCGTGAGCCACCGTGCCTGGTCAAACATAAACTTACTTTCTTACCTCTTCTGCTGAACTCTATGTGCTTCTTTTCGCAACTTCTGCTGAACTCTATTTTGCTTCTTTTTCCTGGATAAGGCTCTTGTTTATCCAGAAGAACTTTTAGCAACAAAGTTACCCAATGCCTTTCCCTAGTCTCTCCTTGCAACTGACTCTCAGTGGTGGGGGGGGTGGGTAGGAGGAAATCCTTGACAGAACCAATTTACATGACTGTTTGGAGGACTCTCACTAGCCCCAGGAGGTGTTTACATTTTTAAATTGGTTACTAGTGTCAGAATGTTTCATGAGTAAGAGCACAGCCTCTAAGTTGGATACCCTGAATTTAAGTCTCAACATGGCCATTTTGTATATAAGCAGAGGACGGATTTGGGGACCCAATGGATCTACCATGACATGAACTTGGACCAACATTCACCTGAACTCCAAAATGCCTATTCTGACTGGTAGACCCTAGTCTCGCCCTAGTGCCAGTTCAGAGCCTGTGTCCAGTGGTCTTGCACAGGTCCCATTAGTTCTTTTTCTCCTATTCAGTCATCCTGGTAAAGGCTGTGTATTCCCTTGGGGACAGGCTGGGAGAAAGATTGACAGTATAAATTTTTGGCAGTGGAGCAGAGTCCTTTCTGGAGGGGACCTGGCTTCCCATTCAGACAAGGGACTCCAGGTCTGTGAACTGGCTTATGTCTGGGAATTGACGGGGGACTGTGACTCTGTTTTTATGATTCAGATTAGACTTCTGCTCACCTGACCTAGAATTCTTCTTCAAACACAGATCCAGTAAAAATGTGGCAGGCTTCTTATCTATTTCAGTTCTAGGAAAGCCACGATCAGCCGGCACCATAGGTCTCTGCGAGTCAGGCTATTCTGGTTGCAGCTTTGACTCTGCTGTCTTTTATGGTAACTGCATCCACCTTGCCTTTGGGGATTGAGTGCTCTGATCACTTGACCCCAGCCCCTGTACTGTGCGTATGTCACTTACCCTCTTTATACCTCAGTCTCCTCCTCTATAAAATGGGCATCCTCATTGCACCCACCCCCAGGGCTGCTGTGAGGTATAGATGGATTAGCATATGGAAAGTAATAGAAGAGGGTCTCAAAGTCCATGTGTCGTTATCAGAATTATTTCATGATGGGGAGAGCTGGAGGAGAGAGGAAGGTGCTGAGCAGACCCACGTGCTCTCCCACCAGTGTTTCCTGAGCACCCACTATGTGCTGCCCACTGTGAGAGCTGTTAGGGTTGAAATAGGGAGAACAGCAGGATAGGGGCTGCCATCAGGAGCTTAGTGGGGAGACCGTTGTGCAACATGGTTACAGTGCTTGGGGTGGGGAAGCCCAGGGACTACAGGGGCCTAGGATCCAGGGCAGAATCATGGAAAGGACACAGCCGCCCCAGCCTCCCCTGCCTCCCCTGCCTCCCTGACCTCCTCTGTTCCCTGGCCTCTCCTGCCTTCCTGGCTTCCCCTTCCGCCCCGGCCTCCCCAGTCTCCCCTGTCTTTCCTGCTTTTGAGGTGGGCCAGGAGCTGCTGGTGCTCACTTAGCCTGTCCTGGACTCTGGGTGTAGCACTTCGATGTCCAGAAAATACCCCCGGGTTCAGCTTATCACACAGCCAAGAAAGGAGCTCCACACTGACACTAAGGGTGCATCCTGGGCTCATTCATCAGGGCATGCCTCCAAAATATTTCTCCACGTCTCCTCCCTTTGCCCACCTGCATTGTCTCTGTGCCTCAGCCCCAGCTGGGGGCCTGCAAGGATCCTCTATCTCCTCTGCCCCTGCACGGCTGGGTCCCAGGCAATCTGTCTGCCCACCACACCTCTCTCCTATTGCCCACCACGCTCCAGCCCCACAGTCCTCTTTCTGCTTCTTTCCCAGCCTCTGGGCTTTTGCACACGCTGTTCCTTCTGCCTGAACACCCTCCACTGGGCTGAGAACAACTCTCTGAGACCTCTCTCAGCTGTTGCTTCCTTTGGAAAAGCCGCTGCTGCTGTCCCTCTCCCAGCTCAAAGACCTGCTGAGCCTCCTGTCTTTTTCAGTTCCCATGCCCCCAGCACTTCTCCTTGGCCTCCTTTGGCCCAATTGACAATGTCCATTCTCAATGCCTTCCCACCCAGCGCTGAGCCCCACTGGGTGAAGGCAATGCCTGTCATGTTCACCACAATATCCCCTCCCCCATCACCACGACTGGTCCACAGTGATGCTCAAAAAAGATCTGTTGGTAGGCAATGCGAAGGTGCATTCATGTCATCCTGCAGGCGGAATTCTCCACGAGTTTTGAGCAGCCTCGGGTTTCCCACCACCTCCAAATCATGGAAGACACAGGGTAAGAGCAAAGACAAGGTGGCTGTGGCCGATGTCCACCCTATCGTGGCGTCCCTTCTCTTCTCTCCTCCTTGAGCAGGGAGACCATCGGGGTGCAACCTGGCTGGGGCGGGGAGGTGGTGCAGGGCATTGCCAGAGCGGACCTGTCCATGGGCAAGGGACAGCGACCTCCTGGGCCAGGACATGTGACAGCTGCGCAGGCCTGGGCCCGGCGTGGCAGAGGTGCGCGAGAGCGGCCAGAAGAGGGCGCCAGAGAGCCAGGCGCGGCCCGCGGAGGAGCCCGGGCCGGCCCCGATACCCAGCTCCGCGCCGCGCGGACCCACCGAGCCCGTGCTCAGACGCCCCAGCTCCGCCGAGAAGCCGCTTGAGCCGGGTCCTTCTTCTTCCCCAAGTTCAGGCAGAGCCCGCGGAGCCATGGCCAGCCCTTCCAGCAGCTCCGAAGCCACTGGCAAGCCCCGAGGCAGGGATGGCAGTCCCAGGATGGGGGAGGAGGAAGTCCCTCCCGAAGAGAAGAGGCTGGGGCTGTAGCTGGAGGGGGGAAGCGCACAGCCCGAGGACTGCGAGGACGGGGAGGACCCGCCGCTACCGGGCAGGAAGGAGACCGGCACCCAGACAGGTGGCGACGGCAAAGGAGTAAGTGATGCGGGCGCGGGGGTCCGGGAGTGCCGGGGGCTCGGGGGTGCCGGGGACGCGACGAAGGGGCGTCGGGAGGCTCCGTGGCCGTCCCCGGGTTGAAGTTGGGAGTGCAGCCTTCATTCTGAACCCATTTAGGCAGCATGGGCAGCCCTCCTCGCCATGGGCAGGATCAGAGCCCCCCCGCCCAGTCTGGGGGTTGCTCCTGGATGCTGTCTGGGAGGCTTGCTCATGGTGACATCCTCATCTCCCCGTCCACGTTACCGCATTCAGAGCTTGGGTCACCTGGACACTGAACTCAGGTGAATTTTCTCTGAGATCCCGGGAGAAGGAGGACAGTTCTTTGGAAGGTTTTCCAGGGCCGATCACGGAAAGGATGAGAAGGGAGAGGTCCTGGTCGGGGACACAATTACGGTGGCAGTGTAACGCCGGGAAACTTTATTGCATGAAGTCCCTCTCACTCCCTCTACCTCCCTCTTTTACGTGGACTCTGCCAAAGACCAGGATACCAGAATGCGGTGGAGTGACCAAGTGTAGTGAGACCTTGGGAATGTGATTTTGGAGCCAGGCGGCTGGGGTTTGCATCCTGGTTCTGCCCCTCCTTAGCTGGCTGACATGGCACAAGCCACTTACCCTCTCTGAGCCTTACTGTCTTCAGTGGCAAATGGATCTGTCAACAGGCCCCATTGCCTGGGGTTGTTGCTGCTGAGATTAAGGGAAGCTCGTCCATAGAAGCACTTAGCGTTGTGCCTGGCACATAGTGTATGGTGGATAAGTGGGACTTAGTACTAAAACTCATGCCTTGGTGTCTTTTTGCAGTGATGTTTTGTTCTGGAGTACGTCACAAGAGACAAGGTTCTTGGCTGGGCATGGTGGTTCAAGCCAATAATCCCAGCACTTTGAGAGGCCGAAGGGGGAGGATCGCTTGAGCCCAGGAGTTTAAGACCAGCCTGGGCAACACGGTGAAGCCTCATATCTACCAAAAAAAGAAAAAAAAAAAAAAAAAAAAAAAAAAAAAAGGCAGTTATGGTGGTGTGTGCCTGCAGTCCCAAGTACTTGGGAGGCTGAGGTGGGAGGATTGCTAGAGCCTGGAAGGTTGGGTTGCAGTGAGCTGTGATCATGCCACTGCACTTCAGCCTGGGTGACAAAGTGAGACCGTTTCAAGGAAAAGAGAGAGAGAGAGACAGACAGACCCACAAGAGTCTTAAGCCAGAATCTCCATGTTAAAATGCTTTCTGGAGGCTAAAAGGATGATATGTTGATAATGAAATGTTTAAAAGGCAGAAACCCCACTGAATTGTTTGGTCCACAGAGGGAAATGGGAATAGCATGACCTGAAGGATGATGGAGGAACTGAACAGAAACCATCCTTGTTTCCTGAATCTGAACATGGCACGCTCTTTTCACGGTGCCTGTATCTGCTCAGTCCGGCAGCCCCTTGAAAAGAGGGAATCCTGATTTGCAAACTTAAAATTTGGCCCAAAGCTCACTGCTGCCCACAATGCCCGCCAGACACATTCCTCTTCCCTTTTAGTTCCTATGGGAATACTCTCTTTGAAGAACCCATGAAGCAGTGTCAGGCTGGTACGAGGATCAGCAGTGATTTCTTTGAGGAGGAGAGCCCGTTTCTTCACTCACAGGCCATGTCTGAGTGGATCAAGAAGAACAGAGTGCCCTTTTATGAGATTTTGTCTGCGTAGACCACTAGCTTGGTAAAAATGTCAAAACCATCCTCGTTCTTTAATAACAGATTATTTTGGACTTTTCTCTGCAAGAAGCAGCATGGGCATTCAGATGCTTTTAAGGATAAAATGTTCTTTCTCATCACCAGGCCTGGTGCTCTGGATGGCTGAGGTTTTAATGTGACTGGATGTCCCTTGGAGTGGCTCCCAGGCTGTGCTCTTGTGGTTGGGTGGCAAGCGGTTGCTTTATTCGGTGGTGGCTAGAGGATGTTTTAGCAGATTAATCGGGACCCCAGGAGCCCTTGAGTGTCAAGTCCTGCTGCAGGGCATGTGTTTATGGTGGGGAGGTGGGGGAGGGTGGAGGGGGGGGCATTGATTTCCTCCCAATATCAGAAGTTTCACAGGCTTCTTGTTTATCCACAAACACCCACCCCATTGAGAAGGCCTAGAAAATCTGCCCCTCCTCAAGCCTTTATTGACCACTTGTGAATGATCCCAGTGTGTGTCTGACCCACAGCTCCTCCTGGAGGGAGAGAAAAGTCTCTCCTAGGTATTTGGTTGTCCACCTCAACCACTTGCTGAGTCTTCCGCAAGACCAGGCACCTCGGCAGAGATTTCTGGGTTGTCAGGCAGAACCGAGCATTCAAGGGTGATAACTCACTGGAGTCCCTGAAATCCCTGATGGACGCACCAGGTAAAAGCATCCAGGGTTGAAACCAGATCAGGAAGGTTATTGTCAGCCTGGGGCTCCTGTAGAGGTGCATCCACGTTGCAGGGATTTTCCTTCTTGCTGAGGAGAAACCTGGGTTTCTCAGCTTTGGCACAGTCAGAATATTTGTGGTGAGACCATTCGTGGTGCTGGTGGTGGGGCTGTCCTGTGTATTGAAGGATGGTTAGCAGCATCTGTGGTCTCCATCCTCTAGGTGCCATTCTACCCTCCCTGCTATGGCTACCCCAGACGTCTCCAGATGGTTTCAAATAATGTGGGGCAAGGGAGCGGTACGTGAGCAAAACCACCCCAGTTGAGAGCCATTGGTCCACACTTGTATAAATGTTTGAGTGTGAGAGTGTCGAGCTTGGGTCCCTGCTGTACCCTTTATGAGCAATGCGGTCTTGGAAAATTAATACTACTCCAGGGGCCTCAGTTTTCTCATCTATAAAATGGAGATAAATGAGATACACTTTCATAGGAAGGTTATATGGGATTCACCGAGATAATAAGACAGTACATGGAAAATGCTGCGCATAGCATTTATTTATTTTAATTTTTTTTTAAGACAGAGTCTTACTCTGTTGCCCAGGTTGGAGTGCAGTGGCATGATCTCCGCTCACTGCAATCTCCACCTCCTGGGTTCAAGTGATTCTCCTGCCTCAGGCTACCGAGTAACTGGGACTACAGGCGCGCGCCATCATGCCCATTTAATTTTTGAATTTTTAGTAGAGACGGGGCTTCACCATGTTGGCCAGGATAGTCCGATCTCTTGACCTCGTGATCTGCCCGCCTCGGCCTTCCCAAGTGCTGGGATTACAGGCGTGAGCCACCGTGCCTGGCCAAACATAAACTTACTTTCTTACCTCTTCTGCTGAACTCTATTTGCTTCTTTTCCCATACGTCTTTATCCAGAAGAGCTTTTAGCAACAAAGTTACCCAATGCCCTTCCCTAGTCTCTCCTTGCAACTGGCTCTCAGCAGGGGGTGGGAGGAAATTCTTGACAGAACCAATTTACATGACTGTTTTGGGGACCCATTCTAGTCCCAGGAGGTGTTTGCACTTTTAAATTGGTTACTAGTGTCAGAATGTTTCATGAGTAAGAGCCCAGGCTCTATGTCGGATGCCCTGAATTTGAATCTCAGCATTGCCGCTTTGTATATAACCAGAGGGGATGGATTTGGGGACCCAATGGACCTACCGTGACATGAACTTGCACCAACATTCACCTGACCTCCAAAATGCCTATTCTGACTGGTAGAACCTAGTCTCGCCCTAGTGCCAGTTCAGAGCCTGTGTCCAGTGATCCTGCACAGGTCTCATTAGTTCCTTTTCTCCTGTTCAGTCATCCTGGTGAAAGGCTGTGTATTCCCTTGGGGGCAGGTTGGGAGAAAGACTGACAGTATAAATTTTTGGCAGTGGAGCAGAGTCCTTTCTGGAGGGGACCTGGCTTCTCATTCAGACAAGGGACTCCAGGTCTGTGAACTGGCTTATGTCTGGAAATTGACTGGGGACTGTGACTCTGTTTTTATGATTCAGATTAGACTTCTGCTCACTTGACCTAGAGCTCTTCTGCAAACACAGATCAAGTGAAATGTGGCAGGCTTCTTATCTATTTCACTTCTAGGAAAGCCACGATCAGCAGGCACCATAGGTCGCTGGGAGTCAGGCTATTCTGGTTGCAGCTTTGACTCTGCTGTCTTTTATGATAACTGCATCTACCTTGCCTTTGGGGATTGAGTGCTCTGATCACTTGGCCCCAGCCCCTGTAGTGTGCGTATGTCACTTACCCTCTTTATACCTCAGTCTCCTCCTCTATAAAATGGGCATCCTCATTGCACCCACCCCCAGGGCTGCTGTGAGTATAGATGCATTAGCATATGGAAAGTAATAGAAGAGGGTCTCAAAGTCCATGTGTCGTTATCAGAATTATTTCATGATGGGGAGAGCTGGAGGAGAGAGGAAGGTGCTGAGCAGACCCACGTGCTCTCCCACCAGTGTTTCCTGAGCACCTACTATGTGCTGCCCACTGTGAGAGCTGTTAGGGTTGAAATAGGGAGCACAGCAGGGTAGGGGCTGCCATCAGGAGCTTAGTGGGGAGACCATTGTGCAACCTGGTTCCAGCGCTTGGGGTGGGGAAGCTCAGGGAGTTCAGGGGCCTAGGATCCAGGGCAGAATCATGGAAAGGACATAACCTCCCCAGCCTCTCCTGCCTCCATTGCCTCCCTGGCCTCCTCTGCTTCCCTGGCTTCCCCTTCCACCCCGGCCTCCCCAGTCTCCCCTGTCTCTCCTGCTTTTGAGGTGGGCCAGGAGCTGCTAGTGCTCACTTAGCCTGTCCTGGGCTCTTGGTGTAGCACCTCAATGTCCAGAAAATACCCCCGAGTTCAGCTCATCACACAGTCAAGGAAGGAGCTCCACACTGACACTAAGGGTGCATCCTGGGCTCATTCATCAGGGCATGCCTCCAAAATATTTCTCCACGTCTCCTCCCTTTGCCCACCTGCATTGTCTCTGTGCCTGAGCCCCGGCTGGGGGCCTGCAAGGATCCCCTATCTCCTCTGCCCCTGCACAGCTGGGTCCCAGTCAATCTGTCTGCCCACCACACCTTCCTCCCCTTGCCCACCATGCTCCAGCCCCACAGTCCTCTTTCTGCTTCTTTCCCAGCCTCTGGGCTTTTGCACACGCTGTTCCCTCTGCCTGAACACCCTCCACTGGGCTGAGAACAACTCTCCGAGACCTCTCTCAGCTGTTGCTTCCTTTGGAACAGCCGCTGCTGCTGTCACTTTCCCAGCTCCAAGACCTGCTGAGCCTCCTGTCTTTTTCAGTTCCCATGCCCCCAGCACTTCTCCTTGGCCTCCTTTGGCCCAATTGACAATGTCCATTCTCAATGCCTTCCCACCCAGCGCTGAGCCCCACTGGGTGAAGGCAATGCCTGTCATGTTCTCCACAATATCCCCTCCCCCATCACCACACCTGGTCCACAGTGATGCTCAAAAAAGGTCTGTTGGTAGGCAATGGGAAGGTGCATTCATGTCATCCTGCAGGCGGAATTCTCCACGAGTTTTGAGCAGCCTCGGGTTTCCCACCACCTCCAAATCATGGAAGACACACGGTAAGAGCAAAGACAAGGTGGCTGTGGCCGATGTCCACCCTCTCGGGGCTTCCCTTCTCTTCTCTCCTCCTTGGGCAGGGAGACCATCGGGGTGCAACCTGGCTGGGGTGGGGAGGAGGTGCAGGGCCTGGCCAGAGCGGGTCTGGCCACAGGCAGGGGACAGCGACTGCCTGGGCGGGGGCAGGTGAGTGCAGCGCAGGCCAGGGCCCGGCTTGTCCGCGGTGCGCGCGAGCGGCCAGCAGAGGGCGCGAGAGCCAGGAGCGGCCCGCGTAGGAGCCCGAGCCGGCCGCTATGCCCAGCCCCTCTCCGGGCGGACCCACCGAGCCCGCGCTCAGACGCCCCAGCTCCGCCGAGAGGCCGCTCGCGCCGTATCCTTCCTCTTCTCCAGGTGCAGGCAGAGCCCCCCAGCCGTGGCCAGCCCTTCCGGCAGCTCCGAAGCCACTGGCAAGCCCCGAGGCAGGGATGGCCGGCCCAGGAGGGAGGAGGACGACGTCCCTCCCGAAGAGAAGAGGCTGCGGCTGTAGCTGGAGGGGGGAAGCGCAGAACCCGAGGACTGCGAGGACGGGGAGGACGCGCCGCGGCCAGGCAGGGAGGAGACCGGCACCCAGACAGGTGGCGAAGGCAGAGGAGTAAGTGACGCGGGCGCCGGGGTCCGGGGGTGCCGGGGGCGCCGGTAGGGGCGGCGGGAGGCTCAGTGGCCGGCCCCGGGTTGAAGTTGGTATTTTAGCGGCAACTCCGAAGGGCGCGGAGTGACAGCGCGTGACGGCCTCCGAGACGCCAGCTGCCGCTTCTCGGCTGTGTGGCTTTGACTTCCTGATTCTCCCACGACGTCCCTGGCTGGGAGACCCGCTGGACTCTGCGGCTGGCCAAAAAGAGAGGGGCAGCCCCGCGTCCTGGGGGCCCCTAGCAGGGGAAGTGGCGGGTGTTGCGCTGGGCATCCTGTCTGGGGCATCTGTCTGGGACCCTGTCGGTGCCTCTCACCTGGCGAGGGGCCTGTGGTGGGGGTAGGGGGGAAGTCCCTGGCGCCAGGCTTGGCCAAGCCCTGCTCTGCTGGACTGCGGGCTGGCGGCGCTTACCCAGCTCCTCACCCGTCCCGCATCTTCCTGTTTTTCTTCCCTTTCTGGTTGGGCAGCAAGAGTTGAGAGGAGGCAGATGGCTTCCACCCCAGAAATCGCTCTCCTCTTTCCATCCCTACAGAGAGGGACAGAGAGGCAAAGTTCCTTGCATCCCCGGGGCGCTGTCCCTGTGAGCTCCCGGTGTCCTGCAAACGTTGGCCCCTGAATCACCGGGCCAGTGTGTGTGGGATGGGGCTGCATAGCCAGGCTGGCCTCCTGGGGTTCACTTTCGGCTTTCCTACCCCAACTCTTCCTGTGTGGCTTTGCTGGCCTTCCACTGCGGAGGCATGTGGCTTTGGAGGGCAGATGAGGGCCCGCTGGAGAACTGTACCCCTCAGTGAGGGCCGCCACCTTGATGGTTTTTAATGGATAATGGGGTTGACCTCTTTGTTCCTTCCACATGTTTTTATGTTTGACCATTTGCTCAGCTGAGCTTGTTTTAATAATTGGATTCATGGTTAATGAGCCCCACATGGGAGAGAGGGCGGTCTTCATTCTGAACCCATTTAGGCAGCATGGGCAGCCCTCCTCGCCGTGGGCGGCATCAGAGCCCCCCTGCCCAGTCTTGGGGTTGCTCCTGGATGCTGTCTGGGAGGCTTGCTCATGGTGACATCCTCTTCTCCCCGTCCACGTTACCGCATTCAGAGCTTGGGTCACCTGGACACTGAACTCAGGTGAATTTTCTCTGAGATCCCGGGAGAAGGAGGACAGTTCTTTGGAAGGTTTTCCAGGGCCGATCACGGAAAGGATGAGAAGGGAGAGGTCCTGGTTGGGGACACAATTACGGTGGCAGTGTAACGCCGGGAAACTTTATTGCATGAAGTCCCTCTCACTCCCTCTACCTCCCTCTTTTACGTGGACTCTGCCAAAGACCAGGATTCCAGAATGCGGTGGAGTGACCAAGTGTAGTGAGACCTTTGGAACGCGATTCTGGAGCCAGGCGGCTGGGGTTTGCATCCTGGTTCTGCCCCTCCTTAGCTGGCTGACATGGCACAAGCCACTTACCCTCTCTGAGCCTTACTGTCTTCAGTGGCAAATGGATCTGTCAACAGGCTCCATTGCCTGGGGTTGTTGCTGCTGAGATTAAGGGAAGCTCGTCCATAGAAGCACTTAGCGTTGTGCCTGGCACATAGTGTATGGTGGATAAGTGGGACTTAGGACTAAAACTCATGCCTTGGTGTGTTTTTGCAGTGATGTTTTGTTCTGGAGTACGTCACAAGAGACAAGGTCCTTGGCTGGGCATGGTGGCTGAAGCCAATAATCCCAGCACTTTGAGAGGCCGAAAGGGGAGGATCACTTGAGCCCAGGAGTTTAAGACCAGCCTGGGCAACAGGGTGAAGCCTCATATCTACCAAAAAAAAAAAAAAAAAAAAAAAGGCAGTTATGGTGGTGAGTGCCTGCAGTCTCAAGTACTTGGGAGGCTGAGGTGGGAGGATTGCTAGAGCCTAGAAGGTCAGGCTGCAGTGAGCTGTGATCATGCCACTGCACTCCAGCCTGGGTGACAAAGTGAGACCGTTTCAAGGAAAAGAGAGAGAGACAGACCCACAAAAGTCTTAAGCCAGAATCTCCATGTTAAAATGCTTTCTGGAGGCTAAAAGGATGATATGTTGATAATGAAATGTTTAAAAGGCAGAAACCCCACTGAATTGTTTGGTCCACAGAGGGAAATGGGAATCGCATGACCTGAAGGATGATGGAGGAACTGAACAGAAACCATCCTTGTTTCCTGAATCTGAACATGGCACCCTCTTTTCACGGTGCCTGTATCTGCTCAGTCCGGCGGCCCCTTGAAAAGAGGGAATCTTGATTTTCAAACTTAAAATTTGGCCCAAAGCCCACTGCTGCCCACAATGCCCGCCAGACACATTCCTCTTCCCTTTTAGTTCCTATGGGAATACTCTCTTTGAAGAACCCATGAAGCAGTGTCAGGCTGGTGTGAGGATCAGCAGTGATTTCTTTGAGGAGGAGAGCCCGTTTCTTCACTCACAGGCCATGTCTGAGTGGATCAAGAAGAACAGAGTGCCCTTTTATGAGATTTTGTCTGCGTAGACCACTAGCTTGGTAAAAATGTCAAAACCATCCTCGTTCTTTAATAACAGATTATTTTGGACTTTTCTCTGCAAGAAGCAGCATGGGCATTCAGATGCTTTTAAGGATAAAATGTTCTTTCTCATCACCAGGCCTGGTGTTCTGGATGGCTGAGGTTTTAATGTGACTTGGTGTCCCTTGGAGTTGCTTCCAGGCAGTGCTCTTGTGGTTGGGTCGCAAGGGGTTGCTTTATTCGGTGGTGGCTAGAGGATGTTTTAGCAGATAAATCGGGACCCCAGGAGCCCCTGAGTGTCAAGTCCTGCTACAGGGCATGTGTTTATGGTGGGGAGGTGGGGGTGGGGGTGGAGGATGGGGGCATTGATTTCCTGCCAATATCAGAAGTTTCACAGGCTTCTTGTGTATCCACAAACACCCACCCCATTGAGAAGTCCTAGAAAATCTGCCCCTCCCCAAGCCTTTATTGACCGCTTGTGAATGATCCCAGGGTGTGTCTGACCCACAGCTCCTGCTGGAGAGAGAGAAAAGTCTCTCCTAGGTATTTGGTTGTCAACCTCAACCGCTTGCTGAGCCTTCCCCAAGACCAGGCACCTTGGCAGAGATTTCTGGGTTGTCAGGCAGAACCGAGCATTCGAGGGTGATAACTCACTGGAGTCCCTGAAATCCCTGATGGATGCACCAGGTAAAAGCATCCAGGGTTGAAACCAGATCAGGAAGGTTATTGTCAGCCTGGGGCTCCTGTAGAGGTGCATCCACGTTGCAGGTATTTTCCTTCTTGCTGAGGAGAAACCTGGATTTCTCAGCTTTGGCACCGTCACAACATTTGGGGTGAGACCATTCGTGGTGGTGGTGGGGGGGCATCCTGTGTATTGTAGGACGGTTAGCAGCATCTGTGGTCTCCATCCTCTAGGTGCCATTCTACCCTCCCAGTTATGGCTACCCCAGATGTCTCCAGATGGTTTCAATGCTGTGGGGCAAGGGAGTGGTATGTGAGCAAAACCACCCCAGTTGAGAGCCATTGGTCTACACTTGTATAAATGTTTGAGGGTGAGAGTGTCGACCTTGGGTCCCTGCTGTACCCTTTATGAGCAATGCTGTCTTGGAAAGTTAATAGTACTCCAGGGGCCTCAGTTTTCTCATCTATAAAATGGAGATAAATGAGATACACTTTCATAGGAAGGTTATATGGGATTTACTGAGATAATAAGACAGTACATGGAAAATACTGGGCATAGCCTTTATTTATTTAATTTTTTTTTAAGACAGAGTCTTACTCTGTTGCCCAGGCTGGAGTACAGTGGCATGATCTCTGCTCACTGCAACCTGCACGTCCTGGGCTCAAGTGATTCTCCTGCCTCAGCCTCCAGAGTAGCTGGGATTACAGGTGCCCACCACCACACCTGGCTAATTTTTGTATTTTTAGTAGAGATGGGGTTTCACCATGTTGGGCAGGCTGATCTCAAACTTCTAACCTCAGGTGATCCGCCTGCCTCGGCCTCCCAAGTTGCTGAGATCACAGGTGTGAGCCAGCACACTGGGCTTGTCATCGCATTGTAACACAGACAAAGCACAAAATACGTGGACAATATCTTTTTACATTTGGCTTGTCTAGACTCCATCCTCCATCCCCTCGTGCACTGGTGTGGTGCAGACCAGAATATCGCTCACCTAGACTGCAGAGTGGATTTGGGTGGCATCTTGGCTTTCTGCACAAGACTTGCCTGCTCCCCACCACATCCCCCTGGTTCTCAGGGTTCAGGATTCCAGGAGGCCGGGATGTGGGTAGGCAGGTCAGGTGGCCCACCCAGTTCACTCTCACACTGGGGACCTGCAGAGCCAGCTCCCTGAGACAGGGTGTTTTGACCAACATCTGGTTTTTTTGATTTCCATTTGAGCACAGCTGGACTACACAGGCTGAAGCTCTCTCTGCCGAGATATAGATATTTCCCTGGCAATGATCTTTCAAGTTGACATGAAGACATGGCCATCCGCTGGAACATCGTGGGTCTGCCGTAGCGCTCTTGTAATTTGTGAGGCAGGCTCCTGATGAATGCAGTGCGTAAGTGGGAAATGGTAGGATGTTCTCCCATCCTCCCCTTGCCGAAAGTGCTGCCTGCGCAGGTTGGTGGACGGTCCTTTGAGCAGGAAGAAGACACGGAGCACATTCCTTTTAGCTATGACAGAGAGGGGCAGGGTACACACTGGACATTTCAAGCCCCTGTAGAGAAGCAAGTCTTACTGTGCTGGGAGTTCTTGTGGAGTGGGGGCTGTGTTGCCCTGGGCTTTAATTATTTCAGGAACATTTAACCACAGGGCCAGCAGGCTGGATCTTGATATGTGTTTCTTAGTTGGAAAGATTTTGGACCATAGAGAAATGTCTTCTCAATTCTTTTAATTTCATTAAGGTGGTCATTTTTCTTCTTGTGGCCTCTGGAATGTGACACAGAACTCAAGGGACAGGAAGGAGATGAGTTGGAGGCTGGGACAGGGGTCCCTGCCAGGGATGCTGGTGACTCACGTGACAGTGTTGATGTGTGGAGTCCGGTGCCTGGTTTGGGGAATGTTCGTGGGATATGTTCCAAAGGACTGACAGACCTATCAGGTACTGGAGGTGAATGGTCAAGTCTGATCTCAGGGCTGACAGTGTCAGGCAAGGACAGGAAGTTGGCATTGGTCTCATTGGCTGAGGTTGTTGGGACCCAGGGGGCAATGTGTGCCAGGACAGATGGGTCTGGGGCTAGGAAGGCAGGTTTGGGCTGGCGACCCGGGCATGGGAGGCATCCCAGGTAGACAGTGGTTGAGGCTGTGGAAATGACCGCGATTGCCTGGGATGAGAGTGGAGACAGACAAGATGGAGGTTTTGCTTTAAGCCTGGGGAGCCCACCTCCCAGGTTCAAGCGATTCTCCTGCCTCAGCTTCCCAAGTAGCTGGGAATGCAGGTGCGTACCACCATGCCTGACTAACTTTTGTATTTTTAGTAGAGATGAGGTTTGGCCAGGCTGGTCTCAAACTCCTGACCTCAAGTGATCGGCCCACCTTGGCCTCCCAAAGTGCTGGGATTACAGGCATAAGCCACCATGCCTGACCATTTTTAAATATTAATTTTTATGCAATATTTTCAAACACATTTTACTGTACATTGGAAAAGTCAATCATGATTTGAAAACTTTATAAAAATCTAATCAAATATCAATTAACCATTTAATTGTGGATAAGTAAGGAGACTATTTTGACCAAAACATGTTAGAACAATTACCACTTATAGAAATAATCTGTGTTTTAATGTTTTAGTTGAATTAAACAATCTTTTATATTCTGTCCAGGTGCAGTGGTTCACACCTGTAATCCCAGCACTTTGGGAGGCTGAGGCTGGCGGATCACCTAAGGTCAGGAGTTCGAGACCAGCCTGGTCAACATGGCAAAACTGTCTCTACCAAAAATACAGAAATTAGCCAGGTGTGATGGCACACACCTGCAATCCCAGCTACTTGGGAGGCTGAGGCAGGAGAATCGTTTGCACCTGGGAGACAGAGGTTGCAGTCAGCCGAGATTGAACCACTGTACTTCAGCCAGCCTGGGTGACAGAGCGAGACTCTGTTTCAAAAATAAATAAATAAATAAAATAGAATTCTGAATTTTATTTTTAATAATTATTTTTGTAAAGAGAATGTCTTGTTTTTTGGAGTTGTTGAATTTATTGAATTGGCAAAAATTATGTACAAGAGGGTATACAACATGATGTGATTGAGGTATGTATACATTATGAAATGGCTAAATCAAGCTAAATAACATATCACCTCCCAGACTTACTTTTTGGGGTGAGAACACTTAAACAATCTACTCTCTTAGTGATTTCCAAGTGTATGATATGTTGTTATTAACTATAGGTACCTTGTTGTCCCATGGATCTCCTGAACTTATTCTTCTTCTCTAAAAATGACATTCTGTGTCCTTTGGCATCTGCCCACTTCCCCACCCTGGCAACCATCATTCTACTCTGCTTCTGTGAATTCAACTTTTTTCTTCTCTTTTTTTTTTCTTTTTTTTGAGAAAATCTCCTTCTATTGCCCAGGCTGTAGTGCAGGGTTGTGATCATGGCTCACTGCAGCCTTGACGTCCCAAGTTCAATCAATCCTTCCACCTCAGCCTCCTGAGTATCTGGGAGTACAGGCATACACTACCATGCTCCACTAATTTTTGTATTTTTTGTAGAGATGGGGTATTGCTATGTTATGCAGGCTGGTCTCGAACTCCTGGGCTCAAGCAATCTGCTGGTCTCAGCCTCCCAAAGTGCTGTGATTACAGGCGTGAGCCACCATGCCTGGCCGAGTTCAACTTTTTTAGATTCCACATGTAAGTGAGATCATGTGGTATTTGTCGTTCTGTGCCTGGCTTATTTCACTTAACATAATATCCTCCAGGCTCATCCATGTTGTCTCAAATGGCAGGATTTCCTTCTTTTTGAAGGCTGAATAGTATTCCATTGTGTACATACACCACATTGTTGCTGGAAGTTTAATGGAGGCCAGTTGGGGGAGGATGGGGAGAAGATTCACTCTAAGTCTAGATGCTCCAGTACCCACCCAGGATGTGTGCAAGGAAGTGCAGGATGCTCCTGGTCCTGCAAACTGTGGTTTGTGGGACTCCAAAGCCCCTATCCTTCCACGATGCTTTCTGTCCTGTTATCACATTTCCTTGGAGGAGAACCCAGCCTTGGTGGAGAGCCCTGCTCTGGCTTTGTCCCTCGGCATGAGATGGCGAAGGATGGTGCCGCTGGGAGACCCTCACATCTGCACACTGGGGGCTGTTTGCCTTCTCCATTCCTCCTTCAAGTATCTGAGCAGCTCCTGTGTGCCAGCTGCTGGTCTACAAGATGGATGGGTCCTTGGAGATCAGCCTGTAGCAGAGGAGGCAGGCTATAGCCCACAGGCCAGAACCAGCCCCCTGCCTGTTCACACAAATAAAGTTTTATTGGAACACAGCCACACCCATTTCAGTACCTATTGTCTGTGGCTGCTTTCCTGCTACAATGGAGAGTTGAATATTTGGGACAGAGACCTATGGCCTGCAAAGCTCAACTATTTACCATCTGGCCCTGGAGAGAAAGGAAAAAAATGCTGATCCTTGTACCCTGACAGTCTTAGGTTAAGAGGACTTCGTACCACTCTGACGTCCCAGGCCGCCATGAGTCCAGCCACCCTTGAAATGTACACAAGTCTGGGCTGAGGTTGCAGCAGGTGAGGCCCAATTTTGCAGGTCTTTGGTATCAGGGGCACAACCCAGGATTTTGTGTGGGGTTTCTTCCTCACTGTGGCTGGGCACTGGGCAAGGGTGCTTTCTGATTTTTGTATGGGGAAGAGAAAGGAGGGAGGAAATGGCAACTTGTTGCCCTGTTCTAACATTTTCCTAAGATGGGTCTCCAGGCCAGGGCTTGGGATCTCACCTTGCACAGCTTACAAAACCCAGTGAGGCCGGCTGTCTTGGCGCTGCCACTCTGAGGGATGGAGCCCGCAAATGACTAGGAAGGGAGATAAAAGAATGGTTTCTGCAAGCACAAGAAGTGGCGTTATTGAAATTAACATTTCCCCCAAGTTTTACAATGTCTAGGCATGCATATTTAAGTGTCTGCCTCAAAAGCTCATGCTAATAAGGAGATGGTGCATTTAATTTCCTTTTTTTGTTCTCTGAGCAACATGCAGCTTCCTGCACAGCCCTCCTTGCAGGCAACTGCACTGAGGTGACAGTCCTCCTGGCTGCCAGCACAGATCCCCAGGGCCTCTGAGGGCCCTGTATTCTGGAGGCAGTCTTTCACTTTCTATTCGGCCCCAGCTGGAAGGGGGCAGTTTAACCACAGCCCAGCACAGGTCTCCCGCCTTAGCTTCTCTAAGGAGTCTGGCTCCCTCTGACCCTCTAGACCTCACCAGCTGAGGATCAGAGCCCCGGGGCAGGAGCCAGGGCCAGGGGGCATTGGGGGGTGGTTTGAGAGTGCAGCTCTGGAGGGGGGCAGTGCGGGCCCAGGAAAAGCTGCTCAGGGGAGACTGCAAAGAGATGGCAGAGTTAGGACAAGAGGGTCGGGCATGGTGGCTCACATCTGTAATCCCAGCACTTTGGGAGGCCGAGGTGGGCGGATCACCTGAGGCCAGGAGTTTGAGACCAGACTGGCCAATATGGTGAAAACCTGTCTCTACTAAAAATACAATAATTAGCCGGACATGGTGACACCTATAATCCCAGCTACTCGGGAAGCTGAGCCACGAGAATTGCTTGAACCCGGAAGGTGGAGGTTGTAGTGAGCTGAGATTGTGCCACTGTACTCCAGCCTGGGCAACAGAGCAAGATTCCATCTCAAAAAAAAAAAAAAAAAAAAAATAGGACAGGAGGAGGAGGGAAGAGAAGGGAGCTGTGGGGCAGCGGCCAGGACCTTAAAGGCACAGAAGAGGAAGCTTGGATTTCCAATTCCAAAGGACATGAGGAAAATTCACACACCTTTATTTAACCTGCTCCAGGTGAGGCTGGGCTTTGTGTATTTTCCTTGTTTTACTTTTCCTTGTGTTCAGGCTGTTGTAGAAACAGGTACACAGGGGCTCTGTGTGGTGCCATGTTCTAGTTGCCTTCAGGAAGCATGTGGTGCCCTGGTTTCCTTGGCTTCGTGTCCCCCTTTCCTCCTGCCACCCCTGACTCTGCCCCCCACCTTGTCCCTCAGAACATCTTCCTGGAAGGGCCTGGCCAGGGCTTGTGTCCTTGCTAGTCTCTGGGGAGGAAGACTCTGTGGCTTGAAAGGCTGTCGGCTTAAGTTGCAAGGTGTAGGTGCCTGGGAGGGCATGTGCACGGCCCTCTTGACTGATCCATTCATGTTTTCCTTTTTTGACTCCGTTCTATGTTGTCCTGATGGAGGGGTAAGCCCCTGCCTTCTGCCTTTCCTGCCTTGGACTCTTGCAATTGGGCCAGATGAGAGGGTCCATGTGGTCTGAGAATTCAAGCAATGCAGGCCAGGCGTGGTGGCTCACACCTGTAATCCCAGGACTTTTGGAGGCTAAAGAGGGCAGGCCAGGAGTTTGAGACCAGGTGGCCAAAATAGTGAAACCCTGTCTCTACAAAAAATACAAAAGTTAGTCGGGCTTGGTGGTGCATGCCTGTAATCCTAGTTATTTGGGAGGCTGAAGCAAGAGAATCCCTTGAACTCAGAAGGAGCAGGTTGCAGTGAGGAGCAGGTTGCAATGAGGAGGAGGTTGCAGTGAGGAGGAGGTTGTAGTGAGGAGCAGGTTGCAGTGAGGAGGAGGTTGCAGTGAGGAGGAGGTCGCAGTAAGGAGGAGGTTGCAGTGAGGAGGAGGTCACAGTAAGGAGGAGGTTGCAGTGAGGAGGAGGTTGTAGTGAGGAGCAGGTTGCAATGAGTAGGAGGTTGCAGTGAGGAGGAGGTTGCAGTGAGGAGGAGGTCGCAGTGAGGAGGTCGCAGTGAGAAGGAGGTTGCACTGAGGAGGAGGTTGTAGTGAGGAGGAGGTTGCGGTGAGGAGGAGGTTGCAGTGAGCCGAGATTGTGTCCCTGGACTCCAGACTGGGCAATAGAGCGAGACTATGTCTCCAAAAAAAAAAAAAAAAAAAAAAAAAAAAAAAAAATATATATATATAGAAAACAGAAAGCAAAACTACCTCTTGATTTGCTTTTCTTGATCTTGCATCTCAGAGGTAACACTGGGAAGGGTTGGGGTATACCTCTCCCCACCTTTTTCTTTGATTTCTTTTTATTTTTTATTCTACGTTCTGAGATACATGTGCAGAATGTGCAGGTTTGTTACATAGATATACATGTGCCATGGTGGTTTGCTGCACCTATCAACCCGTCATCTAGGTTTTAAGCCCCGCATGCATTAGGTATTTGACCTAACGCTCCCCCTCGCCTTGTCCCCCACCCCCGATGGGCCCCGGTGTGTGATATTCCCCTCCCTGTGTCCATGTGTTCTCATTGTTCAACTCCCACTTATGAGTGAGAACACACCGTGTTTGGTTTTCTGTTTCTGTCCACAGCTTTTTCCTCTGTGCACACAAGCACATGTATTTGCACATAAGTGTTTATTGTAATCTTTTTAAAAAAGTAAAATGCAATAATGCTATATTTATTCTTTGGAAAGCCTGTTTTTCAGGCAGCATGTCTTTGACATTGTCTCACATTGGAACCTGGGTACCACCTTCTTCTCCCTGCAGTTATTCTGACGTGTGGATGTACCACGCTTCGTTTAACCAGCCCTGCACCGATACGTCTTTGGAGGGTTTCCGCCTTTTCCCAATCACAGACGGTGTTCTGATGAATTTCCTTACACACATCACTTGGTGCTCTGTGCCTGCATTTCTGTGAGATGTTCCTGGAGGTGGGCTGTCTAGGTCAGAGGGGGATCTGTGCTCAATTTGCATCCTGTGCAAAACTCCATCCGGTCATCCAGCTTCCCAAGGGCTCACATGGTACTGTCCTCTGTAGACATCATCTTCTGCAGATGATGGCATGACAGCCCCTCTTTCTTTTACTCACACCAGTCTGCACCCTGGTGTCCTGGGGGGTCCAGCCCCTACCTGCTTGTCTGCCTCCACCCCACAGTGCCCCCAGCCCCTGCTAACAGGGACACTGGCTTCTGAGCTCTGGCAGACTGCCTCACTCTGGAGAAGTTTGCTTTCTCAAACATTCCTGGCAATGTTACTGCAAATCTCGAGGCCTGCATTTGCCGCCTTCAGGCCTCAGTTTCCTCAAAAGTAAAATGGGGATAATGTGATGCTACTGTCTGCATCCTAGAGCTGCCATGAGGTTTCAGTGAGATCACTGTTGAGAGCACGTTCATAGCGCCGGCCTTGTGCGCAGTCAGCACGTGTGGGGCAGGGCTGTTGCTGATAGGTGGTTGACTGTCATTGCTAGACTGTGGCTTTACCAGGGTCAATGTCTTTAGTGCCGAGCCCAGAGCCACCCCTAGTACCTGCTGTGATAATAGAGTGATTGAGTGTCAGGGTCAGAGACTGGGGCAATGGCAGCAGAAACAGAGGAAAGAAGTGGGGCTTCTAATAGTTCCTGCACCAGTGGCCTTTGAGATGAAACCTTCTTGCCAAGGTCTGGGGCTGTGCTGTGTGTTCTAGACCCGAGACTGGAAGCTAGGCCTGGCTACAGTCCTAGCTGAGCTGGGGAATTGCAGGACAGCATCCTGCTTCATTAGGACACCTCCAAGCCCAGCTTAGACGTGGATTCCAGGTGACCCCCTGTTTACTCTGAGCCCAGACAGAGGACAGAAAAGTGTGCAAGGGTCTGGACCCTCATCACAGCCGTTGACTCTGTAAGGCATATGGGTTTGTGCACGTGTGTGAGCACGGCCGTGTCTTCTCTGTGAGTTTCAAGGTCGAGGTTGTGTTTATGCAGGGTTAGGCTTGCCAGGTAAAATACAGGAGGTCCAATTAAACCTGAATTTCTCATTAACCTTTTTTTTTTTTTTTTTTTTTTTTTGGTGCAAATATATCCCATGCAATATTTGGGACCTGCTTACTCTAAAAAATGATTTGTTGTTTATCTGAAATTCAAGTTAAACTGGCATCCTGTCTTTTCACTTGCTATGTATGAGAGTTCCGTGTGGGGGTTATCAGTGTGCATTTGTGAGTTCCCACGTGAAGGACTCTCTCCAAGTGTCTGTAGGTGCCAGGATGGAGATGGACAGAGAAGATCCTCTTGGGCTGCTTTAGTGGCACCTAGAGGCTGTGGGGTTGGACACTTCAGCCCCAGGGACCTGGGCAGCACTGTCCAGCACTTGCCTGCTCCTGTCTTCTCCACGGGGGCTGACTTCCCTGACATCTCTCTCCAAATACGGTGGCAAGAGCTATCCCATCTGCCCCCATCTGGAGCTCGGCATCCCAGCCAGACAAGATGGCAAAGTGTGCAGATGGTTGCAAAGCTTTCCCCAGCTCCTTCTGCAAGGGGCCTGCAGATGAAAGGGAAGCCCTCATCCTCACCACCTCCCCCTTCCAGAAAACCCAGGCAACAGCCACCTCTGAATGCTGCTTTAGAAGCTTCTCCCTCCTGGTGATTAAACCACCCCAAACAATAAAGCACTGCATTTCCACCATAGGCTTGTTCACATGCACGCAGCCAGTTGTCTTGGATCCGCCCCTGTGCCTGATTCATCAGGGTGAGGGGTTCTCCTCTGAGGTGCTTGCAAAGAGCTGCTTAATTTTCATATGAAAGACTCTCTGTAGAAACCAGGCCCAGCTTTGGAAGAAAGCCCTTTCTCCCCCTTTAGCAAATTCGGTGTCATTTTTTTTTCTTTTTTGAGACGGAGTTTCACTTTTGTTGCGCAGGCTGGAGTGCAATGGTGCAATCTCAGTTCACTGCAGTCTCTGCCTCCTTGGTTCAAACGATTCTCCTGCCTCAGCCTCCTGAGTAGCTGGGACTACAGGCACCCACAACCACACCCAGCTAAATTTTTTTTTGTATTTTTAGTAGAGAGGGAGTTTCACCATGTTGGTCAGGTTGGTCTTGAACTCCTGACCTCAGGTGATCCACCTCGGCCTCCCAAAGTGCTGGGATTACAGGCATGAGCCACCATGCCTGGCTGGAATTCTGTGTCATTCTGCATACTTATCATGACTTCAAGCATCCAGGACTCTGTCCTGGGTATCCTGAGCCTGAGGGTGTATGTGTGTCCAGCTGGCTTGGAGGTTGTCTACAGACAGATTGAACTTGGCCTCTGAATGCATGGCAGCCCCATGTGGGAAATACCACCAAGGAACCTCATCGTGTGCTTTTAGGAGATAGTTTCTATTTAGTCATTGCTGAATCTGTTACAGACAGGGTCTCGATTTCTTGCAAGTCCTGTATGAGGTCGGTGCTGTGATTATCCATATTTTCACTTGCTCTCTCTGGCCTCTTTCAGGCTCTTGCACTTCCTTTGTTTTCTTTCTGCCATAGGGTCTTTGCACATCCTGCTCTTTCTGCCTGAAAAATTTTCCCTCTCCCTGCTTCTTCACCTGGTCACGGTCTCATCTGACACTGGAGTCACTACATCCTCAGGGACTTCTGGCCACACTGACTCAGTCCCAGTAACCCCCTGTTATCTGCTTTCATGACACCAGCTGCCTCTCTGTGGTAGAAACTAGCTCAGCTACGGCTTCCTATTTCTCTGCGTGTCATCCTTCCCCTTCAAGACTGTGGTCACCATAAGGGCCAGGGACGTGCCTGTTCTGATTCTCATTTGTGTCTCTGGTGTTTAGTATATGCTCACCTAGAATTTGATTAATGAATGACAACATACCCATTTTACAGATGAGAAAGTTGAGGCTCGGAAACATTATGTAACTTGCTCAGTATTAGATAGTGATGGTTTGTGGTCATCTGGCCAGTCGCTGGGTGCACACTCTTAACCACTTCACTATGGTTCTTCTCTCATGGTAGCTCTCCAACAGCAGGAGTGAGAGACAAGTTTAGGACAGGAGTAACCAGAATCTCAGGGCTTATCCTAGAAGGTGGTGTCAGGAACATACTTGCCTATGGGCCTTCTTACTGTATTGCATAAAATACCCAGTTTTTCTGACTCACCTTTAGTAAAGACCTTAGCAATATTTGAAGCACAGTTGTCAGTAGGAAAGGGTGGATGTTTATACTTTTTTAAAAAGGAGTCTATATCATATTTATCTTGTGGTCTGCCATGCCCCCCGATCTTCTTCAGCTTCAGTTATGCAAAATT
Organism: Homo sapiens; assembly: GCF_000001405.40. NCBI lineage: Eukaryota > Metazoa > Chordata > Mammalia > Primates > Hominidae > Homo > Homo sapiens. The sequence continues at coordinate 5,263,292 of NW_018654717.1, read as the reverse complement.
CACACTTCTTCTCTTGACTGCCTCTCTCTTACCTGTTCAGTTTATTTTCTGTGTTCGAGATTGCTTAGAATTTTTCCCCATTACTACAGCCTGCTTCCCAACTGCATCCCCCACCCAGCTTGTTCTGGATTTTGTCAACAACAGTTCCAGCGTTTAGTGAGGGCTGGATTGAAGGAAAGCCTTGGAAAAGGCTATGTGATGAATGGTGAAGACACTTAATGGGCAGGCAGTCATCAGTGTTAATTCAAAGGCTGGAAGAAGGGCTGACCTGGAGGACTGGAAATGTCTTTGAGCTGAAGGTCATGTGCAGGTGGAACGAAGAGGGTGAGCCTTTTGGGGTGAACTGCAAGTATTTGATAATATCCCTGTCTCCATGGTTGGGGAAGTCTTGATAAGCATCCTTAATGTGAAGGAGGGATTAAGGAACACCTGGTTCTACCTGCCCAGCATGGCAGTAACATGACACAGCCAAGTTATTGATTATTGGTTGCCCAGCTGTCATCAGCTCAACATCTTCTGTTAGTTTTAGCTGCAATTTCCGTTAGTTATCAATGCCAGTTTTGACTTTCCTAGTCAATAAAGTGTTCTGAGAGTGGTGACTAAGGCTGAGCACTACCCATAATCATGAGTATTACAGAGGCAAGCCCCCTTGCCCACCTACCTGCAGGTGATGAGACACCCTAGGGAAATAACTCAATTCTTTGGAGGACCCCGAATAAATGCCCAAGTCTATCTGTTCATCTGTCCATCCATCCATCCACCCTTCCTTCCTTCCATCCGTCCATCCATCCATCCATCCACACATGCATACATCCAACCACCCACCCATCTATCTACCCACCCACCAATCTATCCATCCAACCCAGTCTCTTATACACCCAGCTATCATCCACCTACCCATCCACCACCACCCTCTATCCATCCACTCACCCATGCATCTATCCACCCGTTTACTCATCTAACCATCTATCCACCCACCCATCCATCCATTTATCCCTCCAACCCCTCACCCACTCATCCATTTCTCCACCCACTCAGCCATCCCTTCACTGACTCAACCATCCATTCATTCATCCACCTGCCCGCCCACCCATTATCCACCCATCCACCTATGTATCCATCCATCTGTTGTCCTTCTGTTCATTTATTCCACAAAGACTCGTTAACCACCTGCTAGATTCTGGGGAGGTACCTGCTCTAGTAATTGAGAACATGATCTCTGGAATAAGATTCCCTGGGCTCAAACTGAGCTGCCTCCTAGCTAGCTGCTTGGGTAAGTTATAGAAACTGTGCTTTGACTTTCTTATCTGAAAATTGGCTATTAATAGCTTCTACTCTTGCAGATATAGTGAGGATTAAATAAGATGTCACATTAAAAGTGCATCATCGGCACTCAATAGAGATTAGGTTTTACCATTCATTATTATTCTTGGCAGATGCTGCAGATAACGTGGAGAGCATATGAAAGGCACATGTTTGAACCAATAGTGACATACAGACGCTAAGTTCTGCATTAGGGGAAGGTCAGACAGCCATGGAGAGGGCCTGGCCCAATCCTGGAGCCTCAGAAAAATGTTCCCCGTTGAATTCCTGTTTTAGCTGAGACTTGTGGGATGGGTAGTAGTTGGAGATCCCAGACAGGATGTGACCGAGTTAGCCAGGGAAAAATTGGGTCCTGGCACCCATGGCAGAATTGATTGATCAGTTCTTCTGTCTCCTCTGTTTGGAAGTCCACTAGGTCTGGGAATGTCAAGTTGGGGGAGGGCGCTGACAATGATCATGACCTTCACCTGTCCTCACATGTCCTCTGTGTATCTGCAAAGCCTCTGCCTCAGTCTCCTCTTTTGGAAAGTGGGATTGGAAACCACATCTGCTTCTCTCCCAGGACTGCTAGGAAGACAAGATTAGATGGCAGGTGAGAGCTCCTTGAAAACAAAAACATTCTACTATTTGAATGCAAAGTGTTCTTCTTTGCCTGTGATGTTTCCTAATCTGTGAAATCATACTGGACCTCGAAGCTGTCTATTAAAAAAATAGCAAAGTGGCTGGGCATGGTGGCTCATGACTATAGTAGTTCTAGCACTTTGAGAGGCTGAGCGGGGTGGATCATTTGAGGCCAGGAGTTCAATACTAGCCTGGCCAATATGCGAAACCCCATCTCTACTAAAAATACAAAAATTAGCCAGGTGTGGTGGCATCTGTCTGTAGTCCCAGCTATTCGGGAGGCTGAGGCACAAGAATCATTTGAGCTCAGGAGGCAGAGGTTGCAGTGAGCCAAAATTGCACCACTGCACTCCATCCTGGGCAACAGAGTGAGGCTCTGTCTGAAAAAAGAAAAAAAAAAACAAAGTTAACACTTCCTCCATCTCTCCCCTGGGGGAGGCAATTTGTCAAAGATTATTGTTGGATTTTACACACAGGGAAATCTAAGGAAAGTGTGGAAATCAGACCGGGACTCCAGACTCTGGTCTCCCTGTTTGCAGAGTCTTAAAATGGGGAGCCACTTTGGGTTCTTTCTACAAGATTGCTTTTTTAAAAACAAACAAACAAACAAAAAAAAACTCAAAAAAAAAAAAAGCCCTGACCTAAATATTCACAAGGGACCTTAGGCAATATCTGCAAACAAAAGTGAGTGAGGAGTGGAATCTGTCTTTACAACTAAGACAGCTCCAGAGTTAAAGCAAGTGGAAATATCTCTAGAGACAGAGATTTGGGCGGGTTTTGTTTTGTCACTTACAAGCTATGAGAACCTGGGCAGGTTTACCTCTCTGAGCTTCTGTGACCTTGTAAAATAGGCTGCATTGCGCTAAACTTGCAGGAGGAATCCCAGCATCCTCCTGTGCACAAGGCTGGTTTCTTCCCATCCTTTTCCTTGTTCTGCCTTTCTCCTCCTCTCCAAGAGACGAATACATTTGGAGCCAGTAGGGGCCTATGTTTGCAAAAGCTCGCAGGTGATTCTCATGCAGCCAGCCTGGCTCTGGCACTGAGTTCTTGGACATTTCTGGAGGCGCATTTACTAGTGAGGAAGGTCTCTCTGTGCTGAAGGCATGATTCATCTTCCATTCCTTTCTTCCATGAAGGAAGGCGCATGGGTCGACTGAGCTGGGAGAGTCCACGATGTCAGCCTCCCCCACGCTTCCCTCCCTCCTTATTCCTTGTGTGTTGTACTTTGTCTCGATTTCCTGTACTCTGCACCAAGCCAGGAGATGATAAGATCTCAAAAAAATCGTTTTTTGGGAAATGGGATCAAGAGGGTTTTTGTTTGCTTGTTTGTTTGAGACAGGGTCTGTCGCCCAGGCTGAAGTGCAGTGGCGTGACCTTGGCTCACTGCAGCCTTGACCTTCTGGGCTCAGGTGATCCTCCCACCTCAGCCTCCTGAGTAGCTGGGACTGCAGATGCACACCACCATGCCTGACTAATTTGTCTATTTTTTGTAGAGATGAGGTTTCACCATGTTGCCTAGGCTGGTCTCAAACTGCTGGGCTCAAGCAGTCCTCCATCCACCTCGGCCTCCCAAAGTGCTGAGATTACAGGCATGAGCTGCTGTGCCTGGCCAAGGTTTTTTTTTTTATTATTATTACAAAAACTTTTCAATAAACATAAAAGTAGAGACACCAGTTTAATGAGCTATCATATACCCATCACATAGATTTAAAAACTATTAACATTTGCAATATTTACTTCATTTGTTTTTCTGAAGTATTTACAAAATAGTTGACAGTAGTTATGTAATTGCATCCTGATATTCATCCCTACGTAATTTACTTTCCCTCTAAAAACATGAGGGCACTTTTTATATGATCATTGTCATACCTAATCAAATTACCAGTAATTCCTTAATATCCTCTAAGATCAAGTTTACATTCAGATGTCTTGTCCTCAAAATGTCATTTGTGATTATTTTTTTCTTTGACCAAAGATAGTAAGATCTCAAGATTTAATGACAGAGATTCCATGTTAGCCCTGATGTCTAAGCTCTGTGGTCCATTGTGGCTTTACTTGAAAGTCTGAGGCTAGGCGTGGTGGCTCACATCTGTAATCCCAGCACTTTGGGAGGCCAAGGTAGGCGGATCATGAGGTCAAGAGATCAAGACCATCCTGACCAACATGGTGAAACCCTGTCTCTATTAAAAATACGAAAATTAGTCAGGTGTGGTGGCGGGTGCCTATAGTCCCAGCTATTCGGGAGGCTGAGGCAGGAGAATCACTTGAACCCGGGAGGCAGAAGTTGCAGTGAGCTGAGATTGCACCACTGGACGCCAGCCTGGGTGGCAAGAACAAGACTCTGGAAAAAAAAAAAAAGCCTCTCACTGTGGTCTCATAATAAAAGGACACTCCATTTCCCATCTGGTCCCTGCTCCTTAATGTTAGCCCCCTCCTGTGGGGAGGAAGGGGTGACTTTCAGCGCGGGTTCAAATATTCCCAGGGCTGGCTCTGATCCCAATAAAGCCCATCGTCATGAATGAATGCTTCCCTTGCAGGATATTCTAAGTATTGTAAATAGTGCACGTGGAGTGTCCTCATGATGCCTGGGATTGTAGTGAATATTTATAGGTTTCTTTTAGTGCCTTTTTTTTTTAAGTGTTTTCTATAGTTCCATGTTTCTACAACCCTTAGGAACATCAGAATCATGTGTGTGTGGGTGCTTATTAAATAAAAGAGTTCCTGGAGCTCACTCCCAGTGACTGCCAGTCTGATGATTAGGGGCTTAGCTAGGACCTAGGTTTGCAAAAGCTCCCAGCTGATCTCATGCAGCCAGCCTGGCTCTGGCTCTGGCGCTGGGAGCTGGGTTGGGAACTAGTCTTTGGTGCTATTCTGCTGATACTTCAAGTTGGGCTCTTTGACTCCGTCTTGTATTGTCATCACTTGTATTCAGGTCTGTTCTTCCCCTGGATTGTAAACTCCTTGATGTCTGGGTCATCTCAGCTCATGAGCTGAGCTTTCAGTGGGTGCTCAGTGGAACAGGTGCTGAATGGAGTCCGGCTCTAGGGAGGCCAGGGTGTGTTGGTAAGTGAGAGACTAAAATCCTTTTAAAAAGAATCTTTTTGCCCTTCAGTTGTGTTTGCCATGAGTTAATGTGATTTACTCTAGTGGAAGCCAGTGCAGCTTAAGTGGAGGTCTTGCCCTGAAATGGAGCCAGGTTATGGATCAGCAGAGCTGCCAAAAGCATTTTGGGGGAAATGTTTCTGTGTCACCCTCAGTTGATTGAACTCAAGTTTTCACTCCCGTTTAACACCATGTGGGGGCCATTCTGACTTCTGCGGAGTGGGTATGATCAGATCTTCTGTAAAAGTGTAAGTGAGGAGGCTGGGCACGGTGGCTCACACCTGTAATCTTAGCACTTGGGAGGCTGAGGTAGGTGGATCACTTGAGGCCAAGAGTTTGAGACAAGCCTGGACGACATGATGAAACCTCATCTCTACTAAAAATACAAAAATTAGCCAGGCGTGATGGTGCATGCCTGTAATGCCAGCTACTCAGGAGCCCGAGGCAGGAGAATCACTTGAACCTGGGAGGTGGAGGTTGCAGTGAGCTGAGGTTGCACCACTGCACAGTATTCCAGCCTGGGTGACAGAGCGAGACTCTGTCTCAAAAAAAAATAAAAAAAAAAGTGTATGTGAGGAAACTGGAATTGAGCTTGGGGATGTTGGGGGATGGAGGTACTTCATTTACTGAACAACAAAAACCATAGGATACCAATCCTGGAGGAAGAAGCATCATCCTCAGATTCTACTAACTCAACCACGCATGAGATGGGGACTTGGTGTCCGAGAGAAAAGCTACTTTTTAGGTCTTCAACCTTGATCAAACCATTTCTGAATTCCTCATACATATATAATCAGGTGCTAGGAGTGGTACTGATTGGATAATCTTTCTGTCTTTTCCTGTGCTAGGAAGGAAAATACATGTACAGCCAACTTCCTTGAGGGTTCGTTCTTTTGCATCAGGGTGTCTCAAACTGATGCCCTTAAAACACCTGTAAGAGAATCATCCAGGCGGCTTGCTTGCTCTGCATGCAGGCCCTTTAGAATCAGACTCAGAATCCCTGGGGCTGGAGCCACAAAATGAAATGACATTTCAACCAGTTTGTCATCATGTGAGAGAGAATAGGTGAGTATTTGGATACCTATAATACAAAGTAGATTCAAAAAGAATGACTTGATTATTTTAAATGTTGTGTTTTAAAAAATTTAATACAGAAAAGGCTGGGCACAGTGACCCATGCCTGTAATCTTAGCACTTTGGGAGGCCAAGGCGGGTGGATCATTTGAGGTCAGGAGTTCAAGACCAGCCTGGCCAACAAGGTGAAACCCCATCTCTACTAAAAACATAAAAATTAGCCAGGCAGTAGTGGTGCGTGCCTGTAATCCTAGCTGCGGGGGAGGCTGAGGCAGGAGAATTGCTTAAGCCTGGGAGGCAGAGATTTGGTGAGCTGAGATCGTACCACTGCGCTCCAATGTGGGTGACGATTGTTTAACCACCACCAAAATGGGTTCTGAGTCCAACTATTAATATGAAGATGACATCCATTGTGGTCTTGTACATTTTGTTGCCTTTCCGGGGTGAAGGACATTGGTGACCATTTGTTTCCTCTGGAACGGTCGATTGGTCATGAACTTCCTGGTCCAGGTAGTCACTGTGTCATTCATGTTGGTGGTTGATCCTCAGGTAGTTAGGGAGGAAAATAAACAAGAAGTTATATATTTAAAATCACGTTTCAATTTTAGACCTGATTAATTGACTTAATAAAGGGCATTAGCAATTCTACTTCCTACAGTCCCTCTCTTTACCTCTGGAAACTAGTTATTTCTAGGTTGTTTTATGTTGTTAAGGTTGACCACCTTCTCTTTCTGTTCTGCAATCATAGTCCTATCACTAGCCTTTTGTCATGGTCATTCAATTCACAAGTTGCTTATTTTTTAATTTCTTGGCTGACTAAATTTTATTATGAAGACTTTTTTTTTTAAAGAGCTCAGAAATACTGTATTCTTTAAGTTCTTCAGCATGTGTCTTTTGCCTATTTTGATTGGGCAATAATTTAGCTGGCTATAAAATTCTTGGATTATACTCTATTTCCCTTAGAAATTATAGGCACCCATCCACTGACATTTCATTGTGCTTTATTTTATTTTATTTTATTTTTTGAGATGGAGTCTTGCTCTGTCACCCAGGCTTGAGTGCTGTGGTGCAATCTCGGCTCACTGCAAGCTCTGCCTCCCGGGTTCACACCATTCTCCTTCCTCAGCCTCCCGAGTAGCTGGGACTACAGGCGCCCACCTCCATGCCTGGCTAACTTTTTTGTATTTTTAGTAGAGACGGGGTTTCACCGTGTTAGCCAGGATGGTCTCGATCTGCTGATCTCGTGATCCACCGGCCTTGGGCTCCCAAAGTGCTGGGATTACAGGTGTGAGCCACTGTATGAGCCCAGCCCCATTGTGCTTTGTACTAACCCCCTTTCCCTGGCCTCTTCCAGCTTGTCTTCTTCTCTCCCAGTAGTTTCTTCATGAAGAGGCCATGTGCTATATTCCATGAGATATTTCACACTCAAAGAAGACTTCTTTTATACTCTTGTGATAATTTGTCTGGGAATCACTGTCTTGATTTGTAAGGGAGTTTGTAATAAATACAATAAAAGAGAAACACAATATATTTTGAGACATCAGAGAAGGGAGAAACCAATTCTATTAATATTTGGGGTTAGCAGGGAAGGCTTAGTTAAGAGGTAACATTTGAACTAAGCCTTGAAATAAGGGAAAGATTTGGCCATGCAGAAATGGCGAGAGAGTAGAAGCAAGACATGATGGTTAGTGTTATGTATCAATTTGACTGGGTTGTGGGGTGCCCAGATATTTGGCTACACATTATTCTGGGTGTGTCTCTGAGGTATTCTGGATGAGGATAACATTTAATTGGTAGACTGAATAAAGCAGATTGTCCTCCCCAATGTGGGTGAGCCTCATCCAATCCATTGAAGGCCTGAACAAAACAAAAAGGTAGAATCACAGAGAATTTGCTCTTTTTACCTGATTATATTTGAGCTGGGACATCAATCTTCTCCTGACTTTACATGTGGACTCGAGTTGGAACTATATCATTGGCTGTCCTGGGTCTCCAGCTTGCTGGCTGCAGACTCCAGGACTCCTTAGCTTCCATAACCAGGTGAGCCATCCCTTACAACAAATCAATCTGTCTCTCTCTATGTGTATATCTCTACCTCTATCTCTCTGCTCTTTCTCTGGAGAACCTAGAATAATACACAAGGTTATATTAGAGAAGAGGATGACCCAAGGAAAAGCATGGAGGCAGAAAAGTGCAAAGAGGGTTTGGGAAGACTGGGGTCCTGATGGGGAGTTTGGATTTCTCTGTGTGTAGCATGGAGAATCATTGAAAATATTCTAGAGGTGAAAATTGTATTTGTGGAAGAACACCAGGAGTATGTGAAAAGAAAAACACTCACTCCATTTTAACTCCACTGAAGGGGGCATCAACGGGATGCACTGGGGACATGGGTTGGAGGGTAGTTGAGGCCATATCTGGAGGATCTTTACTTCTAAGCTGAGTCTGAAGTTATCTTTCTGGGGAGTGGGAAATTACAAATCTTTGAGCTCCACTCAAGAGATGGTTTTGCTAACAATGGCAGGACGACGGTGGTGGTGGTGGTGGGAAACTGGTAGCATGAATTCTAATTGGGTTTCTGTTATTCTAGCCGAGAAAATTGGGGAATGGACTTTCAGTAGAATAATACAGATCTGGGAATCAACTGCATGGAGGAGGTAGTTATAGGTGATGAGATGTCTCAGGGACAAAGTTTGGTAGAAGGAGAAAAGATACTAGGCTGCTACAAAAATAATTGCTGTTTTTGCCATTACTTTTAATGGCAAAATCCGCAATTACTTTTGCACCAACCTAATAGGATGCAAACTTCGGAGCCATCTGCATCAGAGGGATTGATGAAGATCAACAAAGTTTGGGAACACAGGAAAGGAGCGGGGAGGGTAATGACTTGAGGGCATAGCAGGGATAATCAAGGTTTTTCTTGTTAGCATGTGGAGACTTAAGCATGATTATATGTTAATCGCCTGGCACATACACGGTGCAAAATATTTATGAGTGAAATGACAAGTGAAGGTGGTGAGTCATGGGAGTTCCAAGGGAACGGGTGATAAAGGCAGGTCTCAAATGAGGCACAAGTGGAGAAGGTAGCTTGGGAAAGGAGAAGGATGCTTCTCCTTATAACATGGGAAAGGCAGAGGAAGAGGATCAAGATACAGTGATCTAGGGGTGAGATGGAAGTGAGTTGAGAGAACTCAACTCTGGGCTCTGAAACCCCTAGGGCTGGGTTTGGGGGGCTTTGAGATATGGAAGAGGTTTACAGTCAATTGTTATAGCAAATATGGTTTGGAATTTATTTGTGATGCTTAAAAATATTGCTGAACAGAAGTGAAGTCTGCCCTAGAGTTGGATGGTGAGATTATTTAGTGGAACTACCAGATCCCTGTTGTGATTCTTTCCAGTATCATTCAGCAGCCCTTGGGCAGTTGCGAGGCAAGTCGTCAATGGAGTATGGAGATTTTCCAGGTGGGTGTGGTTGAAGGAAGGGAAGAAAGAGTTTAGGAGCACATTACAAGAAGAAGGTGACTGTAAGGTCCAGGCTGAGCAGGAAGGTAAAGCAAGAAGGAAACATGAGGTTGTGAAGAGAAGTTTAGAGGGATGAGGAGGCAGGAGAGGTGAACAGTTGCAGGATGTAGCTAGAGTGGCGATGTTAGATCTTGGGGCCAGAGAGCTTTACAATGATTATGAAGATCAAAGGGCATTAGAATCAAGCTATAAAGAGCCACTGTTTGATGTTGGGATGTGAGGATGCTGCAGGTGGATGTCTGCACATTGATGGTGAGAACATGGTCACCCTGGCCCTGCTGGGTCTTTGCTAAAGAGACTGTGCTCTGTTCTTGGGGCCGTTTTCATCACCTGATTACAGCAGTGGTCCCCAAATGGTGTTCTTTGGACCATCTGTATAAAATGTTCATAGGTCAAGGATAAAATGGAAAAACAGAGAAAATGTCACAGAAATGTGCCCATTGTTGAGAGACCACCAGCTGTCCTTTTTGGAGGATTGTTCTTTATTCTAAAAATGTATATATTCTATTCTATTAAAACATTTTTGTATTGGCATTTTTTTCTCTTTTATGAAATGCCATGGGGTAGAAATTTGTAATGTATCCAATTCTCCTGTCTTCATGTATTGCCCTGTGGTGGGGGAGGGGATGTGGCTAGTACTGGCCAAGAGGCTGGGGGCAGAGGTGCAATGTTAGACTTCTAGCCTGGAGCATTTAATTCTTAGTACAAGACTCTCTAACATTCTTCTCCCTCTGTTCCCTGCTTGGTGATACTCGAGGTATTGCAACCCCCATTAACCTTAGTCTTAGGGCAAGTTTGATGGGAAACAGAGCACCCCACACCTCCCTGCAGATGAAGCATGAGTGAGAAAAACAACTTCTGATGTTTGAAGTTACCAAGATTTGGGAGTTGTTTGTTATTGCAGCAAAACCTCACCTATTCTGACCAATCATGGTGGAATTTCTGTGTGTGTGTGTGTGTGTGTGTGTGTGTGTGTGTGTGTGTGTGTGTAACTGGTAGTTTAAAAAAGTTCCTTCTTACCCAAAAGAAAAAAAAGATAGCAACCTTATGTTGGTTCTCAAATTAAAAAAATATTTTTACTCGTTCATAAAATAGAAAAATCTGAGAATCTGTAGCTTAGAGAACTACAGTGTGGGATGTCTATAAAGACCAGGTTATTTTATCAGCTCCTAACACCCCTTAATAGAAGCTTAGCCAAGACTTGCACTATTTCAGTCTTTCCCATTCCACATTCCATGGACTCTTGAAGAGACATTGATGAAACGGTGCAGCCATGAACCACCCTCACTCAATCCTAGTGGCAGAATCCCCCTTTTACTGCAGAATGAGCTTCTTGCTACAGTGATACTTGAACCCCTTAGATATATCCTGTACTAATTATATTAAAACACGACCAATGCTTTTGCTTTGTTGTCCCCCAAATTAAACACCTTAATCATGAGAACCCAGAGAATTGGATTTAGTGTAACTGATTCCAAACTGTCAGTAAGAACATAATTTATATTTTTCTCCAATTCAATTAAAAGAAAATTGACAATAAAAAGCTGATCAATACGTGTAGCTCAGGAGGTAGAGCCTGCTTTGAGATGCAGAAGTGTTTTTTTTTTTTTAGATCTATATTCTTGAGTAAAGAAAAAATCCATCTTTCTTTCCTAGAGGGGAAGAGTTTCAGAGCTGGGCTTGGCAACAGCCTGACTATCAGAGGCTGAATTAAACAAATAGATACCTCCCTGGAGTGAATGGTGTGTTTCTCCTGTTTGGGGAACCGTGCTTTTATGGGGCAGTTTGCGTTCTGTCTTGGTCTCCGGATGTGTGTATCTGTGGGTGGAAGTCTGCATGTAAATGGAAGTGTATACCTGTGTGGGTGTGTACAAAATTCCCATGTGAATCTCAGCTTTGTGGGGATCTCCAGTTCTTGAGCCCAGTAGATGCCATTTGAAGAAAAAATCACTTGAAAATGAGACAGAAAGAATAGAAACTAAATCCTAGCTCTAAAGGCACCAGGCTGATTAAAAAAAAAAAAAAAAAAACTCAGGTTCTTCTTTGATTTGGACTCTACCTACCTCTAAATGACATTTCTGTTTCCTATGAGATGATTAGAATGAAAAAGATCCTGAGCCCGAAAGAGCAGATACTGTGTGATAGTGTGTATATCAGGGTGTCAGCTGTGACACTGCTGACATTTTGGCTCAGCAATTTCTCTGTTCTATGTGTGGGGGTTCCCTGTGCATTTCAGGATGTTGAGCGGCATCCCTGGATCCCTGGACTCACTGGATGCAGTAACACAACTCCCCCCAAGTAGACACAACCCTCAGTGTCTCCAGATATTCCCTAATGTCCCCAGGGGGCAAAATAGCCCCATCTGAGAACTGCTGCTTTCATAAAGTACAATGTCAGGTGAAATAGGTGGAGGCTGTTTGTAGTCAGGGGTTAGTAGAGATGGAAGAGACCCCAGGAATATCCTGGAAGGGGCTGTAATATTTTGTTTCTTGAATTGGGTGTCAGTAATATGGAGATGTTCAGTTTTTTTTTGTTGTTGTTGTTGATTTTGAGGCAGGATCTTGCTCTGTCACCTAGGCTGGAGCACAGTGGCACCGTCATGGCTCACTGCAGCCTCTGTCTCCTGGGCTCCAGCAGTCCTCCCACCTCAGCCCTCCCTAGTAGCTGGGACTACAGGCAGGTGCCACCACTGTTGCCTAATTTTTTATTTATTTATTTTTTGTAGAGAGGAGTGTCTCACTATGCTGCCCAGGCTGGTCTCAAGCTCCTGGGCTCAAGCAATCTGCTCACCTCGGCCTCCCAAAGTGCTGGGATGGCAGGCATGAGCCACTGCTTCTGGCCAGTATGTTCAGTTTGTAAGAAAAGTACTGTGTTGACCTCTTCTATGTGCACATTTCTTTAAGTAATAATTCAATAAAGCATTTAGAAAAATTGGTCATAATAGGAGTAATTTGTAGAGTGATTGGCATGAAAGCTGATCACCTTAATTTGAACTACTCTGAAATGAGCACCAGGGGCCACCAAGAGGACCATTTCAAGGTGTCATAGCCAAGGAGAGGAGTGTGTTGTGTACATCTCTGCATAAAGGATTTGCTGGTTACATGGAAGGATGAAGCCTCCTTCTGAGGACAGAGGCAGCAAAGCAAGTGGAAGCCCAAAGCATTGAGCTTTCCAAATGGACTTTGCTAAAATCTTGTGGATGGCTCATGCTCTTAACATACACCCATGTACATATTGTCCATATAAACATTAATTCTGTAACAAGGCCCACACTTAAGGGTTTTTTTTTTTTTCTTTTGTGACAGTCTTGCTTTATTGCCTAGGCTAGAGTACAGTGGCATAATCGTGACTCACTGCAACCTCCGCCTCCTGGGTTCAAGCAATGCTTGTGCCTCAGCCACCTGAGTAGCTGGGACTACAGGTGCAGAACACCATGCCTGGGTAATTTTTGTATTTTTAGTAGAGACGGGGTTTCACCATGTTGGCCAGGCTGGTCTCAAACTCCTGGCCTCAAGTGATCTGCGCACCTCAGCCTCCTAAAGTGTTGGGATTACAGGTGTGAGCCACTGCACCTGGGCCCATACATAAGGTTTGAGTTGAGATAGAGAAACTCTGGCAGGACTGAGGAATTGGGCCACAGTCTCTGGGAAATATGCACAATTTCTGGAATCTTCTCTACTTCCAGAATTCCCACTTTCTGTCTCCTGTTTATTCAACAAACTTGTATGGAACCACAGTGTGTCTAGAACTTGCCAGGTGTGGAGGATAAAAAGATGACTGAGACCGGACATGGTGGCTCATGCCTGTAATCCCAGCACTTTGGGAGGCCAAAGCAGGCGCATCACTTGAGGGCAGGAGTTTGAGCACAGCCTGGCCAACATGATGAAACGTCTTTACTAAAAATACAAAAATTAGCCAGGCATGGTGGCATGCACATGTAGTCCCATATACTTGGGAAGCTGAGACAGGAGAATCGCTTGAACCCAGGAGGCAGATGTTTCAGTGAGCTGAGATCACACCGCTGCATTCCAGCCTGGGAGACAGAGCAAGATTCCATGGCAAAAAAAAAGATGACTGAAATACAGACTCTCTCAGAGTTGACTCTAACACAAGCTAGGTAAGAGCCCAAGGTCTGGCTGGGCAGACACCTTGATCGGCCTCATCCTGCAGCGTCTACTAGAATGAAGAACACTTTTTTCTTTACCCATGAAAATGTTTTGTGCTTCATACCCACAAGTGCAATTTGTGTTAATTCTGCAAAATTTGCCGCATAACTCTGCCTGTATTCTTAGCATTTTTCCTTTGAGAGATTTCTCAGCACATCATCTTTGGACTATGTGGAATTGGAAATTTACTTAGAGTCAACAACAAGTACAGGAAAGTCAGTTCTTAGTCAAGAGTTAGGTTTTCAAAGACAGTGGATAAAATAAAAAATTAACATTTGATGTACAGTTAAGATTATACGTGCAAATCCCCTCATCATTCATAAAGTTTAGCAGTCAGTCTTACCGTGGCTCACCAGGTCCAATCCATACTTCTTCCTCCACGATTGGAGCAGAGGGTGATTTTTTTTCTGAGCAACTGATGAAGTCATTTAGAGACCATTTGCAGTAGAAACCATGTGTACTAGAGACCAATCAATGTGCCCTCATGGCAGCATTTCTGCCTCTCTCCGTCTTTGTTCTTGCCAAGTACCCACAGTTCATTTTCCATAGATTGAAAGAGCCCAAGTTGGGCTTATATCTAGGAGTACAATTGCTAGGTCATTTGGTAACTCTATGTAGAATTGTTTGGGAAGTTGTTAAACTGTTTCTCACAGTGGCTACACCATTTTAATTCCTACCAGCTGTGTATGAAGGTTCTAGTTTCTCTGCATCCTCACCAAAACTTGTTATTTTCTGTTTTTTTTTTTTTTTTTTTTTTTTTTTTTTTTTTTTTTTGAGACAAAGTCTTGCTCTGTCGCCCAGGCTGGAGTGCAGTGGCACAATCTCAGCTCACTGCAACCTCTGCCTCCAGATTCAAGTTACTCTCCTGCCTCAGCCTCCCGAGTAGCTGGGATTATAGGAACCTGCCACCATGCCTGGCTAATTTTTGTATTTTTTTAGTACAGACAGGGTTTCACCATGTTGTCCAGGCTGGTCTCACACTCCTGGCCTCAGGTGATCCACCTGCCTCGGTCTCCCAAAGTGCTGGGATTACAGGCATGAGCCACCACACCAGGCCAATTTTCTCTATCTTCGATTCTAGCCATGCTTATGGGTATGAAGTGGTATCTAATTGTGGTTTTGATTTCTGTTTCCCTGATGATGAATTTCATTGAGCATCTTTTCATGTGCTTATTGACCACTTGTATGTCTTCCTTGGAGATGCGCAGTATTTTCATATTCAAAAATGAAAGCACAGGTCCACACAAAATTTTGTACATGAATAATTGCAGTAGCATCACTCCTAATAACCCAAAGAGAGAATTAATCCAAATGCCCGTCACCAGATGAAGAGATACACCTATTGTTGTCTACCCACATGGTGGAATATTATTTGATCACAAAAAGGAGGATAGTACATACGCTACAGCGTGGATGAATCTTCAAAACAGATGAAAGATCACATTCTACATGATTTCATTCAGATGGAAATCTACAGAAATAGGAAGTCGATTAGTGGTTGCTTAGGGGTGGTAGGGGCATGGGAGGATGGGGGTGTTAGCTAAAGGGTATGAGGTTTCTTTTTGAGGTCATGAAATGTTCTAAAATTGACTGGTAATGTTTGTGTATATCTCTGAATATATTGAAAACCATTGAAATGTAAAAAATGCAAAGAAAAAACAGCCCAAGTTGCAATTTTATTCAACGCTTGATTGGCTTTAAAAATAGATTCCAGGCTGGGCATGGTGGCTCACACCTGAAATCCCAGTGCTTTGGGAGGCTGTGGTGGGAGGATTGCTTGAAGCCAGGAGTTCCAGGCCAGCCTTGGCAACATGGCAAGACCCTGTCTGTACAAAAAAAGAAAAAATAAATAACAGCTGGGTGCAGTGGTCCACACTTGTAATCCCAGCACTTTGGGAGGCAGAGGCGGGCAGATCACCTGACATCAGGAGTTCAAGAGCAGCTTGGCCAACATCCTGAAATCCCGTCTCTACCAAAAATATAAAATTTAGCCTTTTGGTACTCCAAGCAGCACCATGGCGGTTGTTAAGAACAAGTGCCTTATGAAAGGTGGCAAAAAGGGAGTTAAGAAGAAAGTAGTTGGTCCATTCTCTAAGAAAGATCAGTATGATGTGAAAGCACCTGCTATGTTCAATATAAGAAATACTGGAAAGACTTGGTCGCCAGGACCCAAGGAACCCAAATTGCATCTGATGGTCTCAAGGGTCTTCTGTTTGAAGTGAGTCTTGCTGATTTGCAGAATGATGAAGTTGCATTTAGAAAATTCAAGCTGATTACTGAAGATGTTCAGGACAAAAACTGCCTGACTAATTTCTATGGCATGGGTCTTACCTGTGACAAAATATGTTCCATGGTTGAAAAATGTTCAACGATGGTTGAAGCTCATGTTGATGTCAGGACTACCGATGGTTACTTCTTTCATCTGTTTTGTGTTGGTTTTACTAAAAAACACAACAATCAGATACTGAAGACCTCTTATGCTTAGCACCAACAGTCTGCCAAATCCAGAAGAAGATGATGGAAATCATGACCTGAGAGGTGCAGACAAATGACTTGAAAGAAGTGGTCAATAAATTGATTCCAGACAACATTGGAAAAGATACAGAAAAGGTTTGCCAATTTATCCTCTCCATGATGTCTTCATTAGAAAAGTAAAAATGCTGGAGAACCCTGGGTTTGAAAGGCATGGAGCTTCGTGGTGGAGGTAGTAGTTCTGGAAAACCCACTAGGGACGAGACACATGCTAAAGTTGAATGAGCTGATGGATAGGAACCACCAGTCCAAGAATCTGTTTAAAGTTCAGACTTAAAACAGTACCAAATAAAAAGTCCTATTTGTGAAAAACAAACAAGAAACAACAATGAAAGAGCAAAATTACGCTGATGTGGTGGTGTATGCCTGTAATCCTAGCTACTCAGGAGGCTGAGGCATGAGAATCACTTGAACCCGGGAGACAGAGGTTGCAGTGAGCCAAGATTGCACCATTGCGCTCCAGCCTGGGCAACAGAGTGAGACTCTCTCCAAAAGGAAGAAAAAAAAAAAAAAGTATCCGGGCTTGGTGGCATGCGCCTGTAGTCTCAGCTACTCTGAAGGCTGAGACGGGAGGATGGATTGAGACCAGGGGTAATTTGAAGCTGCAGTGAACTATGATTGTGACAGTGCACTCCAGCCTGGACTGCAGAGCAGGACCCTGTCTCTTGTACATACACACACACACACACACACACACACACACATACACATACACACATACATACATACCCAGGTTCTACCTCTGGTGATTCTGACTCAGTAGGGTGGGGTATCCCCTAGGGATCCTGCTGTCCAGCCTGGTCTGGGATCCACTTTTCATTGGGAACTGAGACACTGGCTGTGAGCCTTTCTGTCCTGAGATGTAGAGGTCATGGCGATGCAGGTTCAAGCTTAAGGAGACCTGACTGTGCGTTAGGTATTGTGCTGAACATCATCTCTTACTCTCACAGCAACATCCTTAGAAGGTTAATGATGTATCCGTGCTCTACAGATGAGGAACTGAGCTTTCAGAGGAGTTTAGCTTGTTTAAAACTATTCTTCCTATTGGAAACTTTGTACCCTTTGACCAGTGTCTCCTATCCCCTCCCTTTCCTTCACCCCAGCCCCTGATAACCACTGTCCTACTCTCTATTTCTGTGAGTTCAACTTCTTTAGATTCCACATACAATAAAATCATGCAGTATCTGTCTTTCTGTGCCTGGCTTATTTCACTTAACACAATGTCTTTCAAGTTCATCTATGTTGTTGAAAATGACAGGATTTCTTTCTTTTTTAAGGGTTAATAGTATTCCTTTGTGTGTATATAGTACATTTGCTTTATCCTTTCATCCACTGATGGACACTTAGGTTGATTCTATATCTTGGGTATTGTGAATAGAGCTGCAGTGAACATAGGAATTTAGGGATCCCTTCGACATATTGATTTTGATTTTTTTTTGGTCTATATCCAGAAGTTGGGTTGCTGGATTATATGTTTTGAAATCTATAGCACAGCAGCGTGACTATAGTCAATAATAATGTATCTTTCAAAATAACTAAGTGGGTACATTTCAAATGTCGCATCATGAAAATTGTCAGTAAATTAGGGGATGGACGTGTTCATTAGTTTGATCTAATCATCCCACATTGTATACATATATCAAAACATCACATACATGGGTACAATTATGATTTGTCAATTAAAATAACGTTAGTTAAAAAAAATAAGTAACTTGTTCAAAGCCCCAGTTGGGATTGATGGAGCTTGGACATGCACCAAGGCTGTTGCTCTGATGCCCACAGAGTCCTTTGTCGACGAATGTTGAAGCCCTACCTGAGATTTCTACTGAGATCAGTGTAGGGATTCAATGTCTCAGAATCATCCCATCCTCCAGGGCCCACAAGTCCATGACAGCTGCCTCTACCCCTGACCCTACTGACCTGAAATTTGGCCCCTGCTTTCATTTCCAGGAGCATACAACACTTACACCAAGCATTGATGGGTTTTGTTGACTTCATTTGAGATGTGGGGCCGTGGAGAGGGTCCCATGATCCTTGCTTGGTGTTGGCCAACTCATTGACTTCTCTCCTTTGACTTCACCCTTCCCTTTTCAACTCACCTCCTCTGTCATGGATTGCTCTGGGAATTCTGAGCCCTGGTTCCTTTATTTTGCAGATAACCTTCACTCTTCTCTGCAACGAATCCCAAAAGTGTGTAGTTGAGCTGACTGCAAGGTGCTTGACACGCAAGAGAATTTACAAATGGGATTCGGCCTCTGGAAAGTGGTGGTAGTTCCAGATTTATGTGGATGTTACTTTGTTTTTCCCTATAAGATCTATTCTTTAAACTATCAAGCTCTTGGCTCCTGGCTGCAGTCGTTTGCTGGTGGCAGTGGGCTGGGTACTGCCACCGGGGAGAAATGCTGTCCACTTAGAGAAAGGGAAACTGGTTCTCTTTAAGAGGCAGAGGGAGGTTTCCAGTGCCAGTTTGTTTGGAGGCAAAATGGCTGTTGTAGTAAAATTGCCCAAACTTGGGCTGGTGCCTTGTGTGTTTAGAGCTCAAAGCCACGATTGTTTTCTTTTTCTTTTCTTTTTTTTTTTTTTTTTTTGGTGGTTGGTTTTCCATCCTTTTGCTTGGCAGGTTTCTGCTAATAGCTTCAACCTCAAGAGTCCCATTACACAGACACTAATAGCACCTACTATGTGTCAGTCTGTAGTGCCTACTATGTGCCAGGCATTGGAGATAATATAATGATGAACAAGATAAACATGACATTTGGAAAAGAGAGTCTGGTTCCCACTCTCAGCCCACCCCAAAGAGAGGCCAGAATTGGGCTTCCAAAGAAATCAGATGCCCTTGCATCACCTCCCTGAAGAGGACGGGTGAAGCTTTGGTGTCTGCAGAGAATTTGGCTGGACAATCCCCCAGTTTTGGAATGATGGGAAGGAGCTGCCATCTGTGTTTAAGATGAGAAGTGGGGGAGTGGCTGGATATCAGCAGAAGCCAAGATGAAGAGAAGGTTTTTGTGAGTTCCTATGCATAGTGGAGACCTGTTCTAGTGAGGGTCCCTGGGGCTGAGCCTGTGGGTCAGTGGAATGATGCTGTGAGGAGGGTCTTGCTATAGCAGGTGGCCCAAAGAAGGTTGATGGATCATGAGCAGCTGGAAGAATGGAGAGTTCGGGGGATGTAGTTCCTACCTGGCTTTCCAACAGTGTGTAAGCCCAGAATTCTTACATAAGCCCATGGAGAAGGGAAAGGAATACTGGTAACGACAAGATTGAATTCTCCACCTGCCAGGCATCCAGAGACTCAGAGCAGATTTAAGTGAAGTTACAGAAATAGGAATGTGACATTTCCTACATCCGGGTGTGCTGGAGCAAATATATTCCTTCTCTGGTTTGTGGGGAAGGAGAATGCTAACAGACAAGACTCCAGGATTTTGCTCTTAAACCTGGTGCCTACAGATGCATTTTCTACTGGATGCAGACAGAAGCTCCATATAGACATATCCATCGCTGCATCTCTCATGCCTTCTGTTCTCCCTAATTTTCCCTTTTTCACCCACAGAGGAAGAAAGTTCCAGCATCACTTCTGGCCTCTCAAGAGTGAGTTAGGTGGCCAGGTGGGGTTATTCATGCCTGTAATCTCATACTGAAGGGGTGGCCTGCCCCTCCACACCTGTGGGTATTTCTTGTCGGGTGGGATGAGAGACAGAAAAGAAATCAGACACAGAGACAAAGTATAGAGAAACAACAGCGGGCCCAGGGGACCTGCGCTTAGCATGCTAAGGACCTGCACTGGCACAGGTCTCTGAATTCCCTCAGTTTTTATTGATTATTATCTTCATTATTTCAGCAAAAAGGAATGTAGTAGGAGGGCAGGGTGATAATAAGGAGAAGGTCAGCAACAAACGTGAGCAATAGAATCCATGTCATAATGAAGTTCAAGGGAAGGTACTATGACTGGACGTGCATGTAAGCCAGATTTATGTTTCTCTCCACCCAGACATCTCAGTGGAGTAAAGAAGAACAAGGCAGCATTGCTGTAAACATGTCTCGCCTCCCACCATAGGGCGGTTTTTCTCCCATCTCAGAACTGAACAAATGTACAATCGTGTTTTATACCGAGACATTCAGTTCCCAGGGGCAGTCAGGAGACAGTGGCCTTCCTCTATCTCAACTGCAAGTCTTTCCTCTTTGACTAATCCACCTCAGCACAGATCTTTTATGGGTGTCGCGCTGGGGGACCGTCAGGTCTTTCTCATCCCACGAGGCCATATTTCAGACTATCATATGGGGAGAAACTTTGGACAATACCCAGCTTTCAAGGGCAGAGGTCCCTGCGGCTTTCCACAGTGCATTGTGCCCCTGGTTTATTGAGACGAGAGAATGGTGATGACTTTTACCAAGTATACTGCTTGCAAACATTTGGTTAACAAGGCACGTCCTGCACAGCCCTACATGCCTTAAACCTTGATTTCATACAACACATGTTTTTATGAGCTCCAGATTGGGTCAAAGTGGTTGGGGCAAAGTGGCTGGGGCAAAGCTACAGATTAACAACATCTCAGCAAAGCAATTGTTTAAAGTACAGGTCTTTTTCAAAATGGAGTCTCTTATGTCTTCCCTTTCTATGTAGACACAGTAACAGTCTGATCTCTCTTTCTTTTCCCTACATATCCCCATTTTCGTTTTGACAAAACCACCTCCATCATCATGGCCCCTTCTCGCTGGTCGCTGTCTCTCTGGAGCTGCTGGATACACCTGTAGACTAAAAATAGAAAGGACAGACATACAAGGATTAATAAAAAATTTGCAATAGTGGAATTTCCGGTGGTTTTAACCCAAGTGACGGGGCAAGAGGACGGTGTGGGTGCTGCGGCACCAAGGCAGTCTCCCACCTCCTTTGTGTCTTAGTTGCTGTTTCTCATAGTTTTCAGTCTTTCTCCTCACCTGCTCACTCGCACCTTTTATCTCTTTGTCTCCCTTCTTTTACGGTCTCTCTCTCTCTCTCTTTTACACTGTCTCTCTCCCCAGTCTCACTTTCTGTGTCTCTCTCTGATCTCTGTCTCTTTTTCTTTCTCTTCCTCTCCCTGGCTCTCCACATGTGCCGTTTCCTTGGTGGATTGTAACTTCATCTGTTCTTCTGATATCACCATTTTGTTCACCCTGCGAGTCGATGATGCTCGACTGCGGGTTTTCTGTCTCTGCAGAGGCACTTTCATTTGCATCTTGATAGGTTCATTGTAGAACTTCAAATGTCTAGTGGGTATCCAAACAGGAAGCTGATTTTCTCCGGGTGAAACACAAGCAAAACCTCTCCCCCATATTATCACCTTACCTATTTCCCATATTTTGTTTTTGTTGTCTTTCCACCAAATCAGTTTTCCCTCACGTGGCCTATTATTTTTACTAGTAAAATGTTCTGCAGAAGTAGTGGTCTGATTTCTATGTATGTCTAGAAAATCTAAAGTATAGAGTGTTAGATTAAGTTGCATCTGGGGAGTGCTATACTCCTTATTGTATTTTTCCTTTTTTTGTTTAACCAATTGAGCTTTGAGTGTTCTAAGCAGGACAGGTAAGATCTGCGTCTGGCACAGTCAGCCAGGTCTCCTTACCCTGTGCTTCCCTTTCTGCCTGTGACTGAATGGGCATGTCAGGGTCTAGTAGGGGATCCAGGAGGAGGAAGCCTCATTAACTTCTATTCTGCAGCAATTGATAGACACCCAACTTGAACAGTGGGGGCTTATCACCTCATATACAAAGACCAGAGATAGCTGATGCCAAGGTTGGCTAAATTAGTAGCTTGAGATGTTAGATTTTTCATTTGAGGTTTCTATGCTGCTGTTGTCTTCCGCTCTTGGTCACAGAGGCTGCCACAATCCGCATGTCAAGTCCTCATGTGACAATATCCAGACACAGCAAGGAAGAGGTACAGTGTATTCCTGCATGTTTCTTAAAAAAAAATGTTTTTGATAGAGAATAATTGTACACATTTATGGGGTCCATGTGAGATTCTGGTACATGCATGTAATGTGTAATGATCAAGTCAGGGTCTTTAGGATATTAATCACCTCAAACATTGATCATTTCTTTGTGTTGGGAATATTTCAAATCTTATTGCTATTTAGAAATACACAATAAATCTATTTATCAGGATACAAAATCTATGTACACATATCAGTAGCAGTGCTATACACCAACATCTACCAGGCTGAGAATCAAATCAAACCCTTTTATAATAGCTGTAAAAATAAAATACTTAGGAATATACCTAACCAAGGAGGTGAAAGACCCCTACAAGGAAAACTACAAAACAATGTTGAAAGAAATCATAGATGACACAAACAAATGGAAACACATTCCATGCTCATGGATGGGTAGACTCAATATTGTGAAAATGACCATACTGCCAAAAGCAGTCTCCAAATTCAATGAGTTCCTATCAATGTACCATCATCATTCTTTATAGAACTAGAAAAAAAAAAATGCCAAAATTCATTTGGAACTAAAAAAGAGTCTGCAAAGCCAAAGCAAAACTAAGCAAAAAGAACCAATCTAGAGGCATCACATTACCCAACTTCAAACTATATTACAAAGCTATAGTCACCAAAACAGCATAGTGCTGGTATAAAAATAGGCACATGACCAATGGGACAGAGTAGAGAACCTAGAAATAAAGCCAAATGCTTAACAGCCAACTGATCTTTGACAAAGTAAACAAAAACAAAGTAAGAAAAGTACACCCTATACAACAAATAGTGCTGGGATAATTGGCAAGCCACATGTAGAAGAATAAAACTGGATCCTTATCTCTCACCTTATACAAAAATCAACACAAGATGGATCAAAGACTTAAATCTAAGGTCTGAAACCATAAAAATTCTAGAAGATAACATTGGAAAATGCTTCTACACATTGGCTTAGGCAAAGAGTTTATGACCAAGAACCCAAAAGCAAATACAACAGAAACAAAGATAAATAGATGGGACTTAATTAAACTAAAAGCCTCCTGCACAGCATAGGAAATAATCAGCAGAGTAAACAGATCACCCACAGAGTGGGAGAAAATTTTCACAAACTGCATTTGACAAAGAACTAATGTCAGAATCTACAGGGAACTCTAATCAGCAAGAAAAAAATAATCTCATCAAAAAATGTGCCAAGGACATGAATAGACAATTCTCAAAAGAAGATATACAAATGGCCAACAAACATATGAAAAAATGCTCAACATCACTAATTACCAGGGAAATGCAAATCAAAACCACAATGCAATACCACGTGTAAAATAAACAAAAAGAGGGCCGGGCGCGGTGGCTCACGCCTGTAATCCTAGCACTTTGGGAGGCCAAGGTGGGCGGATCACGAGGTCAGGAGTTTGAGACCAGCCTGACCAACATGGTGAAACCCAGTCTCTACTGAAAATATAAAAATTAGCCGGGCATGGTGGCAGTTGCCTGTAATCCCAGCTACTCAGGAGGCTGAGGCAGGAGAATTGCTTGAACCCGGGAGGCAGAGGTTGCAGTGAGCTGATATGGCACCATTGTACTCCAGCCTGGGCGACAGAGCGAGACTCTATCTCAAAAAAACAAAAAACAAAAGACAAAACAAAACAAAAAAAACAAAAATTGATGTTGGCATGGATGTGGTGAAAGACAACGCTTTTACACTGATGGTGGGAATGTAAGTTAGTACCAGCACTATGGAAAACAGTATGAAGATTCCTTAAAGAACTAGAAGTACATCTACCATTTGATCCAGTAATCCCACTGTTAGGTATCTACCCAGAGGAAAAGAAGTCATTATATGAAAAAGATACTTTTGCACACATGTTTACAGCAGCAGAATTCACAGTTGCAAAACTACAGAACCAGCCCAAATGCCCATCAATCAATTTGTGGATAAAGAAAATGTGTTATATATATATATGTATACCATAGAACACTACTTAGCCTTAAAAAGGAATAAAATAATGGCATTCATAACAACCTGGATGGAGTTGGAGACCATTATTTCAAATGAAGTAACTCAGGAATGGAAAACCAAACATTGCATGTTCTCACTCGTAAGTGGGAGCTAAGCTATGATGATGCGAAGGCACAAGAATGAAACAGTGGACTTTGGGGGCTCAGGGGGAAGGTGGGAGGGGGTGAGAGATAAAAGACTATACATTGGGTAAACTGCTTTGCTGATGGGTATGCCAAAATTTCAGAGATCACCCCTAAGGGACGTATCCATGTAACAAAATACCACCTGTTCCCTAAAAACTATTGAAATTAAAAAAAAGAAACATACAATAAATTATTGTAGTCACTTTCTGTGATAATAAACACTAGATCTTATTCCTTCTATTATATATTTTTATACCCATTAATCAACCTCTTTTCAAACCTCTCCTATTCCTAGCCTCTGGTAACTATCATTCTACTCTTTATCTCCATGATATCAATTTTATATAGCTCCAGGGCACACAAGTCCATAACTGTGGTCTCTATCCGTGACCCTACTGACCTGAAATATGGCCCCGCTTTGATTTCCAGGAGCATAAGCTGCTCATATAAGTGAGAACATGCAATAGTTTTCTTTCTGTGCATGGCCTAGTTCACCTGACGTTATGACCTTTAATTCCACCCAATTAGCTGAAAATGACAGGATTTCATTTTTTTATGGCTAAATACTATTCCATTGTGCGTATATTCCCATTTTCTTTATCCATTCATCCATTGATTGACATTTAGATTGATTCCATATCTTGGCTATTGCAAATAGTGCTGCAGTAAATATGGGGGTATGGGTATCCCGTTGATACACTGATATCTTTTTTTGGATATATACCCAGGAGTGGGATTGCTGGATCATATGGTAGATTTGTTCTTAGTTTTTTGAGAAATCTCTGTACTTTTTTTCATAATGGCTGTACCAATTTACATTCCCACCAACAATATACAATAATTTCCTTTTCTTCACATGCTTGCCAGCATTTGTTGTGCTTTGTCTTTTTAATACCCATTCTAACAAGTGTGAGATGATATCTCATTGTGGTTTTGACTTGCATTTCCGTGATGATTAGTGATGTTGAATATTTTTTCATAAACTTGGTGATTTGTATATTTTCTTTTGAGAAATGTCTGTTTATTTTTTGATAGTTTCTTTTGCTGTGTAGAAGCTCTTTCATTTAATTAGATCCCATTTGCCAATTTTTGCTTTTGTGGCAATTGCGTTTGGCATCTTCACCATGAACTCTTTGCCCATCACTATGTACCAGATGGTATTGCCTAGGTTGTCTTCAGCGTTTTTATAGTTATGGGTTTTACATTTAAGTCTGCAGGTCATCTTGAGTTAATTTTTGTGTGTGGTGTAAGGGAGGGGTGTTGTCTTTTCACTCTGTTGATTGTTTTAATTGATATACAGAAGGAATTTAATTTAATATAATCCCATTTGTCTGTTTTTGTTGCTTGTACTTTTTAAGCGTTAGCCATACAATCTTTGTTCTCAAGCGTTTCTCCTGTGTTTATTTCTAGTAGTTTTATAGTTGTGGCTGTTACATTTAAGTCTTTAACTGATTTTGAGTTTATTTTTCTAAGTGATGAGAGATAAGGGTGTAGTTTTATTCTTCTGTGTTTGGATATCTAGTTTTTCTGGCACCATTTAATGAAGAGGGTGTCATTTATTCAATGCATGTTCTTGACAGCTTTCTTGAAAATCAGTTAGCTGTAAATATGTGGATTCATTTCTGGATTCTTTAGTCTGTTTCCTTTGTTTTTGTGTCTGTTTTAATACCAGTACACGCTGTTTTGGTTACTATAGCTTTGTAATATATATATATATGTATATCTATATACACACACACATATATACTTATATATATACACGTATATATACATATATACGTGTATATATACGTATATATATACATATATACGTGTATATATACGTGTATATATACATATATACGTGTATATATACGTGTATATATATACATATATACGTGTATATATACGTGTATATATATACATATATATGTGTATATATACGTGTATATATATACATATATACGTGTATATATATACATATATACGTGTATATATACGTGTATATATATACATATATACGTGTATATATATACGTGTATATATATACATATATACGTGTATATATATACGTGTATATATACATATATACGTGTATATATATACGTGTATATATATACATATATACGTGTATATATATACGTGTATATATATACATATATACGTGTATATATACGTGTATATATATACATATATACGTATATATATACGTGTATATATGTACACATATATGTGTATATATGTACACATATACGTGTATATATGTACACATATACGTGTATATGTACACATACGTGTATATATGTACACATATACGTGTATATGTACACATACGTGTATATATGTACACATATACGTGTATATGTACACATGCGTGTATATATGTACACATATACGTGTATATGTACACATACGTGTATATATGTACACATACGTGTATATGTACACATACGTGTATATATGTACACATATACGTGTATATATACACATACGTGTATATATACATATAAATATATACATATATACGTATATACACACATATACATATATACGTATATATATGCGTATATACACACATATACATATATACGTATATATATGCGTATATACGTATATATACATACATACGTACATATATACATATATACATACATATATACGTACATACATATATACGTATATACACACACATATACGTATATATATACACATATATATACAAATATATTTATACACACACACACACATATATATATATATATATATATTTTTTTTTTTTTTTTTTCTTTTTGAGATGGAGTCTTGCTCTGTCGCCCAGGCTGGAGTGCAGTGGTGTGATCTCTGCTCACTGCAAGCTCTTCCTCCCGGGTTCATGCCATTCTCCTGCCTCAGCCTCCCGAGTAGCTGCTGGGACTACAGATGCCCGCCACCACGCCTGGCTAATTTTTTTTTTATTATTATTAGAGACGGGGTTTCACCATGTTAGCCAGGATGGTCTCGATCTCCTGACCTTGTGATCCACCCGCCTTGGCCTCTCAAAGTGCTGGGATATAGGCTTGAGCCACCTCGCCCGGCCTCTTTGCAGTATATTTTTAAATCAGGTAGTGTGAGGCTTCTAGCTTTGTTCTTTTTGCTCAGTATTGCTCTGGCTATTTGGGGTCTTCTGTGGTTCCATATGAATTTCAGGGTTTTTTTTTTTCCTGTTTCTGTGAAGAATATAATTGATAGGGATTGTACTGAATCTCTAGATTGCTTCGGGTAGTATGGTCATTTTAACAGTATTAGTTACTCCAACCCATGAGCATAAGATGCCTTTCCATTTGTTTGTGTCCTTCTCAGTTTATTTTATCAGTGTTTTGTGGTTTTCATTGTAGAGGTTTTTTGGGTTTTTTTTTTCCTCATCCTTGGTTAAGTTTATTCCTAGGTATTTTATTTTTGTAGCTATTGTAAATAGAATTTCTTCCTTGATTTCTATTTTAGCTAGTTTGTTACTGGTATATAGAAACATTACTGATTTTTGTATGTTGATTTTGTGTCCTGAAGCTTTACTGAATTATACATCCTTTTTTAAAAATGTTTTTTATTTTTTATTTTTTATTTTGTGAGAGAGTCTCACTCTGTTTTCCAGGCTGGAGTGCAGTGGTGCAATCTTGGCTCACTGCAACCTCCACTTCTCGGGTTCAAGCGATTCTCCTGCTTCAGCCTCCCAAGTAGCTGGGATTACAGGCACCTACCACCATGCCTGGCTAATTGTATTTTTGGTAGAGACAGGGTTTCACCATGTTGGCCAGGCTGGTCTCAAACCCCCAACCTCAGGTGATCCATCCACCTTGGTCTCCCAAAGTGCTGGGATTACAGGCATGAGCTACCATGCCCAGCCTAATTTATTTTAAGAGTTTTTTGGTAGAGTCTTTAGGTTTTTCTGTTTACAGGTATACGATTATGTCATTTGCAAAGTGAGACAATTGGACTTCCTTTTGTCCATTTGGATGCCTTTTTTTTCTTTATCTTGTCTGATCACTCTGGCTTGGATGTCCCATACTGTGTTGAATAAGAGTGGTGAAAGTGGGCATCCTTCTCTTGTTCCAGTTCTTAGAGGAAAGGCTTTTCAATTTTTCCCAGTGAGTAGGATGTTAGCTGTAGATTTGTCATATATGCCTTTTCTTAGGTTGAAGTGTTCCTTCTATGCTTAATTTGTTGAGAGTTTTCATCATGAAGGAATGGTAAGTTTTACTGAGTGATTTTTCTGCATCTGCTGAGATGATCAGATAGTTTTTGCCTTTCATCTTGTCAATGTGATGTATCACATGTATTGATTTGTGTATGTTGAGCCACCTTTGCATTCCTGGGATAAATCCCACTTGATCATGGTATATTATCTTTTTCATTCATCATTAGATTTGGCTTGGTAGTATTATGCTGAGAATTTTACCATCTGTGTTCATTAGGAATATTGGCCTGTAGTTTTCTCCTTTTGTTGTGTCCTTGTCTTGATTGGATATCAGGGTAATGCTGGCCTTATACAATGAGTTAGGAAGAATTCCTTCCTCTTCAATTTTTGGGAATAGTTTGAGAAGAATTGGTGTTTGTTTTTCTTTATAAATTGGGTAGAAATCAGCATAAAAGCCTAGTCTAGGGCTTTTCTCCTTTGGGAGACATTTTGTTACTGATTCAAACCTGCTATTCATTTTGGGTCAGTTCACGTTTTCTGTTTCTTCCTAGTTCAACCTTGGTAGGCTGTGTATGTCTGGGAATTTATCCCTTTCCTCTAGGTTTTCCAATTTGTTAGCATATGATTCTTCATAATAGCCTCTAATTATCCTTTTTATTTCTTTGGTAACACTTGTAATGTCTCCTTTTTCATTTCTGATTGTATTTATTTTGGTCTCTTTTTTTTTTTTTTTGGTTAGCCTCACTAGTGGTTTATCAATTTTGTTTAACTTTTCAAAAAACCAACTTTTATCTTGTTGATTCTTTGCATTTTTTTTGTCTCTGTTGCATTTGGTTCTGCTATGTTATTTATATTTTTTCTTTCTACTAATTGTGTGTTTGATTTGTTCTTGCTTTTTGAGTTCCTTGAGGTGCATCATTAGGTTGTTTATTTGAAATCTTTCTACTTTTTTGGTGTAGGCATTTATTGCTATAAACTTTCCTCCTAGTACTGCTTTTGCTGTATCCCATAGGTTTTGCATGATGTGTTTCCATTTTCTGTTTAAAAAATTTTTTTGATGTCCATCTTAATTTCTTCATTGACCCAATGATTATTCAATAGCATGTTTAATGTCCATATATTTGTACAGTTTCCAAATTTCTTCTTCTTATTGATTTCAAGTTTTATTCCATTGTGGTCTGAGAAGATACTTGATATGATTTTAATTTTTAAAATTTTATTGAGCCTTGTTCTGTGTCCTAACATATGGTCTATCCTGGAGAATGTTCCATGTGTTGATGAGATGATTGTATATTCTGCTGCTGCTGGATGAAATATTCTGAAAATATCTGTTAGGTCCATTTGGTCCAAAGTGCAGCTTAAATCTAATGTTTCTTTGTTGATTTTATGTCTAGATGAACTGTCCAATGCTGAGAGTAGGATATTGAAGTTCTCAACTATCATTTTATTGGACTCTATCTCTCCATGTAGATTTAATAATATTTGCTATATGTCTCTGGATGCGCTTGTGTTGGTTGCATGCATATTTGGAATTGTTATACTTTGTTGCTGAATTGATCCCTTTATTACCATATAATGACCTTGTTTGTCCTTTTTACAGTTTTTGACTTAAAGTCTGTTTTATCTGATGTAAGTTTAGCTACTCCTGATTATTTTTGATTTCTGTTTGTGTGGTATATCTTTTTCCATCCCTTCACTTTCAGTCTGTGTGTGTCTTTACAAGGGAAGTGATGTTGGGTCACTTTTTATCCATTAAGCCTGACTGTATCTTTTAGGTAGGTAATTTAACCCATATTCGAAGTTATTATTGATAGGCGAGGATTTATTCCTGTCATTTTGTTCATTGTTTTCTGGTTATTTTGTATATCCTTTTGATATGGTTTGGCTGTGTCCCCACTCAGATCTCATCTTGAATTCCCATGTGTTGTGGGAGGGACCCAATGGGAAGTAGTTGAATCATGGAGGCAGGTATTTCCCATGCTATTCTTTTAATAGTGAATAAGTCTCATGAGATCTGATGGTTTTAAAAGGAGGAGTTTCCCTGCTCAAGCTCTCTCTTTGCCTGCTGCCATCCCTGTAAGATGTGACTTGCCTCTCCTTGACTT
The DNA here is from genome assembly GCF_000001405.40 of Homo sapiens. Lineage (NCBI taxonomy): Eukaryota > Metazoa > Chordata > Mammalia > Primates > Hominidae > Homo > Homo sapiens. The sequence continues at coordinate 5,232,607 of NW_018654717.1, read as the reverse complement.
CCGCAATGATTTTGAAGCCTCCCCAGCAATGTAGAACTGTAAGTCCATTAAGCCTCTTTCTTTTGTAAATTTCCCAGTCTTGAATGTGTCTTTATCAGCTGTGTGAAAATGGACTAATACAGTAAATTAGTACCAGAAGTGGGGTGTTGCTAAAAGATACCTGAATATGTGGAAGTGACTTTGGAACTGGGAAACAGGCAGAGGTTGGAACAGTTTGGAGGGCTCAGAAGGAGACAGGAAAATGTGGGAAAATTTGGAAGAGATTTCCTAGAGACTTGCCCAAAATGCTGATTGTTATATGGACAATAAAGTCTAGGCTTAGGTTGTCTCAGATGGAAATGAGGAACTTGTTAGGAACTGGCACAATGGTGACTCCTGTTATGTTTTAGCAAAGAGACTGGTGGCTTTTTGCCCCTGCTGTAGAGATTTGTGGAATTTTGAACTTGAGAGATTTAGGGTAACTGATAGGGTATTTGAACTTGAGATTTAGGGTATCTGATAGAAGAAATTTCTAAGCAGCAAAGCATTCAAGAGATGACTTGGGTGCTGTTAAAGGCCTTCAGTTTTATGAGGGAAGCAGAGCATGAAAGTTTGGAAAATCTGCAGCCTGACAATGCAATAGAAAAGAAAATCCCATTTTCTCAAGAAAAATTCGATCTGGCTGCAGAAGTTTGTTTAAGTAACGAGGAGTCAAATGTGAATCCCCAAGACAATGGGGAAAATGTCTCCAGGGCATGTCACAGGTCTTCATGGCAGCCCCTCCCATCAAAGGTCCAGAGGCCTAGGAAGAAAAGATGGTTTTGTGGGCTGGACCCAGGGACCCCTGTTGTGAGCAGCCAAGGGTGCCTGAGTCCTAGCCACTCCAGCTGCAGCTAAAAGGAGCCAAGGTACAACTTGGGCTGTGGCTTCAGAGGGTGCAAGCCCCAAGCCTTAGCAGCTTCCACATAGTGTTGAGCCTGTGGGTGCACAGAAGTCAAAAATTGAGGTTTGGGAACTGCTGCCTAGATTTCAGAAGGTGTATGGAAATTCCTAGATACCCAGGCAGGAGTTTGCTGCAGGGGCAGGGCACTCATGGAGAAACTCTACTAGGGCAGTGCAGAAGGGAAATGTGGGGTCGGAGCCCCCACATAGAGTCCCTACTGCAGCGCCACCTAGTGGAGCTTTGAGAAGAGGGCCACCATCCTCCAGACCCCAGAATGGTGGATTCACTGACAGCTTGCACTGTGTGCCTGGAAAAGCTGCAGACACTCAATGCCAACCCGTGAAAGGAGCCAGGAGGGGGGTTAAACCATACAAAGCCACAGGAGTGGAGCTGTGGCCTTTTTTCTCCCAAGGCCATGGTCATACATCAGTATGACCTGCATGTCAGACATGGAGTCAAAGGAGATCATTTTGGAGCTTTGAGATTTCACTGCCCCACTGGATTTTGGGCTTGCATGGGTCCTGTAGCCCCTTTGTTTGGCAATTTTCTGCCATTTGGAATGACTGTATTTACCCAATGCCTATACCCACATTGTATCTAGGAAGTAACTAACTAGTTTTTGATTTTACATGCTCATAGGCAGAAGGGATTTGCCTTGTCTCAAATGAGACTTTGGACTGTGGACTTTTGAGTTAATGCTGAACTTAGTTAAGACTTTGGGGGACTGTTGGGAAGGCATGATTGGTTTCAAAATGTGAGGATATGAGATTTGGGAAGGGCCAGGGGCAGAATGATATGGTTTGGTTGTGTCCCCACCCAAGTCTCATCTTGAATTCCCACATGTTGTGGGAGGGACCTGGTGGGAAGTAATTGAGTCATGGGGGCAGGTCTTTCCCATGCTGTTCTCATGATAGTGAATACGTCTCACAAGGTCTGATGGTTTTGAAAAGGGTAGTTTCTCTGCAGAAGCTCTATCTTTGATTGCTGCCATCCATGTGAGACATGACTTGCTTCTCCTTGCCTTCCAACGTGATTCTTAGGCTTCCTCAGCTATGTGGAAGTGTAAGTCCATTAAACCTCTTTCTTTTGTAAATTGCTCAGTCTCAGTCAGGTATGTCTTTATCAGCAGTGTGAAAACAGACTAATACACCTTTGTTCCTTTTTTCTCTCATTATTTATGGTTGCAGTTTGGTGGTTTTCTTTAGTGGTGATGTTTGAATCCTTTCTTCTTTGTGTGTCTGAACTACCAGTGAGTTTTATACTTTCATGTATTTTCATGATGGTAGATATTGTTCTTTCACTTCCCAATGTAGGACTCCCTTAAACATTTCTTATAGGACCACAACAAACAAGACACAAACAAACAGTCTTTTGCTTATCTGGGAAATACTTTTTTCCCTTTTATTATTACTATTTTTTTTTTTAGCAATGGAGTCTCACTCTGTCACCCAGGCTGGAGTACAGTGGCATGATCATAGCTCACTGCAGCCTTGAACTCCTGGGATCAAATGGTCCTCCTGCCTCAGCCTTGAGTCTCTGGAATTGCAGATGTGAGCCACTGTGCCAGGCTCCTTCATTTGTGAAGGATAGCTTTGCTGGGTAGAGTATTTTTGGCTTACATTTTTTTATTATTATTTTTTTTTTGTACTTGTAATATACATCCCCTTTTCTCCTAGCCAGTAAGGTTTCTGCTGAGAAATTCCCTGTTAGCCTGATGGAGATTCTCTTATAAGTGACTTGATGCCTTTCTCTTGCTGTTTTTAGCATTTTCTCTTTGTCTTTTGACAATTTTACCATATTGTGCCTTGGAGAAGACCATTTTGAGTTGTATTTACTTGGTAATCTTTGAGCTTCCTGCATTTGGAAGCATTCAGGAAGTTTTCAGTTATTAGTTCATTAAATAGGTTTTCTATGCCTTTACCCATCTCATCTCCATCCAGAACTCCCAGAATTTCAGTTTTTGGTCACATATGTGTCCCATATGTCATGTAGCCTTGCTTCATTCTTTTTTCTTTCTTTTTGTCTGACTGGATTATTTTAAAAGACTAGTCTTCAGGTTCAGAAATTCTTTGTTTTGCTTGATCTAGTCTATTGTTAAAGCTGTCAATTATCTTTTGTATTTATTTCAATGATTTATTCTCTTCCAGGATTTGTGTTTGGTTCTTTGTTATGCTGTCTATCTCTGTTGAATTTGTCATTCAGATCATGAATAGTTTTCCTGTTTTTTTTTTTTTTTTGTATTCATTATCTGTGTTCTCTTGTATCTCCCTGAGTTTCTTTAATAACATTATTCTGAATTTTTTTCAGGTATTTCATAGATTTTCTTTTCATTGGATCTGTTGCTGGAGAATTATTGTGCTTCTTTGAGATGTTATGTTTCCTTTTTCATATTTCTTGCATCCTTATGTGACTATCTGTGCCTCTGACATAACAGTCATTTCTTCCAATTTTATGGATTGGCTTTTATATGGGAAAGACCTTTTCTTACAGCTGTATCTACAGTGTTCATTGGATATCACACTTTGGCTTTGATTCTGGGTGGGTACAGTGGTATAGTTTGCATATGATTCCTTCAGCTGTAATTGGCATGGGTGGTGCCTGTGAGTCATTCAGTGGCTTAGACTGCAGTGGTTTTTTTTTGGTGGTTGTTGAGATGGAGTCTAGCTCTGTCACCAGGCTGGAGTGCAGTGGCACAATCTCAGCTCACTGTATCCTCTGCCTCCCGTGTTCAACAAATTCTCCTGCCTCAGCCTCCTGAGTAGCTGGGACTATAGGCACGTGCAACCATGCCCAGCTAAATTTTGTATTTTTAGTAGAGACGGGTTTCACCATGTTGGCCAGGCTGCTCTCGAACTCCTGACCTCGTGATCTACCCGCCTCGGCATCTCAAAGTGCTGGGATTACAGGCGTGAGCCACCACACTTGGCCAGACTGCAGTTGTTATTGGAGGCTGTGGTGAGGCTTTGCTGAGGATGGGGATGCCAGGAAGTCTTGTCCTTCAGCATCAGTGGTAGTGGCGGTGGACCAGGTGTGTCAATACTAGGGACCATGGGCAGCGTTTGTGGGCACTGATGATAGCCTGTCTGTGTGGGCCAATCCCTGGGACTCCAGGTGGCTTCTTTGGTTACTGGCAGTGGGCCAGATGGGCAGGTGCACCACTGGGCTCCTGGGTGGTGTGTGTGGCAGGCTGATCTCTAGTTCTCCAGGTGACCTATACAGGTTCTGGTGGTGGGTAGGCAGGCGTTTCCTCAGGCCTCTCAGTAGTAAGTGTGAGCACCAGCTCTGGAGGCAGGTGAGTCAATCTCCAGGTCCCCGGATGGTACATTCAGGCACCAGCATATTCCTATGCATTTCTAGATAAAAGTATTTTTCAGAAAACCTGAGCATATGTCCTATTAATACAACTTACCCTCATCAGCTCTGCATGAGAAGAAGGCGGAATTCCCTCAGTAGAACAGTCAGAATGGAATCACAGACTTGTTTTGAGCCAGTCACTGGTGAGGGGGGGTAGGATAACATGATAAGCTCAGAATCTAAACCTTAGACTAGGGAATGGCAAACTTTTTCCATAAAGAGGCAAACGGTAATATTTTAGGCTTTTTGTCTAGATAACCTCTTTTGTAGTGACACAGTGGTGCCATCGTAGCCTAAAAGCGTATGTAGACAATGGATAAATCAATGGACCTGGTTTTATTCCAGTAAAACTTAATTTATACAGTCAGAGGGCCAGATTTGGCCCTTGGTCTGTGGTTGTTTAGAGCAGTCAAAATTTATTCCCTGGGGCTGGGCCAACTTTTTCTTTAAAAAAAAAAAAAAAAAAAAAAGCAACCCACTGTCAGAATAAAACAAGGTTTCTATTTAAAAAGAAGAAGAGGCTGGGTGTGGTGGCTCATGCCTATAATCCTAGCACTTTGGAAGGGTGAGGCAGGAGGACTGCTTGAAGCCAGGAGTTTGAAACCAACTTGGGCAATATAGTGAGACCCTCTGTCTGCAAAGAATAAAAAAATTAGCCAGGCATGGTGGCACATGTCTGTAGTCTTAGCTACATAGGAGGCTGAAGGGGAAGATCACTTGAGCCCAGGATTTTGAGGCTACAGTGAGCTCTGACTGTACCATTTGTACTCTAGCCTAGGCAAAGAGGGAGAACCCAAAAACAAACAAACAAAAAGTTGGTTGGGGCGGGTTGGAGAAGAAAGTATTTCTGAATTTCTGGGTAGGTTACTGGTAGTGTCAGGCCAAACTAGCTCTACAGTCATATTCATTATAAATAAAGGCAACTAGAAGATCTCCATCTAGCTATTAAAATTGGTTAAAATCTACAGAGATAAAGGACGGTGACTCTTGTGTCAGTTAGTTGTTGTCACAAAATGCTGCATAACAAGTCACTCCAAATCTCAGTGGCTTAATATAACAATCGTTTATTTTCATGGATCTATGGGTCAGCTGAGGATTGGTCAATCTAGCATGAGCATGTCTGGGAAGCTCGACGTTGCTCTTGTTGTCTCTTCTGCTGGAAGCAGCAGTCTGGCCTGGGCTTGTTCTCATGGTGATAGCAGGAGTGAGTGAGCAGAAATGAATTCACACTTTCCAAGTTTTTGGTCATACAGATTAATATTCCAGTGGCCAAAGCTAGACACATGACTAAACCCAACATTAGGGACTGGAGAAATATACTCCGATTCTTCAGTGGGAGGAACTGCAGAGACAAATGGCAGAATCTTGGATACAGGGAGGACACGGATCCATTAATGTACCTTAATCAATCGCAACCCTCTAACCACCAATACAATTAAATAAGTATTTGTTGAATGCACTTGTGCCTGAATGCTTCTGGCTGCAGCCCAGGCAATGGGGGCCTGACTGGGGAGGGACCATAGCAGGGACTCGATGTCCTGCAGGTCTGCATGTAATTGTGCACGGCCGACTCCTCATTGGTCATGGCTGACTTGCTTTATCCTGCGTCCCCAAGGGGCAACGATTGGCTGATTATATTTCTGAACAATTTTGACAAAGTTGTTTTCAGGAGCCCAGGAAGCAAATCAGTTGTAGATTTGAATTTTTCAGGGGATCAGAATTGTTGAATATATATATAGTCTTTTACATGCTGATAATTATTTCCACATCACAAAGAAGGCTGGCTATTAGGAGGCTGCTGTTCATTTCCTTTGCCCCGTGAACTCATGAGCTGTGGCTATGTGGGGGGCACTCAGTTGTTAGAGCTGTTTCCCTTCATAATAACATCAGCCAACATTCTAAATAAATGCAGGAAATTAAATAGTCTTCCCCAGACAGGCACTTTGCCCTTCTAAAGTGAATTACACATTCTAAAATAAAACACAGTCACATTAAAAAAACAAAAGGTCTTTGTGTCAGGTTGGTCTGGCTTCAGCAAAGATAATATTTGCCTCCAGAGTAGAAGATCCGTGGAATCCACGGTATTACATATGGCAGCCCCACATCTTGTTTCCTTTTCTTTTTTTTGTTTTTAACTAAAAGAGTTGTCAATTTTATTTTCACATTTCCCAATACAAATGAAAACTGCATCTTTTTTGGTCCCACTTCTCCCCTCCAAAACTATTCTCTTTGATAGGGCAAGAGGGCAAGTCTTCCTTATGCTGTTAAGAAAACTCGACATCACAGCAGCATGATCTCCTGGTGAAGGGAGCAGGTAAATATAAAATTCATATAGGCCAGGCGCAGTGGCTCACACCTGTAATCCCAGCACTTTCAGAGGCTGAGGCGAGCGAGTCACGAGGTCAGGAGATTGAGACCATCCTGGCCAACATGGTGAAACCCCGTTTCTACTAAAATAAAAAAAATTAGCCGGGCATGGTGAATACGCCTGTAGTCCCACACTACTCAGGAGGCTGAGGCAGGGGAATCGCTTGAACCCGGGAGGTGGAGGTTTCAGTGAGCTGAGATCATGCCACTGCCCTCCAGCCTAGGCGACAGAGGAAGACTCTGTCTCAAAAACAAAACAAAACATTACAAACAAAAAAACACAACAATAACAACAACAAAACAACACTGATGCAATGAGGCCTCCCCTCTATCCTTATCTGTCTGGTCGAGTCATTCTGGGCTGACTGGGCACCATCATGAGACGGGCAGGAGGTCTTATCATTGGGCACCCAGGCATCACAGGCATGTGGCCTCCCATGGGCGGCCTCATTCCAGGAGCAGGTCCCACTGGCATCATCCCAGGAGGAGGAGGGCCCATCTTTGGCATCATGGGCGGGCCCCCCATATGGGCTGCTGCCATCATTCTGAAATGTGCGAGAAGTGTCAAATACACATTAGATTGTGAAGACTTAATATAAAAAGAAAGCAAAGTATTTTGTTACTGTTAAAAAATTTTATACATGTAGACCTGGTATTTTGGATAGATTTGTTTAAATCTGTGATATTATTCCAATTACCTTCACTTCTTTTGTTTTACTTTTTAAAATGTGGTTATTACAAAATGCAAATGTAAATATGTGGCTTGCATCATATTTCATCACACTTAGTGTGGACCCTGAGGATCTAGGGGAGTTATGAGCCTTAAGTTGAGGGTGACCCAGGTCAACGTGAATTGCTCTGAAAGAGAAGCAAAGGGCTTAAAGAGAATGTATAAATGGAGAGAGGGAGCTCAGTCTCACAGGGTGAGGAAAGGCTTTCTTTCTTACACAGTCTGGCACTTCTTCAAAAGCTTAAACACAGAGTTGTATGACCCAGCACTTCCACTCCAGTTTATGAAAGAAATGAAAATATATGTCCGTCCAGAAACTTGTACACAAATGCTCATAGCAGCATTATTCATAATAGCGCCAAAGTGAAAACAACACAAATGCTTGTCTACTGATGAGTGGAGAAATAGAACATGGTTTGACCATGCAATGGAATATTATTCAGTCATCAAAAGGAATGAAGTACTAACACGTGCTACAACACGGATGAACTATGAGAATATTAAGCTAAGTGGAAGAAACCAGTCACAAAAGGTCACATATTCTAAGATGTCATTTATATGAAATGTCCAGAACACGCAAATCTATGAAGAGAGAAACCCTGCCTCTACTAAAAATACAAAATTAGATGGGCGTGGTGGCACATCCCTGTAATCCCAGCTACTCTGGAGGCAGGAGAATTGCTTGAACCCGGGAGGCGGAGGTTGCAGTGAGCCGAGATTGTGCTACTGCACTCCAGCCTGTGACAGATACTCTATCTCAAAAAAAAGTAGATTGTCAGGGCTTAGTGGGAGGAGGAAATGGCAGGAACCTGCTCATGGATACAGGGTTTCTTTTTGGGGTGATGAAAATGTTTTAAAATTGATCATGATGGTGGTTGCCGAGCTCTGTGAATGCACTGAAACCATTGATTTGTTCACTTTAAATGGGCAAATCATACGGTACCTGAATTATATTTTAATAGTTATATTAAAAAAGTAAAATCTTCCTTGAAGTGATGCCACTTAAGGAGAGGCCTAGAGGGTGGGATGAGTTCACTATGTAGAGAAATGAGGAACAGCATTTCAGGGTGAGAAACAGCATAGTGAAGTCCCTGAGGTTGGTAGGCATAGAGCAGATTTAAGGGACCTTTTTTTTTGAGACGGACTTTCACTCTTGACGCCCAGGCTTGCGTGGAGTGGTGCGATCTTGGCTCATGGCAACCTGTGCCTCCCGAGTCCAAGCGATTTTCCTGCCTCAGTCTCCCGAGTAGCTGGGATTACAGGTGCCATCCACCACACCTGTCTAATTTTGGGATATTTAGTAGAGATGGGGTTCCACCATGTTGACCAGGCTGGTCTCGAACTCCTGAACTCAGGTGATCCAGCCGCCTCAGCTTCCCAAAGTGCTGAGATTACAGGTGTGAGCCACTGCGCTCAGCCAGATTTAAGGGACTTTAAAGAAGTTTGTGTGGCTGAAGCCTGCAGGCCAAGCGAGAGAATCAGGAAATGAGGCTGGAGAAAGAGAGGGGCTAGGTCATGGAGGGTCTCACATTAGGGTGTGGAAACTTCACACGAGTGGTCCCACCTTGGGCATCCCACCTAACTACTCTGTGTCCCAGCTTCCCCACTGGTGAAATAAAGGGCTGATGTAGGGATGGACTGAGATAGGGTGTGCTCAGTAAAGGTGACCTTTTATCTTTTTTTTTTTTTTTTTTTTTTGAGATGGAGTCTCACTCTGTCGCCCAGGCCGGAGTGCAGTGGCGCGATCTCGGCTCACTGCAAGCTCCACCTTCCACGTTCACGCCATTCTCCTGCCTCAGTCTCCCAAGTAGCTGAGACTACAGGCGCCCGCCACCACGCCCAGCTAAAATTTTTGTATTTTTAGTAGATACGGGGTTTCACCGTGTTAGGGAGAATGGTCTGGATCTCCTCATGTCATGATCCGACCGCCTTGGCCTCCCAAAGTGCTGGGATTACAGGCGTGAGCCACCGCACCCGGCCGAGCTTTTATCGTTGTCAACCCACACAGCAGAGGGAGCCATTGAAAGCGAGTGATCGGTTTGGATGCACCTTCTGAAGTGATCGCTTTGGTCCCTGTGAGGAGTGCAGATTGTCACAGGGCCAGGGGAAGACAGAGGCCAGTGAGGAGGCCTTTGCAGTCAAACAGCTGGAGGTGATGGTGGCTTGGTTTATGGTGGTGTCAGGAGAGTGGCTGAGCAGTGAACGGATCTGAAAAGATTTAGGAGGTAAAACCCACGTGACTTGGTCACTGAATGTGGGTTGGGTTGGCTGGAGGGAAGGTAAGAAAGAATGAGAAGAAAAACATACTCAAGTGGGCCCTCCAGCCTAAGGTTACTTGAAGTCCCTTTGTGAAGAGGAATGTTTGTGTTTATGATGAAGATGTCTAGACTTTCAAAGGCCATTTGCAGTATTTTTTTAACAGCCAACAATTCCTCCTTCCCTATGACCTAAACATATGAATTTTTTTTTTTTTTGCCCTAACTTATCACAGAGGGATGGATGTTTATTTGCTTTAATGAAAAATGCAGAATGCCAATAAGAAAGCATATTAAATTAATCTGGATTGCTGGGAGGGAGTTAAATCTGTTTCGATGTGCACCAGTGTTACTATACTAGTTTGGTCTAAACCCATTTCTGACCTGCGGCTGCAGGAGGTTGACTCCCAGCTTGCTTTCATTTGAAAGATCCTAGCAACAAGTACACTTGGCATTTCCAGCCAAACCCACTTTGTGCAGCGAAGGAAAAGTTGAGGAGTGCCTCTGTTGTTTTCCCCCAAATCATTTGGCAGAAATGTGGCTGGGAGCTTCATTGCTGATTTTTTCAGTTTTAATATTGCTGTGGAAAGCCTGTACCAACACTCAGCCATGTTATTAATCCACAGCTCCAGTCTGGGCTGTGATTTGTTTTTCCTTTGAGTGACACAACCTTTTTTTCCATTAAGACTCAATGCAAATAGACACTCATGCACCATCACCATAACTCCCCCTGATTGGCGGAGGGAAATCAGTGGAATGATTCTAGTTTGGTGTTCATATCGGAGGGTTTTATTTATCTATTTTGAGACGGAATCTCTCTCTGTCGCCAGGCTGGAGTGCAGTGGTGCGATCTCGGCTCACTGCAACCTCTGACTCCCTGGTTCAAGCGATTCTCCTGCCTCAGCCTCCCTAGTAGCTGGGCTTTCAGGCATGTGCCACCATGCCCGGCTAATTTTTTGTATTTTTAGTAGACACGGGGTTTCACCATGTTGGCCAGGATGGTCTTGATCTCCTGACCTCGTGATCTGTCCGCCTCGGCTTCCCAAAGTGCTAGGATTACAGGCGTGAGCCACTGCGCCTGGCCTTGAGTTGTTTTTAAAAGCATATTTCTCTCAAATTATCTCCGGGGTGTCCCACTGTGACTTGGGAAAAGGTTGGATTTTCTGGAGGTGGAAAGTCAAACTTCAAATACAATTTGGAGGCTGCCACTGTGGCTCATGCCTGTAATCCCAGTACTATGGGAGGCTGAAGTGGGTGGATCATTTAAGGCCAGAAGTTCGAGACCAACCTGGGCAACATGACGAGACTTCGTTTCTACTAAAAATACAAAAATTAGCCAGGCGTGGTGGTACATGCCAGTAATCCCAGCTACTTAAGAGGTTGAGGCAGGTGTTATTGCTTGAACCTGGGAGGCAGAGTTGTCCTGTGTCCAAACCCCATGAGGCGTATCAGCTGGCTGAAGATAAAATCGGTCACGCAGTGTTGGGATTGGGGTTGCTGTTATCATACCTCCTCCCCACCCCTGCTAGGCATCCACAAATAGTCGTCTTCAATGAGACGTCCCTCCTGCCCCTGGCTGCCTTATTTCATCTGCACCCAATCGTATCCATTGCTTGTCAGTGGGTCTCAACCTTGGCTGCATCTTGGAATCTCCTGGGGAGAAGAGACAATACCAAGGCTCTCTCTCACTTAGCATGATGTTTCCAGGGTCCATCCACATGTAGTAGGCACCAATATTTCCATTGTATGGATACCGCACATATTGTTTGTTCATTCGTCAACCAAATGGCCATCTTGGTTGTTGCTACCTTTTGGTTATTATATATATTGCATGATTCCATTTATGTGAAAGGCCGAGAGTAGGCAAATCTATAGAGGCAGAAAGCAGGTAAGTGGTTGCCAGGAGCTGGGGGAAAGGGGAGGGGATGGAGAATGCTTGATGGATACAGGGTTATTTTTTGGGGGGGCGGGGGTGTTAATGAAAATGTTTTGGAACTAGACAGAGATGATGATTGCTTAATATTGTGAATGTATTTAATGATACTGAAGTGTATGGTTTCATACAGGGACTTGTATGTTATGTGAATTTTGCCTCATTAAAAAAATACTGCTAGGAGCAATGGCTCATGCCTGTAATCCCAGCACTGTGTGAGGCCAAGGTGGGCAGATCACCTGAGGCTGGGAGTTCGAGACCTGCCTGGGCAGCATGGTGAAACCCTATCTCTATTAAAAATACAAAAATTAGCCAGGCGTGGCGGTGCACACCTGTGATCCCAGCTACTTGGGAGGCTGAGGTAGGAAAATGGGTTGAACCCGGGAGGCAGAGGTAGCAGTGAGCTGAGATCGCACCACTGCACTTCAGCCTGGGTGACAGAACAAGATTCCATCTCAAAAAAAAAAAAAAAAAAAAAAAAAACACACACACACACACAAACCAAAAATACTGATGCCCATGTTTCATCCCCAAGAGATTCTTTAATAATTGATCTGGGCTGCAGAGCCCGGGCATTGGGGGTTTTAAAATCTCCCCAGGTGATTCTGATGTGCAGCTGTGGTTGAGAATCTCCTTCTGGAATGAACTTGTTCATGTTTTACTTGTGTTGTTTTCTAGCCTGCCAATGTCTTTCTGTTTCCGTTCACATCTTTGGGTTGTAATTTTTACAATGCAGTCTTAACAACCAGCTGCCTCAAAATGCACTGGGATCCCTCGTAACCAGGTAGCTCCCCATCTCTAACTCTGACCTGCTAAGACAGAATCTTGTGCGTGTGGCCCAGGACTGTACATATTGAAACAGGCAATGACCTGGGAACTATTTCTGAACACCCCTAGGTTTCCCGTGTTTGCCCTTTCCTTTCACATTTGGACCCCTTTGTGTGCTGACCACTGGGCTGTTTCACATGGACATAACATAAAAAAGACAGGCCAGGTGCATTGGCTCATGCCTGTAATCCCAGCACTTTGGGAGGCCGAGGTAGGCGAATCGCTTGAGGCCAGGAGTTCAAGATCTGCCTGGCCAACATGAGTAAACCCCGTCTCTACCAAAAATATGAAATTAGCTGGGTGCGGTGATGCACACCTTTGATCCCAGCTACTCAGGAGGCTGAGGCTGGAGAATCCCTTGAGCCCAGGAGGCAGAGACTGCAGTGAGCCGAGATCGCACCACTACACCCCAGCCTGGGTGAGAGTGAGACTCTTAAAAAACAAAGAGACAGAGATGATCCTTCCTTTATGGAGCTCTCAGTAAAACAAGAAAGCTCATGATGTCCTGTCATTTGTCAGAAATATATTTGGTATATGTAGCTGGGGTCACATGCTTGACATGCCTATTGAAAGCTTCTGGGTAGGAAGAGAACAATCATCACAGCATCACAGCCTGGCATAACTGTCTCCCAGGACAGGTCTCCCTGGGGAGACTGAAACCACAACTCTGAAATCAGAGCTTAAATCCAGGTTCTACATTTCACTCAGTAATGTACATGATGTAGGACAGTTTTCATATTAGTTATCTATTGCTGTGCAACAATATTACTGCAAACTTTGTGGCTTGAGACAGCACACAGTTATCACTATGTGGTTTCTGTGGGTCAGGAATCCAGGCGTGACTCAGCTGGGTTCAGTGCAAGGCTACAACCATAATGTCAGCCAGGGCTCAGTTCTCATCTGGAGGCTTGACTGGTGATTGATCTGCTTCCAGGCTCATCTGGTTGTTGGCAGCATTCAGTTCCTTGCAGGCTGCTGGACTCAGGGCCCCAGGTTCTTGCTGTCCTCAGCTTCTTGCCACATGGGCCTCTCCATCTGGCCACTCATGACATGGCAGCTCACATCTTCAAAGCCAGCAAGATAACCTCCTAGCAAGACAACTTAACATCCTATCTAACATAATCACTACATCCCATCACCTCTGCCATATTCTCTTGGTTATAAGAAAGTCATTGGTCCCTTTGTCAGATGAGTTGATTGCAAAAATTTTCTCCCATTCTGTAGGTTACCTGTTCACTCTGATGGTAGTTTCTTTTGCCGTGCAGAAGCTCTTGAGTTTAATTAGGTCCCATTTGTCAATTTTGGCTTTTGTTGCCATTGCTTTTGGTGTTTTAGACATGAAGTCCTTGCCCATGCCTATGTCCTGAATGGTATTGCCTAGGTTTTCTTCTAGGATTTTTATGGTTTTAGGTCTAACATTTAAGTCTTTAATCCATCTTGAATTGATTTTTGTATAAGGTGTAAGGAAGAGATCCAGTTTCAGCTTTCTACATATGGCTAGCCAGTTTTTCCAGCACCATTTATTAAATAGGGAATCCTTTCCCCATTTCTTGTTTTTGTCAGGTTTGTCAAAGATCAGATAGTTGTAGATAAAGCGGCATTATTTCTGAGGGCTCTGTTCTGTTCCATGGGTCTATATCTCTGTTTTGGTACCAGTACCATGCTGTTTTGGTTACTGTACCTTGTAGTATAGTTTGAAGTCAGGTAGCGTGATGCCTCCGGTTTTGTTCTTTTGGCTTAGGATTGACTTGGTAATGCCAGCTCTTTTTTGGTTCCATATGAACTTAAGTAGTTTTTTTCCAATTCTGTGAAGAAAGTCATTGGTAGCTTGATGGGGATGGCACTGAAACTATAAATTACCTTGGACAGTATGGCCATTTTCATGATATTGATTCTTCCTACCCATGAGCATGGAATGTTCTTCCATTTGTTTGTATCCTCTTTTATTTCTTTGAACAGTGGTTTGTAGTTCTCCTTGAAGAGGTCCTTCACATCCCTTGTAAGTTGGATTCCTAGGTATTTTATTCTCTTTGAAGCAATTGTGAATGGGAGTTCACTCATGATTTGGCTCTCTGTTTGTTATTGGTGTATACGAATGCTTGTGATGTTTGCACATTGATTTTTATCCTGAGACTTTGCTGAATTTTGCTATTTTAGTAGAGATGGGGTTTGCTGAATGCAGCCCCCAGTCACGTACTCCCTTCTTGGTCAATCGATCACGACTCTCATGATCACGACCCGCTCACGCGGACCCCCTTAGGGTTGTGAGCCCTTAAAAGGGACAGGAATTGCTACTTGGGGAGCTGGGTTGTTAGAGACGTGTGCCACCACTCCCAGCTATTTTTTGTGTTTTTAGTAGAGACGGGGTTTCCCCATGTTGGTTGGCCAGGATAGTCTCGATCTCTTGACCTCGTGATCCGCCCACCTCGACCTCCCATAGTGTTGGGATTACAGGTGTGAGCCACTCCACCCAGCCCAGTGAAGGCTTTTCATACTTGCTTGTCAGCCTCCTGCATCCTACTCCAGCACCTGGCGCTCACAACCTGTGGGCTGCTCTCATCCGTGATCATCTCTCCCCAGGCCTGCTGTTCCTCGAGGAAGGAAGTTGTAATGGGCAGAGTTCTAGGACAGCCCCCAAGAGAACCACTCCCTTATATCTGCTCCCTGTATCATCTCTTCTTGAGTGTGTGCAGAGCTTGTGATTTGGCCAAGGGGAAGGAATTTTGCAAATGTGATTATGGTCACACTTGCTTTGTTAAGCACATTTGCTCAGCTGACTTTGAGTTCATCCAAAGCAGGATGATCTTAGGTGGGCCAGACCTAATCAGGTGAGTCTTTTAAAGGTGAAGTTTCAGAGATTCAACCCTTAGCCTCCAAGGAGACAAAAATGGCCATGCTGTGAACTGTCTTTGGAGGTGGCAGCTCTAGGAGCTGAGGGCCTTCGTTCTACAATTGCAAGAAATTGAATTCAGTCCACAAACTGAATAAGCTTGGAAGAGGACACTGAGCATCTGATGAGACCCCAGCTGACACTCTGGTTGCAGTATTGTGACCCGGAATAGAAGACCCAGTTAAACCCTGCCCAGAGCCTTGGCTCATGGAAACAGATAATAACTGGATGGTGTTTTAAGCTGCTCAGTTTGCACTGGTAAATCCACCAACAGGAAAATAATATAGAAGTTAAATGGGCCAGGCATGGTGGCTCATGCCTGCAATCCCAACACTTTGGGAGGCTAAGGTGGGTGGATCACAAGGTCAGGAGGTCGAGACCATCCTGGCCAACATGGTAAAACCCCGTCTCTACTAAAAATACAAAAATTAGCCAGACGTGGTGGCATGCACCTGTAGTCCCAGCTACTCAGGAGGCTGAGGCAAGGGAATCACTTGAACCCAGGAGGTGGAGGTTGCAGTGACCCGGGACCATGCCACTGCACTCCAACCTGGGCAACAGAGAGAGACTCCATCTCAAAAAAAAAAAAAGTTAAATGAATACTTTTGACCATTGATGGAAGTTGCTTTCATTCCCTCTTACTTAATCATCTTTATCTTAGCCCTGAAAGAGGGATGTTTTAATCCCATTTGTAACAAGTGAGTCTGAGGCCCAGGAAAGTGATAGAATTTAGCAAAGTCCACCTTGCTACCTGGTGGCCCCAGCTAGAACTCTGCCCCAGGTCCATATACCTAAAGTCATTACAGCGTCCACTAAAATTTTGCCCCTCTCTCGATGCCTTCCTCTTTAGAAGCCTGTTCCTTCAGGGATAGATCCCAACTCAGTGTTACAAGGTACTGAACTCTGATTTTCACAAAATATAATAACTGCCCCCCAAAATTAATAATAGTATTTTTGAGCTGGGCACGGTGGTTCATACCTGTAATCCCAGCACTTTGGGAGGCTGAGGTGGGCGGATCATGAGGTCAAGAGATCGAGAGCATCTTGGACAACATAGTGAAACCCCGTCTCTACTAAAAATACAAAAATTAACTGGGAGTGGTAGCAGGCGCCTGTAATCCCAGCTACTCGGGAGGCTGAGGCAGGAGAATCGCTTGAACCCAGGAGGCAGAGGTTGCAGTGAGCCGAGATTGCACCACTGCACTACAGCCTGGCAACAGAGCAAGACTCCGTCTCAAAAAAAAAAAAAAAAAATGTATGTTTGAGTCCTTATGTGTCAACCACTGGGCTATCCCAACACCAATAGCTATTATGATTATGATTAGTTTTTCCATTTTATTGATGAGGAAACCAACACATAGAAAGGTAAAGGAACTTGCCAAAAGTGATGGTCACACAGCCAAAGAGCTGTAGAAGCAGCACAGGAATCCCAGCAAACTCACAGCCAAGCTCTGCTTTTCACCTTCACATCATACAGTCCTCAGACTAAAACCCTAACTCTGACCTTCCAAATCAAAAATCGTACTCAAGGCCGGGTGCGGCGGCTCACGCCTGTCATCTCAGCACTTTGGGAGGCCGAGGCAGGTGGATCACCTGAGGTCAGGAGTTCCAGACCAGCCAGGCCAACATGGTGAAACCCCATCTCTACTAAAAATACAAAACTTAGCCAGGCGTGGTGGTGGGTGTCTGTAATCCCAGCATTTTGGGAGGCTGACGCATGAAAATCACTTGAACTCAGGAGGCAGAAGTTGCAGCGATCCATGATCATGCCACTGCACTCCAGCCTGGACAAGAGAGTGAGACTCTGTCTCAAAAAAAAAAAAAAAAAAAAAAAGAATTGTGCTTAATAATAGCTTGGAAGTGCACATATCTTCTGTGAAGTTTGATGGACTACAATTAGCTTCAAAACACAAATAAGTAACAGTGTTTAAATGAGGCCTTCTGTGTAATATCTAGGGAAAATCAATGTGGCTATTCATATTTTGTTTCCCCTTCCAGGCACAGAGAAGTTGCCCATGACTCTGTGATCCGTTTTGTCCAATGAACCATGAGCAGCAGCAACTTGAGTCACCTCCAGGTGGAAGTGTTAAGAGGTTGCTCTATGATCCACCACATTCCCTTTGCCCTGAAGTGGAGATCAAGGACACATGCAGAGATGGGGCTTTTGTCAGCCTGGATCCCTGAGTGAACACAATGAACAGACCACCCCAGAATGCCCTAACACAGCCCAGACATGCAACGTGACCAAGAATAAGCCTCACTGTGGCCAGGCATGGTGGCTCATGCCTGTCATCCCAGCACTTTGGGAGGCCAAGGTGGGTGGATCATTTGAGGTCAGGAGTTCAAGACCAACCTGGCTAACAGGGTGAAATCCTGTCTCTACTAAGTACAAAGATTAGCCAGACAGTGGTGGCATGGGCCTGTAATCCCAGCTACTCAGGAGGCAGGAGAATCACTCGAGTCTGGGAGGCAGAGGTTGCAGTGAGCTGAGATTGCACCACTGCACTCTAGTCTGGGTGACAGAGTGAGACCCTGTCTCAAAAACAAACAAACAAATACCTCACTGCATGAGGCCACTGAGATTTGGGGTTTGTTGTTACTGCACCAGAACCCAAATCATCCTGACCGCTAGGGTGTCCTAACTAGGGTTTCTTACCAAAAGCAAAGGCATTTTTAAAGTTCGTGACATTTAAACAAAAGAGCAAATACCAATATCTACCACTTTGTCAGGCTAAAAAACCCAAACAAAGCCAACAGCCAGAAGTTAAAATAAACAGATCATTAGGTTGAAAATAGAACTGTCAAAACAGGCACAATTGACTTCATTTAGTGATTGCAAAGAACATCAGGCAAGACACAGGTATGCTCATCATAACATTTATCACATGCTTCATTGCACATGTTTGACTAAGAAAAACACAAAGTATTTAAGCTCATCTGTAGTTCAAAGTGCCTATCCGTGTATTTATCTATTCATCCTGATTTATTTATTGAGCAACTCTTTTGTGCCAGGCACTGTGCTGTGTTGCGGGAAGTCAGGGACCCCAAATGGAGGGACCAGCTGAAGCCATGACAGAAGAACGTGGATTATGAAGATTTTATGGACATTTATTAGTTCCCCAAATTAATACTTTTGTAATTTCTTATGCCTGTCTTTACTGCAATCTCTAAACATAAATTGTGAAGATTTCATGGACACTTATCACTTCCCCAATCAATACCCTTGTGATTTCCTATGCCTGTCATTACTTTAATCTCTTAATCCTGTCAGTCGAGAAGGATGTATATCGTCTCAGGACCTGTAATAATTGCGTTAAGTACATAAATTGTACATCATGTGTGTTTGAGCAATATGAAATGTGGGCACCCTGAAAAAAGAACAGGATAACAGCAATTGTTCAGGGAATTAGAGAGATAACCTTAAACTCTGACCGCCGGTGAGCCAGGCAGAACAGAACCATATTTCTCTTCTTTCAAAAGCAAATGGGAGAAATATCATTGAATTCCTTTTCTCAGCATGGAACGTCCCTGAGAAAGAGAATGCGCACCTAGGGGTAGGTCTCTGAACTGGCCCCCCGGGGCGTACCTGTCACTTATGGTCGAGATTGCAGAGGTGAAATAAACTCCAGTCTCCCACAGCACTCCCAGGCTTATTAGGAAGAGAAAATTCCCGCCTAATAAACTTTGGTCAGACGGGTTGATCTCAAAACCCTGTCTCCTCATAAGATGTTATCAATGACAATGGTGCCAAAACTTTATTAGCAATTTTAATTTCACTTCCATCCTGTGGTCCTGTGATCTCACCCTGTCTCCACTTGCCTTGTGATATTCTATTACCCTGTTAAGTACTTGATGTCTGTCACCCACTCCTATTCATATACTCTCTCCCCTTTTGAAACTCCCTAATGAAAACTTGCTGGTTTTTGTGGCTTGTGGGGCATCACGGATCCTACCAATGTGTGTTGTCTCCCCCGGATACCCAACTTTAAAATTTCTCTCTTTTGTACTCTGTCCTTTTATTTCTCAAGCCAGTCGACGCTTAGGAAAATAGAAAAGAACCTACCTGATTATCAGGGCAGGTCCCCCGATAGTGTTGGGTGGTGGTAATGCAATGATGAAGATGGCAGGCATGCCTCTGCCCTCCAGGAGTTTCTAGGATACAGAGGGGGACAAACAAAAAATAAGTAAATCTATGAAAGAAGTATAGGTGGAACCTGCCCCCAATATTTCAATGTAGGTTCTTTCTGTTTTCCATAAGTGTCAGCCAGCTGAGAAATAAAGAGAGACACTACAAAGAGGAATTTTACAGCTGGGCTGCTGCGGGTGACATTACACATCAGTAGGACCGTGATGCCCCCTGAGTCTCAGATGAGCAAGTTTTTATTAAGGGCTTCAAAAAATGCGTTCCTTTCCCAGGGTATTACTATTAATATTCCTTGCTAGGAAAAGAATTTAGCGATCTCTCTCCTACTTGCACATCCGTTTATAGACTCTCTGCAAGAAGAAACATATGGCTCTTTTTGCCCAACCCTGCAGGCAGGCAGACCTTATGGTTGTCTTCCTTTGTTCCCTAAAAATTGCCGTTATTCTCTTCTTTTTCAAGGTGCACTGATTTCATATTGTTGAAACACACATGTTTTACAATCAATTTGTACAGTTAACACAATTATCACAGTGGTCCTGAGGTGATGTACATCCTTAGCTTATGAATATAACAGAATTAAGAGATTAAAGACAGGCATAAGAAATTATAAAAGTATTATTTGGGAACTGATAAATGTCCATGAAATCTTCACCATTTATGTTCCTCTGCCATGGCTCCAGCCAGTCCCTCTCCATTTGGGGTCCCTGACTTCCCACAACAAGAAACAATAAGAGGTTAAGGTGGAGAAGAGCAGGTAAGTCCACTTTATAAAGGGGTCAGGGAAGAGCTGTCTGTGGAAGCACCATTTTAGCTGACACTTGAAGGATGGTCTAATTTGGGGAGGTGCAGGGAAAATCATTCCAGGCTGAAGCAGCAAGTGCAAAGGCCGTGTTGTGGAAAAAGGTTTGAAAGTCCAAGAAAACAAAAGGAGGCCATAGTGGCTGAAATAGAGTAGGCCAAGGGCAGGAGATAGGAGAGGGCTGGAGAGGTGGCAGGAACAGGCAGAAGACTCGGGGTCTCGATTTTATTCTATGTACCATGGGCAGGAAAGGCAGGGATGAGACTCAATGGAAGCCTTAAGATCACTGAAGCTGCCAGGTAGGAAATGGATTGCTGAGCATGGAGAGCAGGTGCAGAGTACCAGTTAAGACCAGTTAGGAGGCTGCTGTAGCCCAGCTGAGATAGTGGTGTCCTAGGCAAAGATAATGACAGTGAAGCTACAGAGAGTGGACAAGTTGGATAAAGTTTAGAATCACAGGACTTGCTGACTGGAGAAGAGGGCAAAAGAAGAGTTAGCACAACACATGAGTTATGACCACCTTGAGCAGCTCAGCAGGGGGTGGTGCCATTTACAGAACAGAGATGACATGGACAGAGCCCATGGAGAAGGAGGAGGAAAAAGAGAGTTTGGCTTTGGTTTTTTTTTTTTTAAGACAGGGTCTCTGGCTGTGTCACCCAGGCTGGAGTGCATTGGTGCAATCATAACTCTTTGCAGCCTCAAACTCCTGGGCTCAAGTGATCCTCCTGCCTCAGCGTGCCATGTAGCAGGACTACAGATCCTACAGATGCACATCACCATGCCTAGCTTTTTTTTTTTTTTTTTTTTTTTTTTGTAGATAGGGAGTCTCACTCTGTTTTCCAGGCTGGCTTCCAACTCCTGGCCTCAAGTAATCCTCCCACCTCTGCCTCCCATAGCACTGGGATTACAGCCATCACCTACCACTCCAAGCCATGAGTTTGGCTTTGGATGTAACAAGGTTGAGGTGTTCATGAGTTGACAAGTGGAAAAAACAAGAAAGAAGTTGAGTGTTAAAACTGCTGTTTGAAGGAGAATTCTAGCCTCAAGACAAAAGTTCAGGACTCATTAGCTGAGAAATGGCACTGAAAATTATGTAAATGGATGAGCTCAGCTAGCAAACAAGTCCAGAGAGAGCAGCACTGGGCTATACATCTGGCCTAATGCCGCCCTGCTCCTCCCAATCCCTGTGTTATGCTGGAGAGGGTTCAGCCTCTGGTGAGTTTCACCAAACCCCCACATCTCTTTCTTCTGAGACCTTCTCTAAAATCCCCTCTTTTATACTTAGTGAAATGGGATTCTCTTTTTCCCATCCAGCTTAAGCACAAACTTTTGACTATGAGAAGAATGAGGATGCATTTAGTATCTGTTCTGCATGGCTAATTCCATCAAAGATTTCTCATTATTCATGCCTGGCAGTCTCATTTTCTTCTTTTGCCTCTAAGAGCACAGTCGTAGCCATAATTACTGACATTTTCACTCTTCTAATACCAGCTATTTCCCGCATCTCAGTTCTCAGGAAGTTCTGTTCACAGAATTATCTCCTGAATCCTCACCTGGAGATAGAAATTGTTCTCTGTGACCATTTCTTCCCCCTCTAATTCTTATCAAAAAACTCAGTGATCTCTGTGCATCAGATATTAAACTCAAGCTCAACAGATCATGATTCTGGCTTGTCTCTCTCTCCTGCCTGTGGGTTAACAGGTATGCAACCTTTGCAGAGGAGACACCAAATTCTCAGGAGGCCAGAGTTTCCAAAGGTACTGGTCACTCTTGCTCTCTTTCTCCTGCTCAGAATTCAGCACTAGAGAGTGTTACACCATTGCACCTGCAGAGGAGTTCATCTGACTCTAGGGACTACAGAGGAGAGAGATGGACAAACTAACAGGCATTCAGAAAATGACTACCACAATGGGGAAGAAAATGAAAGTCAAACCAAATAAGCAATGGTCAACAAAAAAAAAAATCTAGAGGGCAGCTGCAGTGGCTCACACGTGTAATCTCAGCACTTTGGGAGGCCGAGGCAGGTGGATCACTTGAGATCAGGAGTTCGAGACCAGCCAGGGCAACATAGTGAAACCACATCTCTACTAAAAATACAATAATTAGCCAGGTGTGGTGGCGGGCACCTGTAATCCCAGCATTTTGGGAGGCTGAGGTGGGTGGATCACCTGATGTCAGGAGTTTGAGACCAGCCTGGCCAACATGGTGAAACCCTATTTCTATTAAAAAATACAAAAATTAGCCAGGTGTGGTGGCAGGTGCCTGTAATCCCAGCTACTTGGGAGGCTGAGGCAGGAGAATTGCTTGAACCCAGGAGGCAGAGGTTCTGGCGAGCAAAGATTGCACCACTGCACTCCAGCCTGGGCAACAGTGAGACTTCGTCTCAAAAAAAAAAAAAAAAAAAAAAAAAAAAAAACAACCTAGAGATGTCCATCCAGGCTGGACAGAATATTCCAGAGCAGAGATTGGGACACTATGGCCTATGGGCCAAATCTGACCTGCTTGCACATGTGTTTGTCAATAAAGTTTTATTGAAACACAGCCATGCACATTTGCTACATATTGTCTACGGCTGCTGGATTTGGCTGTTCTCATGGTATAAAGAAATACCTGAGACTGGGTAATATATAAAGAAAAGAGGTTTAATTGGCTCGCAGTTTTGTAGGCTATACAGGGAGCATGACACTGACATCTGCTGAGCTTCTGTGGAGGCCTCAGGAAACTTACAATGATGGCAGAAAGTGAAGCGGGAGCAAGAGAGTAAGGAGGGAGGTGCGACACACTCGTAAACAACCCGATCTTGCAAGAACTCACTCACTATTGCAAGGACAGGACCAAAAGGATGATGCAAAATCATTCATGAGAAATCCACCCCCATGATTCAATCTCTTCCCACCAGGCCCCACCTCTAACACTGGGGACAGCTTTTATCTTGGCTTTTTCACTGGCAGCCCCTTCCTCAAGGACTTAACTTGTGTAAGCTGACTCTTAGCAGATCTAAGAATGCAATTAACTGATAAGATACTGTGGGGCGAGCAATATCCACAGTTCCCAGGAATTTGTACAATTGATAATGCCTAAAGCCCCACGTCTATCACTTTGTAATAGTCTTAAAGCCCTTAGACCTAGAACTCTTTACTTTCCTGTATCAATTTATCCTTTTAACTTTTTTGCCTACTTCTGTAAAATTCTTTTAACTAGACCTGTTTCCCCTTTCTAAACTGAAGTATAAAAGAAAATCTAGCCCCTTCTTCGGGGCCAAGAAAACGTTAAGAGTTAGCCATTTCTTAGGCACCAGCTAAATAAGGAGACTCTTAATTCATGTGAAAGTGTGGCATTTTCTCCAACTCATTCAAGTACAACATTTGGAGGCCCCAGCGAGAAACGCCATGAGGAGAGAGCCGGGCTCCCCCGGAAGGACGGCCGGCTTGTGGGGGGTGCCACCTAAAAAAAAACCTTCAGGTCCTCGAAAAGTGACCGTCTTCCAGAGGAGAGCGGATCGACTACCCGGTGGGTGCCCATAAAAATTCCACCTCTGAGTCCTCGACTTCTGACCCTGAGGTCACGTGGGTCAGATTTGACTTCAGTTCTAGGAAGAGGGAAGCGGCCCTGATGAGGGTGTCCCTCTTTCGACTCTGCATGTTTCTCTAGGACGCTAGAAGGTAGAGCCCTGGTTTTCTGTTAGGCACCTCTGTGTCTCTTTCTAGGAGGGAAGTGGCCCTGACAGGGGCCCTCCCTTGACTCAGTCCACATCCCAGGATGCTGGAGGACTGAGTCCTGGTTTCCGGCAGACCGGTCACTCTCTCTCTCTCTGTTTCTATCTCTCATCTTTCTCTTGTTCAAGTTTCTTGAAGAATCTCCAAGAAAGAAAAAAAAAAAACTGTTATATACTCTGTGTGAATAATGAATGAGTGAGGGAGGACAAGGGCTCGCGCTTGTCCTCCAGTTTGTAGCTCCACGGCGAAAGCTACGGAGTTCAAGTAGGCCCTCACCTCACCTGCGGTTCTGTGGCGACCCCATAAGGCTTAAGGCAGCATCAGGCATAGCTTGATCTGAGCCGGAAGTTTATACCGGCCTGCCAATGCTAAGAGGAGCCCAAGTCCCCTCAGGGGGAGGGGCCAGGCAGTTATCTGACTGATCCTATCACAGGAAACCCTCCCCTTGTCTGTCTAAAAAAAAAAAAAAAAAAAAAAAAAAGGAAGAAACTGTCGTAACTGTTTACATGCACTAAAGTCAATTGTTTGTTTTATATTGATTGTTCTGCTCAGTGTCTATTGTCTTGTTAGTAGTTGTCAGAGTTTTGCATGTCAAGACGTTGATATTGCCAAGACGTCTAAGTAAAAACTTCTTCAAAGCCCTTAGTGCTGATTTTTTGTCACAGGAGGTTAAATTTCTCATCAATCTTTTAGGCTGGCGACCACAGTCCTGTCTTTTCTGCCAGAAGCAAGTCAAGTGTTGTTACAAGAACAAGTGTGAAAAACATTTGCCTGATTAAGATTTCTAGCACTATGAAAGTTGTAAGTATTTAGATCGTCATACTCCACGTCCAGGTGATTAGACCTCCTCTAAACTAAACCAGTAGTGAGTTCAAAACAGCCACCCTGCAAATTTCCTTGCTCACCTCTCTCGTCATTCTGTAACTTTTCCTGTGCCCTTAAGTAGAACACTGTGTAAAGAAATGTACGCCCGTACTGCTTTACTTCATTTAGATTCTTACTCTGTTCCTCTGTGGCTACTGTCCCATCTTAAAAATGATCCGAGTAGTCCTTTTCTGCCTTGTCCCTGCCCCCTATCCCGCACATCTCGTTTTACGGTGCGACAGCAAGTTTACCATCTCCAGGACTTGGCTCTGCTCTCACTCCTTAAACCCTTAAAAGAAAAAGCTAAGTTTAAGCTATTTGCATTTAAGTCATAAAGACACCAAAAATATTTAAAGTGCAGATCTAGAAGAAGAAGAAGAACGCCTAGATCAAACTGACCCAGAAGATCTCAGGCTGGCTCTAGTCCTCCTCCCTCAATCTTAAAGCTACAGCAAGGTAGCAAGTAGTATTAGCTGTTGTAAGTTTTTCTGCTCTCTCTGGTCATACTGATTCTGTTCTTTCACTATGCCAGTCCCCCAAGAAATAAGTTTCTCTGTCCATGCTAAGTTTAATATCTATGCTCAAATCTTATTAAATTGCCTTCAAAAAAAATAAAAATAAGAAACACTTCCTCCCAGCCTTGTAAAGTTAAAGCCCTCTCCAATGTATGCTGCAGAATTTTTCTCTCAGTTCAGAGGATTATAAAGTCCGCCTAAAAAAGGCAAGTTCCAGACACTCTGCAAAATAAAATGGCCAAAGTTTAAAGTCAAGTGGCCCCCTGAAGGGTCATTGAACCTCACAATTGTTCA
The DNA here is from genome assembly GCF_000001405.40 of Homo sapiens. Lineage (NCBI taxonomy): Eukaryota > Metazoa > Chordata > Mammalia > Primates > Hominidae > Homo > Homo sapiens. The sequence goes on along the minus strand of NW_018654717.1, from coordinate 5,206,996 downwards.
AGCTGTGTGGCAGGTTGTTACTGAAACTCCTAGTCACCCTGATCAGTTTCCCTACATTAGCTACGTTTAGTCAGGATCCACTCTCCATGGCTCCGTTCATGCGCCATTCATAATTCTACCTCCAAGGTCCTCCTAAGCCAGACCGCGTTTTCGCCTCAACCCTCAGTCGGTTCAGCTTCCCCTGTACTGCCTCCCTCTGAAGAAGAGGAGAGTCCCCCTCACCCAATCCCACCGCCTTACAACCAACCTTCTCCCTTAAAGTTATCCCATGTCTCCTCGACGACGTCCCCTGTAGCCTCGCCACCCATTGCCTCTCAGTCATGACCGTGGCAGGAAGAAGTAGTCCCTCTACTACCACTGAGAGAGGCACAAGTCCCTCCAGGTGACGAGCGCTCAGCACCCTTCTTAGTTTGTGTCCCTTTTTCTACTTCTGACTTATATAATTAGAAAACCCATAATCCTCCCTTCTCTGAAAAGCCCCAGGCTTTGACCTCTCTGACAGAGTCTGTACTCCGGACCCGCCCGCCCACCTAAGATGATTGCCAACAGCTCCTTTTAACCCTTTTCACCTCTGAAAAGAAGGAACGTATCCAAAAAGAAGCCAAAAAGTACTTCCTCACATCAGCCAACGGACCGGAAGAAGAAGCTAGAGACCTCCTTGAGGATGTCTTTCCCTCTACCCAGCCTAACCAGGACCCACATTCCTCAAGTAGAAAGGGAGCTTTAGACGATTTTCACCGGTATCTCCTCGCAAGTATTAAAAGAGCCTCTCAGAAACCCATCAACTTGTCTAAGACGACCGACGTTGTCCAAAAGCCCGATAAGTCACCAAGAACGTTTTAGAGCGCCTCCAGGAGGCTTATCGGATTTACACCCCTTTTGACCCGGCAGCTCCCGAAAATAGCCTTGCTCTTAATTTAGCATTTGTGGCTCAGGCAGCCCAGGATATTAAAAAGAAACTCCAAAAACTAAAAAGATTTTCTAGAATAAATATCAGTCAGCTTTTAGAAATAGCCCAAAAAGTTTTTGATAATCAAAAGCTTAAAAAACAAAAGCAACACAGGCAACTGGAAAGGCCGCTGATAAAGCATTCAGAAGACAAACAAAAATCTTAGTGGCAGCTATCCAAGAAGTACAGAATGAAGTAGCCCGTTAATTTAGCATTAACTGAAGCCCCTGCTTTAGCCCTCCCTAATATCTCCATAAAAGCCAAGGAGTTGCTAAAGACGTGCTTACTCAGACTTTAAGACCCTAAAGCCGCCCAGTGGCCTATTTGTCTAAGAGGCTAGATCCTGTGGCCTCTAGATGGCCAAGTTGTCTTCGAGCCTTAGCGGCTACAGCAAGCCTGGCCCAAGAAGATGATAAGTTAACTCTAAGCCAAAATTTAACCCTTACAGCTCCTCACGCCGTAAAGACCTTACTACAAAATGCTTCTGGCAAATAGATGTCAAATGCTCGCATCTTGCGGTATCAAAGTTTACTGTTAGATCAGCCTCGTTTGACTTTCTCTCCCACAAAGTGTTTCAATCCAGCTACACTACTTCCTGACTCAGACTCCACTATTCCTGCTCATGACTGTCAAGAACTGTTAGAAACTATCGAAACTGGCCTATCTGTTCTTCAAGCTGTGCCCCTAGAAAAGGCAGATGCCGCCGTGTTCACAGACGGTAGCAGCTTCCTCAAGCAGGAAATATGAAGAGCCAGTGCAGCTGTTACCACGGAGACACATTTGTTGTAAGCTCAAGCTTTACCAGCGAACACCTCAGCACAAAAGGCTGAATTGATCGCCCTCACTCAGGCTCTCCAATAAAGTAAGAATAAACTTATTAACATTTACACTGACAGCAAGTACGCCTTTGCTGCTGTGCATGTACATAAAGCCATCTACCAGGAAAGCAGGCTACTCACCTCAGCAGGTAGCTGTGATCCACCGCAAAGGACATCAAAAAGAAAACACGGCCGTGGCCCATAGTAACCAGAAAGCTGATTCAGCAGCTCAGGTCGCAGCAAGACTTTCAGTCACGCCTCTAAACTTGCTGCCCACAGTCTCCTTTCCACAGCCAGATCTGCCTGACAATCCCGTATACTCAACAACAACAACAACTGGCTTCGGATCTCAGAGCCAATAAAAATCAGGAAAGTTAGTAGATTCTTCCTGACTCTAGAATCTTCATACCCTGAACTCTTAAACAAACTTTAACCAGTTACGTACAGTCTATCACCCATTTAAGAAGAGCAAAGCTACCTCAGCTCCTCCAGAGCCATTTTAAGATCCCCGGTCTTCAAAGCCTAAAGATTAAGCAGCTCTCCAGTGCACAACCTGAGCCCAAGTAAATGCCAAACAAAGTCCTAAACCCAGCCCAGGCCACTGTCTCTGGAAAAAGTCGCCAAGAAAAAAGTAAGAAATTGACTTTACAGAAGTCAAACCACACCAGGCTAAGTACAAATACCTTCTAGTACTAGTAGACACCTTCTCCAGATAGACTAAGACATTTGCTACCGAAAACGAAACCACCAACATAGTAGTTAAGTTTTTACTCAATGAAATCATCCCTCAATATAGGCTGCCTGCTGCCATAAAGTCTGATAATAGAGCAGCCTTCACCTCGCCTATAGCTCAGTCAGTCAGTAAGGCGTTAAACATTCAAAAGAAGCTCCATTGTGCCTATCAACCCCAGAGCTCCAGGCAAGTAGAACGCATGAACCACACCCTAAAAAACACTCTTATAAAATTAATCTTAAAAAAACAGTGTAAATTAAGTAAGTCTCCTTCCTTTAGCCCTACTTAAATTAAGGTGCACCTCTTACCAGGCTAATTTCTCACCTTTTGAAATTATGTATAATAAGGCACCGCCTATCTTGCCTAAGCTAAGAGATGCCAAATTAGCAGAAATATCACAAACTAATTTATTACAGTACCTATAGTCTCTCCAACAGGTACAAGATATTATCCTGCCACTTGTTCCAGGAGCCCATCCCAATCCAATTCCTGACCAAAGTCCTGCCATTCGTTCCAGCCAGGAGACCTAGTGTTGTTAAAAAGTTCCAAAAAGAAAGACTCACTCCTGCTTAGAAAAGACCTCACAACGTCATCCTCACGACTCCAATGGCTCTGAAAGTAGATGGCATTCCTGCTTACATTCATCACTCCCGCATCAAAAAGGCCAACAGAGTCCAACTAAAAACATAAGTCCCCAAGCCTAAGTCAGGCCCCTTAAAACTGCACCTAAGTCAGGTGAAGCCATTAGATTCATTCTTTTTATCTACCTCACTCACTTGTTTTTGCCCGTTACATCCTCTGTGCCTTCCTACTCCTTTCTCCTCACCTCTTTCACAACAGGACTTGTACTTGCAAACACCACTTAGAAGGCCAGTACCTCCAAGGAAGTGTCCTCTGCAGTTGACTTATTTGTACTCTTCCCAAAGCCAGCCCATACCCACGAAAAGCAACACAATCTGCCAGTTCCAGGAGCAGGAAGTGTCGACTTTGCAGCAAGACTCAGACACTCCAAGAGCCAAACTAAGTATAGAAGCTCCAAAAGTGCAGAAAAAAGACTCCAAAATATTTACTTTTACCTCTGTCCTAGAAATCACCCTGATGCTAGCTGTCAAGATATTTATCAGTTTTCCTGTCCTGATTAGACATGTGTAACTTTAGCCACCTGCTCTAAAAGATCAACCAGATCTTCAACTCTTTCCATAAGTCCTGCTTCTCATCCTAAATTATATACTAGAAGAAATTGTAATCCTCTTACTATAACTGTCCATGACCTTAATTCAACACAACAGTATCATGGCATGTCATGAAGATTAAGATTTTATATCCCAGGATTTAATGTTAAGTCTATGTTCACCATCCAAAAAAAAACTAGTCTCATAAAGCCCACCCAAGCCAATCAGGCCTTTAACTGATCTAAGTAACCCTATGTTCCAGAAACACCCTGAGAAAGTTGATTCAACTGTTCCTCCACCATTCTTAGTCATAAAAGATACACTCCAGAAAGTGCAAGAAAATCTAGATAAGCGCCAACAAGAACAAGAAAATAACATCCCCTAGTATCAAAGCATGTTCAACTAGAACCCAGAGCTAACTATTCTAATTACTAAGTTAGCCAGACCCCCTCCCCATCCTACTATTAAGTTTAATTTTTGGACCTTGTATATTAAATTAGTTTATTAATTTTGTAAAACAACGCATACCTTCTGTCAAACTTATGTATCTTAAGACTCAAAATAACCCCCTCGTTATAACTGAAGAATCAACGATTTGATTCCCCAAAAATACAAGTGAGGAATGTAATGCCCAACCTTGTTTTTACTAACCCTGTTCTTAGACTCTCCCTTTCTTTTAATCACCTAGCCTTGTTTCCACCTGAATTGACTCTCCCTTAGCTAAGAGAGGCAGACAGACTCCATCTTGGCTCTTTCACTGGCAGCCCCTTCCTCAAGGACTTAACTTGTGCAAGCTGACGCCCAGCACATCGAAGAATGCAATTAACTGATAAGATACTGTGGTGAGCAATATCCGCAGTTCCCAGGAATTCGTCCAATTGATAACGCCCAAAGCCCCGCGTCTATCACCTCATAATAGTCTTAAAGCCCCTAGACCTAGAGCTGTTTACTTTCCTGCAACAATTTATCCTTTTAACTTTTTTGCCTACTTCTGTAAAATTGTTTTAACTAGACCCCCCTCCCCTTTCTAAACGAAAGTATAAAAGAAAATCTAGCCCCTTCTTCGAGGCCGAGAGAACTTTAAACGTTAGCCATTTCTTAGCCGCCGGCTAAATGAACAGACTCTTAATTCGTCTTAAAGTGTGGCATTTTCTCTAGCTCGTTCAAGTACAACACATCCAGCAGGCACGTAATCCACTCTAAAATGCCATCCTGGGGTAGTGAAGATGATGATGCTGGAAATATCCTTAAATGGCATGTGGATGAGTACCCCCAGAGGCATACATGTTGAGCTAAGTACTTTGCTGATGAAGGGTACAAGTTGAAGGGGTTTTGAAAGGCAGAGTGAGGTTCTTCAGAAGGCTGTTGCTACAGAAAGACAGGAGGAGAAATTACATGGCCAGATAGAGTGGCATGACCATTGGATAAGGGCTTTTTGTTTGTTGGTTTTTGAGATGGAGTTTTACTCTTGTTGCCCAGGCTGGAGTGCAATAGCACGATCTCAGCTCACCGCAACCTACGCCTCCCAGGTTCAAGCGATTCTCCTGCCTCAGCCTCCCTAGTAGCTGGAATTACAGGCATGTACCACCACTCCCGGCTAATTGTGTATTTTTTGTAGAGATGGTGTTTGTCCATGTTGGTCAGGCTGGTCTTGAACTCCCGACCTCAGGTGATCCACCAGCCTTGGCCTCCCAAATTGCTGGGATTACAGGCGTGAGTCACCGTGCCCAGTCTGGATGAGGGTCTTTAGCAAAGATGGAAGTTTTGGTACCTTGCAGTTTAGTCTCTTCATTTATGTCCTCCTGAAATCTTCAGGAATTGCACTATTTTGTCAATACTTCTGGGGTCGTACTTAGGGGGACTTAAAGGAGATGTGATGTGGCAGCCTTTGACTTAAGGGAGTATCATACTAGCTCAAAGAGATCTGGGTACATGCCAGTTGAACCAACTCTTCTGAGGATGTGATAGATCCTGGGAGGCCACTCTGATCCTGCCAACGTTGAGGCCAGATGAGTCTTTGAAAAACATGGCTTGGCTTAACACCAGCACTTACTCTAACACCCACCATGAATCTTGCTGAACTGAAGCTATACAAATACCTTTTCAAAAGATTTTTTTTCATTCCAGATCCTTCTTAGAAATTCCTAAGGCTCAATGCTTTGTGGAAGATTCTGAGAAAGAAAATAGTTTCCGATCTTTGGGATTCCCGAGATGGTCCAATCTGCAAAAAGTTCATTGCCATTTCCATCAAGGACACTGAGAACAAGAGTCTTATCTGGATTGGATCCTGGGAATTGAGAAGCTTCAGCAGGTGGGAAATGCACCCTCCACAGGCTCACACCCTTGTGGGCTGTTTCAGTTACCTATTGCACCTAAAATTAGAAACTTTAAACCACCAGAAGCCATTATTGCTCATGACCCTGTGAGTTGCATGGGGACTTCCTGGCTGGTTTAACCTGGGCTCATTTGTGTGGCTACCTGCAGCTGGAGGGCCAGCTGGGCGGAGCATCCAGGATGGCCTCATGCATGTGCCTGGCAGTTGGTGCTGGTTGTCAGCCGGGGAAGCTTGTTTTCCTCCATGTGGCCCCTCGCCCTCCAGAACCCCTCTCCAAATGTCCCTTTAAGCAGGATAGCCAAGGTTTGCTTGGTGCCAGCATCCAAGAGGGCAAAAATATGGAAACTACGAGAGGGCTCTCAAGACCTAAGACTATTTGCACCCCAAAAATATGAGGTCTCAGTTAATTCAGAAAGTTTATTTTGCCAAGGTTAAGGACTCACGCCTGTGACACAGCCTCGGGAGGTCCTGACAACATGGGCCTAAGGTGGTGGGGACACAGCTTGGTTTGATACATTTTAGAGAGACATGAGACATCAATCAATATGTGTAAGATGTACATTGTTTCAGTCTGGAAAGGCGGGACAACTCCAGGTGAAAGTGAAGGTGAGACAAGGGGAAGGGGCTTCCAGGTCATTGGTAGTTAAGAGACAAATGGTTGCATTGTTGTGAGTTCCTGATTAGCCTCTCCAAATGAGGCAATCAGATATACATTCATCTCAGTAAGCAAAGGGTTAACTGAATAGAATGGGAGGCAGGTTTCCCTTAAGCAGTTCCCAGCTTGACTTTTCTCTTTAGCTTAGTAACTTTTTTTTGGGTGGGCGGACAGAGTCTCGCTCTGTTGTGCAGGCTGGAGTGCAGTGGTACGATCTCGGCTTATTGCAACCTCCAACTCCAGGGTTCAAGAAGTTTCCCTGCCTCAGCATCCCAAGTAGCTGGGATTACAGGCGCCTGCCACCACGCCTGGCTAATTTTCATATATTTTAGTAGAGATGGGGTTTTGTCATGTTGGCCAGGCTGGTCTTGAACTCCTGACCTCAGGTGATCTGCCCGCCTCAGCTTCCCAAAGTGCTGGGATTACAGGCGTGAGCCACGGAGCCCAGCCTAGCTTAGTGATCTTGGGGCCCCAAGGTTTATTTTCCTTTTACGGCTAGAAGTTGGTCACCATCAATTTGGCAGCATTCCACTGACCAAAGCAAGTCATAGGCAGCCCAGATTCATGTAGAGGAGTATAAATTTTCCCTCTTTAAGGAAAGATTGGTTCAATTATACTGCACGAACATTTGCAGAAAGTTGTACCCATCTTTGGAAACTACCACACACACACACACACACACACACACACACACACACACACCCCTTTACATGCAACCCTCCCTTGAGGTGCATCTACTTCCAGGCAGAACCAAAACTTGACAGTACTCGACAGAAGAAAAGTAGCGTCCTAAATGCCAGTTCTCTTCTTACTCAACTTCAGCCTCATTATAAGCAGATTCTAACAGTTTATGTGTCTTGAGAAACATTTTAATTAATCTTTGGAATTTAAGAATTTCAATTCATAGCAGTAGCCTATGCATAGGAAATATGCATATTGTAAGTTTTTCCTTTCTGATAAATCACGCTGGGGGAACGACACTGTAACTTTTTTTTTTTTTTTTTTTGAGGAGTCTCACTCTGTTGCCCAGGCTGGAGGGCAGTGGCATGATCTCAGCTCATGCAACCTCCCCCTCCCTGGTTCAAGCAATTCTCCTGCCTCAGCCTCCTGAGTAGCTGGGATTACAGGTGCACAAGACGGGGTTTCACCATGTTGGTCAGGTTGGTCTCGAACTCCTGACCTCTGATCTGCCCACCTCAGCCTCTCAAAGTGCTGGGATTATAGGCGTGAGCCACCGGCTCACGTATACTGTGACAATATATTGAAAGTTTCTCTTTTTTTCAAATAATTAACAGGTTTAACAGAATGTATCTCCTGATCTATTCCTTTCACTGCAGACATCTATTGCCTTTTCAGCCTAGCAGCCCTCCCCTCTATAGAGAGTCACACTTCCTACTCCAGTCATGTGGATCTCATGGGGGCTGCCATGTTCTCAAATGACTCCACCTCCCTGGCCTCAGTTGATTGGTCCAGGGATGAGCATCTGGCCTAAATTGGCCAATCAGAATTCTTCCCTTGAATATTTTTCCAAACTGGAACTAGACCAAGTTAATCATTCTCTGTGATGACAGGAATTGTGTGTAGTGAGAAATACAGGAGCTTTTGTGGACACGTTTCTCACCTTATGGAGAAAAGGCTTGAGTAAGAAGAAATTAAGCCAGTATGCAGACAAAGCTAGAGACAGAGATAGAGAGAGAGATCTTGTGGTAAGCCCCTTGGTTTTTGTCATTTTAGTACATGCTCGATACTGCATACAACCAAGACTTTCACCTGAGGGCTTTCTGAAAGTCAGGCATGGAGTATGTCAGAAAAGCCACAGAAGCTGGGCGCAGTGGCTCACTCCTGTAATCCCAACACTGGGAGGCCGAGGCAGGTGGATCACGAGGTCAGGAGTTAGAGACCAGCCTGACCAACGTGGCAAAACCCCGTCTCTACAAAAAATAAAAAAATTAGCCGGGCATGGTGGCAGGTGCCTGTAATCCCAGCTACTGAGGAAGCCGAGGCAAGAGAATCGTTTGAACCTGGGAGGCAGATGTTGCAGTGAGCCGAGATCATGCCTTTGCAGTCCAGCCTGGGTGACAGAGCAAGACTATGTCTCAAAAAAAAAAAAAAAGAAGAAGAAGAAAGCAAAGCCAGAGAGTTGATGCCCTGGGACCAGTCCTCAGCCAGTGACGGATGGGAGCCAGGCTATAAATGCTTCAATATCTTTGCCCCCTGGATGGAACAACTTTGAAATGTATTCCACATCACCTCTCAGAGGTCCCCAGTGGGGTCAAATCCTAGTTGCCTAGAGTGGTAAGCTGCTCATTGAAGCCCCCTGTGTGGCCTCCTACCTTTCCATGAATCAATTCCTCACTCCCCTATTGGTGTCCCCTGGAATCATCTCCTAAATAATCCACTTGCAATCCTGTCCCTCTTTCAGGATCTGCTTGGGGTTGGGGTTGGGGAGTGCAGAGAAAAACATGATCCCTTTTCCACTCCACACTAGTAAGATGAGTTTCTGTCACTGACAACCAAGAGTTCTGACTATTACCTCCTTCTGAGATAATTCCTAAAATGTATTTGGGAATTTCCCCACCTCCACCCCACTGCATATGTCATCAATATGTAGATTTCTTAACAAAGTGGTATTCTTTGATCAACCTCAAGTTTCACAAAACACACTGCACTTTCATAAGGGCTCCCCAGGACTGACAGATCAGCCGTTCAAAAGAAGGGAAGTGTCAGAGATGGCTCTCCTAGACTCGCGTATTTTTCAGTAGAATCTGGGTCAGGATGTTGTGGTCGGGAGATGCTTCTGGATCTCTGGGACCCACAAGCCTGCGTGTCATGGTGGAGTATTAGGACAACTTGAAAACATAGTGGCAGGAGGAGGCTTCCTCTCTCCCCTGCAGTTCATCCTCCAGCACACCCAATGTGCTCAACAGATATTGGTTAAATGAATAATGGGGCCAGGCATGGTGGCTCACGCCTGTAATCCCAGCACTTTGGGAGGCTGAGGCAGGTGGATCACCTGAGGTCAGGAGTTCAAGACCAGCCTGGCCATAGAGGCAGGAGAAGCACTTGAACCTGGAAGGCGGAGTTTACAGCACGCTGAGATGGCACCACTGCACTCCAGCCTGGGTGACAGAGCAAGACTCAAAAAAAAAAAAAAATGGATTTATTCCTTCCAAACTGAAACTCACCAAAAGAAGACCAACACGCATGACAATGTTGTGGCCATAATCACCACAGTGACAATAATAAATATAATCAACTCTCGAGCCAGCCACCTCCACTAAACCTAGTGGATCACATCTAGTGTTTCACTTTGGGGATATTTTAGTGGTCATCGTAGATTGTCGCCTGACTGCTGGCTGTTTCTACCATGTTTCAGGAATATAGAGATGTGTACAGATGGCCCCTAAAATTAATTAGTATGCAATTCTCAAAGAGCCAAACTGTACCCCAAAAGCTACTGGAATGAAAAAAAAAAAAGTTTTAATTCTCAAAGAGACAAACTAGATAGTAGAAGCATTTATGTTCCCTTGGAGAATCTTCCCACCAAGGACTCAAAGTTGTCTCCAGACCAGGGAATGCCTGGGGCCTTGGACTTTCCCAATTCTGGTATCACCTCCCATTCTCCTTTAGGTCCAGCTTTCTCAGAGGGGCATGCATTGTTCATTGCCACCAAGGGTATCCAAGGACAGAAACTGAAGATAATAGTGCCTTATTGTCTCTCAGTCATCTTTCTCTCCCACATGCTGGAAAGAGAGCCAAGTCCAATTTATCCAATTACAAAATAGCAACATTGGCATCATGAGATCAGCTAACAAAACTTTCAGAGGCAATCTATCTTCCTACCAAAAGTAACCAACATCTGTGGAGCACTGACCATGACTAAGGGTCAACATAAGTGGTTTGCATGCTACATGCATCAGGATGGACTAGGTTATGCTGCAGTAACAAATTAACCCCAGAGTCTCAGCAGCTTAGCAACCAAGGTTGATTTCTTACATTCCATGTCCACAATGGGTTGGCTGGGTATGGTGTGCTCCATATGGCCACTCAAAGACCTAGAATGATGGAAATTCTACCATCTTAATGTAAGGATTCTCCCCTAGTTACTGCACCAGGAGATGAGAGAATGAGATAGTTATTTCCAAGCCCTCAAAAGCTGTAGACTAGAGGTGATGTCAGTGACTTCCACTTATAGAGCATTGGACCCTGGCATGGATCCATCTAACTACGGGGGTCTGGGGAATACAGGGAGCAGATGGAAATCCCATGAGCAGTAACCATTCCTGCCAGCATGCATTATTTCATCTGAACCTCACAACCCTATGGAATATATAACAGAGGCTTGGAGAGTTATGGGACCTGCCCCAAGGCATCATAGATAATGAGTTGCAGAGCTGAGATATGACCTTCGGCCTCCTCACCCACCTCCTCACCCACCCCCACCCCCACCGAAAGAATCAAACTACGCAAATAACTGGAATGAAATTCTCAGGCAATTTCAGCAGGGGAAATGGGGTTATCTCATCTGGGTCTCACATCCGACCTCGTCAAGACAAGACCTTCCCTACACTTCACCTGAACACCTGGACACACTGTCATGTCTTGCCAGTTCTTGTTACTGGAGATCCAATGATGATGTCTTTATACAATTTATAGGTCTTTCTATAAGTGTCAAGATAAATGTCATCTCTGTACCTGCCTATCTTTCAGAGGTAGGCAAGCTTCTATGTAAAGTGCTAGATAGTAAATATTATAAACTTTTCAGGACTCATCTGATCTCCATCCTATATATTTTTTTGTTTTTATTTTTGTTTTACAAATTTTTTTTTTCTTTCTAGATAGGGTCTAAAAAGAAAATAAAACTTATCCATGTTGTGATATGGATGAACGTTAGGGTCAGTGAAAGAAGCAGACATGAAAGGTCATATATTGTAGAATTCCATTTATATGCAATGTTCAGACTAAGCCAATCGACAGAGATAGAAAGTAGATGAGAGGTTTCCAACGGCTGCAGGAGGGAGTATGCAGAGTGACTGCTGAATGGATATGAGGCTTCCAACTGAGGTGTTGAAAAAGCCCTGAAACTAGGTAGTGGTGATAATTGCACAACATGATAGATGTACAAAATGTCCCTGAATTGTACACTTTCAGATGCACAAAATGATAAATGTTGCATATATTATACCACAATTTTATTCATTTATTTTAGAGATAGAGTCTCACTCCGTCACCCAGGCTGCAGTGCAATGTCACAGTCATAGCTCACTGCTGCCTTTACCGCCTGGACTCAAGCAATCCTCCCACCTAGTCTTCCAAGTAGCTGGGACTACAGGTGAACGCTACCACACCCAGCTTTTTAAATTTTTTTATAGAGTTGCATTCTCAGTATATTGCCCAGATTGGCCCAAACTCCTGGCTTCAAGTGATTCTCTCATCTCAGCCTCCCAAAGTGCTGGGATAACAGGTGTAAGACATCAGGCCAGGCAATTTTCAATTCTTATGCAAAATTTTCAACTAATTCCTAGGATTGAAAAAAATGTCGATCAACATGGGGATTAGAGGAAAAAATAATTTTAAACAAGAGAAAAAATTAAATGAGATGATGTACATGTATACAGTGCCTGGCCTCATGATCAATGACTCCACTGCAGCTTTTTATTTCTTTTTCCATACAGGGTCTCACTCTGTCACCCAGGCTGAGTACAGTGGCATAATCATGGCTTACTACAGCCTCAACCTCCTGGGCACAAGTGATCCTCCCACCTCAGCCTCTCAAGTAGCTGGGACTACAGATGCACACAATCACACCTAGCTATTTGTGTTGTTGTTGTTATATTTTTTGGTAGTGGCAGGGTCTCACCATGTTGCCCAGGCTGGCATCTCGAACTCCTGGGCTCAAGCGATCCTCCCACCTCAGCTTCCCAAAGTGCTGGGATTACAGGTGTCAGCCACCATGCCCATCCTGTTGTAGCTATTTTAATAGTGCTGGTGAACAATAATTTGCTCTCCCTATAAAAACAGAACATACTAAGCCAAGGAAAGCACCAATCTAGTTTGTTCTCCCCAGATCTTCAAAGTGTTGGAATTAGTATAAGAGTCCAAAATATTTCATGTGGTTTGATTTTTTTTTTTTTTTTTTTTTTTTTTTTTTTGGAGATGCAGTCTCGTTCCATCGTCCAGGTTGGAAGGCAGTGGAGCAATCTCAGCTCACTGCAACCTCCGCCTCCCGGGTTCAAGCAATTCTCCTGCCTCAGCCTCCCGAGTAGCTGGGATTACAGACATGTACCGCCACGCCTGGCTAATTTTTGCATTTTTAGTAGAGATGGGGTTTCTCCATGTTGGCCAGGCTGGTCTTGAACTCCTGACCTCAAATGATCTACCCGCCTTGGCCTCCCAAAGTGCTGGGATTACAGGTGTAAGCCACCATGCCCGGCCAGCTTGATTTTTTACTGTGGTAAAATACATACAAAATCTATTATTTTAGCCATTTTCAAAGGAAAAATTCAGTGGTATTAAGTGCATCCCCCACATTGTACAGCCATGTCCCCCATCCATCTCCAGAACGCTTTCATACTGTCCTGCAAATTTGCAGCACCTTGCTACACTCCAGGTTGTTTGTCCCACAACAGAACTGGGCTGAATTACTAATGCGGACTTTGTTTAACAACGGACTAAAGAGGGAGAAGCCCATGAACTCTGTGAGGAGTGCATGACAGGTGCTTGTAGGATGACATGACTCGGCGCCCTCCAGCTGCTGCTGCCACCGCCTGTCCTGCTGGGCGGCCACCCCCTCGCAGGGAAGAAGAGCACTCACAACTGCTGCTGATCTCCTTCCAGGGCTTCCGCTGGGACTAGGATCAGGATGTGAACACCCCCAACCTGGACCATCTGGCCAGGGAGGGCGTCAAGGCCAAGTACCTCATGCCGCCCCTTGTGACAATGACCTCCCCGTCCCACTTCACTGCCATCACAGGTAAGCGCCACTCTGCCCATTTCACCCGATGCCCATCAAATCCCCAGCGTCCGTCATTCCCTGTGATAAGAAGCAAAAGCTCGGTCAGCTCTAGGGAGGTTGAGGTTGCTCCGGGGTCTCACTCTGTTGCCCAGGCTGTAGCTCAGTGGCATAATCACAGCTCAGTGGAGCCTCAAGCTCCTGGTCTCAAGCAGTCCTCCCTAGCTCAGTCTCCTCAGTAGCTGGGGATACAGACAAGCCACCATGCCTGATTTTCTCATTTTCTTAGAAACTGGGGCAGGGGGTGTCTCACTATGTTGCCTGGGCTGGTTTTGAACTCCTGGCCTCAAGTGATCATCCCACCTCAGCCTCCCAAAGTGCTGAGATTGGAGACATGAGCTACCGTGACTGGCCTATTCTTTTTTTTTAAAGTAAATAAGGCCGAGCATGGTGACTCACCCCTGTAATCCCAGCACTTTTGGTGGCTGAGGTGGGTGGATCACCTGAGGTCAGGAGTTCAAGACCAGCTTGCCCAACATGGTGAAACGTCACCTATCCTAAAAATACAAAAATAAGCTGGGCGTGGTGGCAGATGCCTATAACCACAGCTACTCTGGAGTCTGATACAGGAGAATCACTTGAACCCAGGAGGTGGTAGTTGAAGTGAGCCGAGATCATGCCATTGCATTCCAGTTTGGGCAAAAGAGCAAGATTTTGTCTCAAAAAAAAAACAAAAGTAATAAAAATAAAAAGGTAAATAACTAAAATCACTTTTAAATAATTGTATAAAAATAATAAAACACTGACATTTACAGAGCTCAGTTAGATGAGGTGACTCATACCTTCCAATGGTGTCTTGGTTCTCTTACATAAGAATTCAAATGTCTTTCTGTGGCCCAAAAGATCCCACACAGCCTGGCCCCTGGCCTATCTTCTGCCAGCCTCTCTCATCTCTCTCCCTCTCCTTCACTTCCTTCCGGATCACAAAGGCCTTTGCCTGTGCCTTCTGCCCTGCTCCCTCAAGCCCCAGGGCCTTGGCCTGTGCTAGTCCAGTCCCTCCAGCTCACCAGGAGCATACAGTCCAGTCGGGGAGACAGACACCAGACACCCAAACAGGCACATACATCCTGTAACAACTCAGGAGGCATCAAGGAGGAAAACGAGTTTTCCAGGCACAGACTACAGGCGTAAACTGGTTTCAAACTAGAGAGGGAGAAAGGGGGTCTCTGAGCATGGGGCAGTTGAGCTGAAAGAGATCTCAGGGGACCAGAGGAAGGAAAAGTGTTCCAGGCGAGGGAAGAGCATGTGTGAGGTCTCTGAGACAAAGACCTGGTCATTTCAGAATCCCAATGGCCACTAAAATAGAGGGATTCCAACCTAAAAAGGAGGAAGAGGAGGCTGCTGGAAAGCAAAGGACTCTGTGTAAGAATCATAATAGCCGGAGTGGAGCCAAGATGGCCGAATAGGAACAGCTCCAGTCTACAATTCCTGGCGTGAGCGACCCAGAAGACAGGTGATTTCTGCATTTCCAACTGAGGTACTTGGTTCATCTCACTGGAGAGTGTCAGAAAGTGGGTGCAGGACACTTGGTGCAGTGCACCGAGCATGAGCCAAGCAGGACAAGGCATTGCCTCACCTGGGAAGTGCAAGGGGTCAGAGAATTCCCTTCCCTAGTCAAAGAAACGGGTGACAGATGGCACCTGGAAAATCGGGTCACTCACACCCTAATACTGCACTTTTCCAATGGTCTTAGCAAACGGCACACCAGGAGATTATATCCCATGCCTGGCTCAGAGGGTCCTAAACCCATGGAGCCTCACTCATTGCTAGCACAGCAGTATGAGATCAAACTGCAAGGTGGCAGCAAGGCTGGGGGAGGGGCGCCCACCATTGCCTAGGCTTCAGTAGGTAAACAAAGCAGCTGGGAAGCTCCAACTGGGTGGAGCCCACCTCAGCTCAAGGAGGCCTGCCTGCCTCTGTAGACTCCACCTCTGGGGGCAGGGCATTGGCAAACAAAAGGCAGCAGAATCCTCTGCAGACTTAAATATCCCTGTCTGACAGCTTTGAAGAGAGAAGTGGTTCTCCCAGCACACAGCTGGAGATCTGAGAATGGACAGATTGCCTCCTCAAGTGGGTCCCTGACCCCCGAGTTGTCTAACTGGAGGCACACCCCCGTAGGGGCAGACTGACACCTCACATGGCCGGGTACTCCTCTGAGACAAAACTTCCAGAGGAACAATCAGGCAGCAACATTTGCTGCTCAACAATATCTGCTGTTCTGCAGCCTCAACTGCTGACACCCAGGCAAACTCCAACAGACCTGCAGCTGAGGGTCCTGACTCTTAGAAGGAAAACTAACAAACAGAAAAGACATCCACACTTAAAACCCCATCTGTACGTCACCATCATCAAAGACCAAACGTAGATAAAGCCACAAAGATGGGGAAAAAACAGACACACACAGGCTCAAATAAAGGGATGGAGGAAGATCTACCAAGCAAATGGAAAACAAAAAAAAGGCAGGTGTTGCAATCCTAGTCTCTGATAAAACAGACTTTAAACCAACAAAGATCAAAAGAGACAAAGAAGGCCATTACATAATGGTAAAGGGATCAATTCAACAAGAAGAGCTAACTATCCTAAATATATATGCACCCAATACATGAGCACCCAGATTCAAAAAGCAAGTCCTTAGAGACCTACAAAGAGACTTAGACTCCCACACAATAATAATAGGAGGCTTTAACACCCCACTGTCAACATTAGACAGATCAACAAGACAGAAAGTTAACAAGTATATTCAGGAATTGAACTCAGCTCTGCACCAAGCGGAACTAATAGACATCTACAGAACTCTCCACCCCAAATCAACAGAATATACAGTCTTCTCAGCACCACATCGCACTTCTTCCAAAATTGACCACATAGTTGGAAGTGAAGCACTCTTCAGCAAATGTAAAACAACAGAAATTATAACAAACTGTCTCTCAGACCACAGTGCAATCAAACTAGAACTCAGGATTAAGAAACTCTCTCAAAACTACTCAAATACATGAAAACTGAACAACCTGCTCCTGAATGACTACTGGGTACATAATGAAATGAAGGCAGAAATAAAGGTGTTCTTTGAAACCAACGAGAACAAAGACACAACATACCAGAATCTCTCGGACACATTCAAAGCAGTGTGTAGAGGGAAATTTATAGCACTAAATGCCCACAAGAGAAAACAGGAAATATCTAAAATTGACACCCTAACATCACAATTAAAAGAACTAGAGAAGCAAAGAGCAAACACATTCAAAAGCTAGCAGAAGGCAAGAAATAACTAAGATCAGAGCAGAACTGAAGGAAATAGAGACACAAAAAACCCTTCAAAAAATCCATGAATCCAGGAGCTGGTTTTTTGAAAAGATCAACAAAATTGATAGACCACTAGCAAGACTAATAAAGAAAAGAGAGAAGAATCCAATAGACACAATAAAAATTGATAAAGGGGATATCACCACCAATCCCACAAAAATACAAACTACCATCAGAGGATAGTATAAACACCTCTATGCAAATAAACTAGAAAACCTAGAAGAAATGGATAAATTCCTCGACACGTACACCCTCCCAAGGCTAAACCAGGAAGAAGTTGAATCTCTGAATAGACCAATAACAGGTTCTGAAATTGAGGCAATAACTAATAGCTTACCAACCAAAAAAAGTCCATGACCAGACGGAATCACAGACGAATTCCACCAGAGGTAAAAGGAGGAGCTGGTACCATTCCTTCTGAAACTATTCCAAACAATAGAAAAAGAGGGAATCCTACCTAACTCATTTTATGAGGCCAGCATCATCTTGATACCAAAGCCGGGCAGAGACACAACCAAAAAAGAGAATTTTAGACCAATATCCCTGATGAACATCGATGCAAAAATCCTCTATAAAATACTGGCAAACCGAATCCAGCAGCACATCAAAAACTTATCCACCATGATCAAGTGGGCTTCCTCCCTGGGATGCAAGATTGGTTCAACATTTGCAAATCAGTAAACATAATCCAGCATATAAACAGAACCAATGACAAAAACCATATGATTATCTCATTACATGCAGAAAAGGCCTGTGACAAAATTCAACAACCTTCATGCTGAAAACTCTCAATAAATTAAGTATTGATGGGACGTATCTCAAAATAATAAGAGCTATCTATGACAAACCCACAGCCAATATCATACTGAATGGGCAAAAACTGGAAGCATTCCCTTTGAAAACTGGCACAAGACAGGGATGCCCTCTCTCACCACTCCTATTCAACATAGTGTTGGAAGTTCTGGCCAGGGCAATCAGGGAGGAGAAGGAAATAAAGGGTATTCAATTAAGAAAAGAGGAAGTCAAATTGTCCCTGTTTGCAGATGACATGATTGTATATCAAGAAAACCCCACTGTCTCAGCCCAAAATCTCCTTAAGCTGATAGGCAACTTCAGCAAAGTCTCAGGATACAAAATCAATTTGCAAAAATCACAAGCATTCTTATAAACCAATACAGACAAACAGAGAGCCAAATCATGAGTGAACTCCCATTCACAATTGCTTCAAAGAGAATAAAATACCTAGGAATCCAACTTACAAGGGATATGAAGGACCTCTTCAAGGAGAACTATAAACCACTGCTCAACGAAATAAAAGAGGACACAAACAAATGGAAGAACATTCCATGCTCATGAGTAGGAAGAATCAATATCGTAAAAATGGCCATATTGGCCAAGGTAATTTATAGATTCAATGCCATCCCCATCAAGTTACCAATGACTTTCTTCACAGAATTGGAAAAAACTACTTTAAAGTTCATATGGAACCAAAAAAGAGCCCGCATTGCCAAGTCAATCCTAAGCCAAAAGAACAAAGCTAGAGGCATCACACTACCTGACTTCAAACTATACTACAAGGCTACAGTAATCAAAACAGCCTGGTACTGGTACAAAAACAGAGATATAGACCAATGGAACAGAACAGAGCCCTCAGGAATAATGCCACATATCTACAACCATCTGATCTTTGACAAACCTGACAAAAACATGAAACGGGGAAAGGATTCCCTATTTAATAAATGGTGCTGGGAAAACTGGCTAGCCATATGAAGAAAGCTGAAACTGGATCCCTTCCTTACACCTTAGACAAAAATTAATTCAAGATGGATTAGACTTAAATGTTAGACCTAAAACCATAAAAACCCTAGAAGAAAACCTCAGCAATATCATTCAGGACATAGGCATGGGCAAGGAATTCATGTCTAAAACACCAAAAGCAATGGCAAGAAAAGCCAAAATTAACAAATGGGATCTAATTAAACTAAAGAGCTTCTGCACAGCAAAAGAAACTACCATCAGAGTGAACAGGCAACCTACAGAATGGGAGAAAATTTTTGCAATCTACTCATCTGACAAAGGGCTAATATCAAGAATCTACAATGAGCTCCAATAAATTTACAAGAAAAAAACAAACAACCCATCAAAAAGTGGGCAAAGGATATGAACAGACACTTCTCAAAAGAAGACATTTATGTAGCCAAAAGACACGTGAAAAAAATGCTCATCATCCCTGGCCAGAGAAATGCAAGTCAAAACAACAATGTGATACCATCTCACCCCAGTTAGAATGGCGATCATTAACAAGTCAGGAAACAACAGGTGCTGGAGAGGATGTGGAGAAATAGGAACACTTTTACGCTGTTGGTGGGACTGTAAACTAGTTCACCCATTGTGAAATTCAGTGTGGCAATTCCTCAGGGATCTAGAACTAGAAATACCATTTGACCCAGCCATCCCATTACTGGGTATATACCCAAAGGATTATAAATCATGCTGCTATAAAGACACATGCACACGTATGTTTATAGTGGCACTATTCACAATAGCAAAGACTTGGAACCAAGCCAAATGTCCAACAATGATAGACAGGATTAAGAAAATATGGCACATATACACCATGGAATACTATGCAGCCATAAACAATGATTTCATGTCCTTTGTAGGGACATGGATGAAGCTGGAAACCATCATTCTCTGCAAACTATTGCAAGGACAAAAAACCAAACACCGCATGTTCTCACTCATAGGTAGGAATTAAACAATGAGAACACATGGACACAGGAAGGGGAACATCACACGCTGGGACCTGTTGTGGGGGCGGGGGAGGAGGGAGGGATAGCATTAAGAGATATACCTAATGTTAAATGACGAGTTAATGGGTACAGCACACCAACATGGCACATGTATACATATGTAACAAACCTGCACGTTGTGCACATGTACCCTAAAACTTAAGGTATAGTACAAAATAAAAAATAAGATAAAAACTTCGGCTGTTGACTCCCAATATCCTGCTTCATCATCTCTCTACTCCAGAAACTTTTCACATGCTTACAAAGGGTGTTCGTTTCTCCTCTAAGTATTTGCTCCCCAGCCCCACCTGCAAGAAGGTGGAAGTAGGGCCTCTGCCTGGGATGGTAACTCTCAAATATAAGGCAAGACCTGTCTCTCCACCAGTATCCCCAGGACTGAAGGACTGTGAAAGTCTGCATATTGATCAAGCTTCTCCCTCCCTTATCTGAAGGGACTTACTTCCTTCAAGACACTTTTCCTCTTCCCACCTAGCTCCATGCCCCCATCCAGTCATCTTCCAACCCATCTCTCCCAACCTGCATGCCACACAAGAGGGGCGTGGCCACAGCACCTGGAAGTTCATTAAAACTGAATGGTGTGTCAGGCCAGGTGCGGTGGCTCATGTCAGCAACCCCAGCACTTTGGGAGGCTGAGGCAGGCAGGTCACTTGAGGTCAGGAGTTCGAGACCAGCCTGGCCAAAATGGAGAAACTCCATCTCTACTAAAAATATAAAAATTAGCTGGGTTTGGTTGTGCTTGCCTGTAGTCCTAGCTACTTGGGGGGCTGAGGAAAGGGAATCACTTGAACCTGGGAGGCAGAGGTTACAGTGAGCCAAGATTGCGCCATTGCACTCAAGCCTGGGCGATAGAGTGAGACTCTGTCTCAAAAAAAAAAAAGAAAAAAAAAGAAAAAAGAAAAAAAAGAAATCGAATGGTGTGATTAGCTTATGATTTTTTAAAAATGGAATGATGTATTCATTTTCTAAGCTGCATAACAAATCAACACAAATTTAGCAGCTTAAAACATCCATCTATTACCTCTCCTTTCCTGTGGGTCAGGAGTCTGGGGGTGCAGTTTAGCTGGGCCCTCTGCTTAGGTACTTACAAGGTTGTGATCAAGGTGTTGGCTGGAATTAGTGTCTCATATGAGGCTTGGGGTCTTCTCCCAACCTCACATGGTTGTTGGCAGAATTTATTTCCATGCAACTGTGGAACTCATGTGGCTTGCTTCTTCAAAACCAGCCAGGCATGGTGGCTCACGCCTGTAATCCCAGCACTTTCGGAGGCCGAGGCAGGTGGATCACCTGATGTCAGGAGTTCGAGACCAGCCTGGCCAATATGGTGAAACCCCATCTCTACTAAAAATACAAAACTTAGCCGGTCATGATTGTGCACGCCTGTAATCCCAGCTACTTGGGAGGCTGAGGCAGGAGAATCACTTGAACCCAGGAGACAGAGGTTGCAGTAAGCCGAGATCGTGCCACTGCACTCCAGCCTGGGCAACAGAGTGAGACTCCATGTCAAAAACAAACAAACAAACAAAAACCAAAAACCAGGAGGAAGGAGTCTCTCTCCTCCAGACCCTCATTGAAGATCTCACCTGAAGATGTCAGGCCCACCCTGAATAATCTCTCTTTTGATTAACTCAAAGTGAATGGATTAGGGGCTTAGTTACATCTGCAAAATCCCTTCAACTTTTCCATAGGTATAGATTAGAAGCAAGCCACGGGTCCTGCCTACACTCCAGGGGAGAGGAGATTACACCTGGCATTTATCCAGGGCAAGAACCTAAGGGGTCATCTCAGAATTCTGCCTTCCAAATAGATCCTCGGTGGAGCTCACGAGCCTGGGCGAGCACCAGCCTTTGTTTAAAGGCAACAGAGAATGATGCCCTGGCTCAGATCTCCAGCAAGCCTCCAGAATGATGGTCCAGTCTCTGAACCCTGGGCCAAGGCAGCAGGAGGTTTGGGTGCACATGGGGGCTTCCCCCACTTTGAAGTGAGTCGTCACATCTGTATTAGACCCTAGCTGTTGCTTAGGCAAAAATGATGATTTAGAAGAAGATGGAGAGAAGAGGAGAGTTAATTTAAAAGTACTTGTATTCGGCCGGACGTGGTGGTTCACGCCTGTAATCCCAGCACTTTGGGAGGCTGAGGCAGGCGGATCACGAGGTCAGGAGATGGAGACCATCCTGGCTAACACGGCGAAACCTTGTCTCTATTAAAAATACAAAAAATTAGCTGGGCGTGGTGGCCGGTGCCTGTAGTCCCAGCTACTCAGGAGGCTGAGGCAGGAGAATGGCGTGAACCCAGGAGGCGGAGATTGCAGTGAGCCGAGATCGCGCCACTGCACTCCAGCCTGGGCAACAGAGCGAGACTCCGTCTCAAAAAAAGAAAAAAAAAAGAAAGTACTTATGTTCATTCCCTAGGGCTGCCACAACCAAGTACCAAAAGCTGCGTGACTTGAAACCAGAGAAACTGATTGTCTTGTGGCTCTGGTGGCCAGCAGTCTGAAATGGAAGTGCCAGCAGGGCCACGCTCCCTCCTGCGATTGTCGGGGAGTCCTGCCTTGCCTCTTCCTACCTTCCTGTGGTCTCCTGGCAGTCTTCAGTGTTTCTTGGTTTGCATACGCATCAGTCCAATCTTCCGGCCAATCCATGGACGCCTTCCCTGTGTCTCTGTGACTCGGCGTGTCCTCTCGTCTTTTATAAGGACACCAGTCGTTGACTTAGGGCCCTCCCTACTCCAAGATGACTTCATCCTAATCAATAGCGTCTGCAATAACCCTATTTCTTTCTTTTCTTTCTTTTCTTTTTCTTTCTTTCTTCCTTTCTTTTTTCTTTCTTTCTTTTCTTTCTTTCTTTCTTTTTTTTCTTCTTTCTCTCTCTCTCTCTCTCTCTCTCTCTCTCTCTCTCTCTCTCTCTTTCTTTCTTTCTTTTGAGACGGAGTTTCACTCTTTTTGCCCAGGCTGGAGTGCAATAGCACGATTTCAGCTCAATGCAACCTCCGCCTCGTGGGTTCAGGCGATTGTCCTGCCTCAGCCTCCCTAGTAGCTGGGATTACAGGTATGTGCCACCACACCCAGCTAATTTTGAATTTTTAGTAGAGACGGAGTTTCTCCATGTTGGTCAGGCTGGTCTCAAACTCCTGACCTCAGGTGATCCGCCTGCCTCGACCTCCCAAAGTGCTGGGATTATAGGCATGAGCCACCACGCCCGGCCCGCAATAACTCTATTTCTAAATAAGGTCACATTCTGAGCTACTAGAATTTAGGATTTCAACATGTTTTGAGGAGGACTCAATTTAACCCATAAGAATACTATGTGGGCCACACATGCTGCTTCACATCTGTTATCCCAGCACTTTCGGAGTTTGAAGCAGGAGGATCATTGCTCAGGGCATAGGGGACACCAGGTGCATAAGACCACAGCGTTGACTGGTGTGGGGGCTCACACCTGTAAGTTTGGGAAGCTAAGGCAGGACGATCACTTGAGCCCAGGAGTTTGAGGCCAGCCTGGGTGACATAGTGAGATCTCATTTCTAAAGAAAAAATAATAATAATAATTAGCTGGGCATGGGGGTAGCGGCCTACAGTCCCAGCTACTCAGGAGGCTGAAGCAGGAGGGTCGCTTGAGTCCAGAAGATCAAGGCTGTGGCGAGCTGTGATTGCACCACTGCACTCCAGCCTGGGCAATAGAGCAAGCCCTGTCTCAAAAAAAAAAAAAAAAAAAAGTCATCTCCTTTGTCTTCTGATTCCGTGAGCTCTCATAGAAAGGAAGTGAAGCAGTGAAAGCATCCCCCCAAAAGGGAGTTTTCAAAACCAGCCTAAGCAACATAGCAAGACCTTGCCTTTAGAAAGTATTTAAATTTGAAGGAAAAAAAAAAGCAGTACTATAGCACAGAGGTGACAGCTACAGGTGTGGCTACATCCAGGTCCTAAAACTATATCATCAGAATGACCCCCTCACCCTCCCCCCGCTTTCCATTTTACTTTCTTAAGCATGAAAATGAAATTTCCAAGATTGTCTCTCCTTTGGCTAATCTGCTTCTCAGACCCAATCACTGTGGCCAGGGTGGTGGAAGGACACTGGCATCCAGGCTGGGACCACATGCCCCAGATCCAGATCAGGGTGGGGAATGGCCAGTGGCACACATGCCGTTGGGGACTAGTGACTCCTCAGCGGAAAATCAGGAACTATCATTGGAGAGGAGCGATAGAAGAAAGGCTGACACAGTGCAATGTGTCTCCTGCACCAGCCTGGGCCTTGATGTCTTGAGTACTGATGACACAGTACTCAGTCCAGGGCAATCCCAACTCCATCTATGGGGCTGCCCACAGTACATGGACCGCCTCACTGGATTTGCTGACCACATGTGCAAACAGCCACCTCCCAGCCCCACTCCCCGCAGTCCCCCTGAACCCTGTCAAAATTCCCCTCAGTTCTCACCAAGACTAAAAGCAATTCTGAGGGTGAGCGGCTCATTCTGCTAGTTTAACTCTCTCGATTCCTTCCCTCTCCAGAACTCTGTACTTACTGCTCCGTCACTGGTAATGACAATGAACATCTTCACAATCTCAGGTTTTATTGCAAAGTGATTGAGGACCAGTTAGAATAAGTTATGCTGCAGAAACTAAAGAAATCCCGTCAAGCAAATTGTGTGTCATAGAAAGTCTTAGGACAGCCGTGTATATTTTCTCCCCCAATGAATCAATTGAAAATGAGAAGCTCTTACCGCCATGTTCCGGGCAGAAGCTATCAAAAGTATAAGCCATGATATTATAATTTGATGATTTTTCATGCGTCAAATGGTTATGGCCCAGGGGTGAAAAGTGGATGCTCCGTAACTAGATGATGGTCAAGAGTTATAAAAATGAGGTCCTCTCTGTTCAACATTTCTCCTTTCTTGAAAGGATACTGAATATCATGCTCAGGGCCTCTAATGGCCAGAAATAAAGTTCCTCCCAGTTCCAGAGCACCCCAGGATAACCCCAAAACCAGAGCAACTGCTTATTTCCATATAGACTATATACTGTGCAACTCCCGGGGTGGCATTTTCATAAATATGTGGGTGGCGCCCCCTGGAGGTAAGCAATGCACAACTTGCACAAATGGTAAGACACCGTATCCCAAAGTCCACAAAGAAGAGCTAAGCAAAACTCCCATCGATGTTGCCATCGGTAATGAGTCTGCCTTTTCTTCATGGGACAGTAGCAAAAACAATTTGGCCAAGTGTGCTTGGATGATCTCTAAGATGGAATCAGGGTCTCTCACTTTCAGCACTATTGACATTTGGGGCTGGATCATTCTTTTGTCTTAGTGGGAGTTGTCCGGGGCATTGTAGGATGCTTAGCAGCATCGCTGGCCTCTACCCATTAGCTGCCAGTAGCACCACCTCCTCCAGCCGCAACCACCAAAATTGTCTCCAGACATGGCCACGTGTTCTCTGGGGGGCAAAATCACCCCCTGGCTGAAAAGCCCTGAAGTAAAGACATAATATGCAGATCACATGTAAGTAAGGGAGCCTAAGGGCCACACAGGTGATGCTGTACCCATGACAAAGACAGAGTCTTAAAGAGGTTAGAGAGGTGGAGAAAGAGAAAGGAAATGAAGTCCCAGTTGCCTAGAGCAACAGATGCTGACTAGATGTTGTTGATAGTCATCTTTAAACTGAGTTAAAAGATGCTGAGAAGCCATCAGCTCCCATCCTGCTCTCCAGGGACAACGCTGCTGAAAAAAGGCCTGGAGATCAACAAAGCCCCAAACACAGGTGCACTGAGCAAAGAAACCAGAGATTGAGACAAAATGACATTCCCTCAAAGACTACACATTTCCAAGAGGAGAGAAAAAGTGGAGTCATGAAAAACAGTTGAGGCTGGATAGAGTGACTCACACCTGTAATCCCAGCACTTTGGGATTACTCCCAGTCTGAGACGGGAAGACTGCTTGAACTCAGGAGTTCAAGACCAGCCTGGGCAACGTAGCAAGACCTTGCCTCTAGAAAAAGGGAAAAAATTAGCCAGGTGTGGTAATACATGCCTGTGGTCTCAGCTACTCGGGAGGCTGAGGTGGGAGGATCACTTGAACCCAGGAGGTAGAGGCTGCAGTGAGCCGGGATCGCACCACTGCACTCCAGCCTGGGCTACAGATCCTGTCCCAAAAAAGAAAAAAAATAAACCAAATTAAGGCCAGGCACGATGGCTCATGGCTGTAATCCCAGCACTTTGGGAGGCCGAGGTGGGCAGATCACGAGTTCAGGAGATTGAGACCATCCTGGCTAACACGGTGAAACCCCATCTCTATTAAAAATACAAACAATTAGCCGGACATGGTGCTGGGTGCCTATAGTCCCAGCTACTCTGGAGGCTGAGGCAGAAGAATGGAGTGAACTCGGGAGGTGGAGCTTGAAGTGAGCCAAGATCACGCCACTACACTCCAGCCTAGGCAAAAGAGCAAGACTCTATCTCAAAAAAAAAAGAAAAGAAAATTAAAAATTTTTTTGAGACCAAGTCTCACTCTGTCACCCAGGCTGGAGTGATCTCCAGCTCACTGGATCTCCGCTCACTGCAACCTCCGCCTCCTTGGTTCAAGTGATTCTCAGTTCTCAACCTCGTACCTCAACATGACTACAGGCATGTTTTCACCATGCCTAATTTTTGCATTTTTAGTAGAGATGGGATTTCACCATGTTGTCCAGGATGGTCTTGAACTCCTAGGTTAAAGCAATCTACCCACCTCAGCCTCCCAAAATGCTGAGATTACAGGCATGAGCCACCGTGCCTGACCTCTAACTTTTCATTATGGAAATTTTCCATATGCACAAAAATCAGGGAGAGAATTACACCATGAACCCCCATGCACCCATCATCCCACTGCAAGAACTTGTCAACATTTCGCCAATCTCATTCCAGTTCCCACTTTTCTTTTCCTTCTTGCTATTTTAGGATATTTTAAAGCAAATTCCAGACATTTCATTTCACCCACATCCATAACACACCAGGGTGCATTCTTGATGTAAGGATTTTGTTTTGTTTTATAACCCCCCATGCCATTGCCACAGTTAATAGATTTAACATGAAGAAACTAAGATTCTTGCAGGTGGAGAAAAGATCTAATTACCACCTTAAAGCCTCACCTACTAGCGCTTCTCAGATCTGAACGTGTATGCAAATCACCTGGGCATCTTGTTAAAATGTAGATTCTGGCCCAGCAGGTCCTTCCGGGTGAGCCCTGAGAGTCTTCAATACCAAAAGCTCCCAGGTGACGCAATGCTGCGGGTCCATGAATCACACAAGAGGAAGTGTCGTGTCGGCCAAACACCCACAACAACTGGGTGTGAAGTCCTGACCGTTCCTGACTGCAGGGCCTTCAGTGAACGGGGCAGCTGGGGACCATTTGGGAAAGAAGGGAGGTTTTTCCTATCAGCTCCAGGCCTTGTAGAACTGCCAGGGAATAACAGACACAAGGTCAGCAAAGTCTAACCAACAGCACGAGTGCATTCATATTCCACAACCACTGCAGCAAAGAACCATGAAATGGGTGGCTTCAAACAATGTCTGTGTCAGGTGCCGTGGCTCACACCTAAGTAATCTCAGGACTTTGGGAGGCTGAGTTGGGTGAATCACTTGAGGCCAGGAATTCGAGACCAGCCTGGCCAATATGCCAAAACCTCGTCTCTACTAAAAATACAAAAATTAGCCATGCATGGTGGCAGGCACCTGTAGTCCCCACTTCTTGGGAGGCTGAGGCAAGAGAATGGCTTGAGCCTGGGAGGTGGAGGTTGCAGTGAACTGAGATCATGCCACTGCACTCCAGACTGGGCAACAGAGCAAGCCTCTGTCTGAAAAAAAAAAAGAAAAAAAAAAAAAATTAATTGTCTGGAGGCCAGAAGTCCAAAATCAATCAAATGTCAGCAGGAGAATGCTCCTTCAGAGGTTCTAGGGGAGAATCCATTCCTTGCGTCTTCCAGCTTGTAGAGGCTACTAGAATTCCTCAACTTGTGGCTGCATGATCCAATCTCTGCCTCTGTGATCACCTTGCCTCCTCCTCTTCTGTCTGGGTCTCCTCCTCTGGAGGAAGAGTGTCAGTCCTCTGAGCCCAAGCTAAGCCATCATTATCTCCTGTGACCTGCATGTACATATCCAGATGGCCGGTTCCTGCCTTAACTGATGACATTACCTTGTGAAATTCCTTCTCCTTGCTCATCCTGGCTCCAAAGCTCCCCTACTGAGCACCTTGTGGCCCCCACTCCTGCCTGCCAGAGAACAACCCCCCTTTTTCCTTTACCTACCCAAATCCTATAAAATTGCCCCACCCCTATCTCCCTTCACTGACTCTCTTTTTGGACTCAGCCCACCTGTACCCAGGTGAAATAAACAGCTTTACTGCTCACACAAAGCCTGTTTGGTGGTCTCTTCACATGGATGCATGTGAAATTTGGTGCCGTGACTGGGATCGAGGGACTTCCCTTGGGAGATCAATCCCCTGTCCTCCTGCTCTTTGCTCTGTGAGAAAGATCCACCTATGACTTCAGGTTCTCAGACTGACCAGCCCAAGAAACATCTCACCAATTTCAAATCTGGTAAGCGGCTTCTTTTTACTCTCTTCTCCAACCTCCCTCACTATCCCTCCACCTCTTTCTCCTCCCAATCTTGGCACCACACTTCAATCTCTCCCTTCTCTTAATTTCAATTCCTTTCATTTTCTGGTAGAGACAAAGGGGACACGTTTTATCTGTGGACCCAAAACTCTGGCACCAGTCACGGACTAGGGAAGGCAGCCTTTCCTTGGT
Source organism: Homo sapiens (assembly GCF_000001405.40). NCBI lineage: Eukaryota > Metazoa > Chordata > Mammalia > Primates > Hominidae > Homo > Homo sapiens. Next base: position 5,178,437 of record NW_018654717.1, on the reverse strand, counting down.
GTTTAATCATTGCAGGGACACCTCTCTGATTATTCACCGAGGTTTCAGAGGTGTCAGACCATGCAGGGATGCCTGCCTTGTTCCTTCACCCTTAGCAGCAAGACCTGCTTTTCTGGGGGAGGGACAAGAACCCCTCAACCCCTTCTCCTTCACCCTTAGCAGCATGTCCCACTTTTCTGGGGGAGGGACAGGAACCCCGACCTCTTATCTCTGCACCCCGATCCCTTATTTCCATGCCCTGACCTCATCTCTGTGTCCCGATCCCTTATTTCCACAACCTGACCTCTTATCTCTGCACCCCAACCCTTTATTTCTGTGCCCCCAACCCTTTCCCTCTATTCTGGAAGGCAAGAACCCTCCACCCCTTCTCTCCATGTCTCTACTCTCTTTTCTCTAGGCTTGCCTCCTTCACTATGGGCAAGCTTCCGCCTTCCATTCCCCTTTCTTCTCCCTTAAGCTGTGTTCTTCAAAACCTAAAACCTCTTCAACTCACACCTGACCTAAAACCTAAATGCCTTATTTTCTTCTACAATGCTACTTGACCCCAATACAAACTCAGCAGTGGTTCCAAATAGCCAGAGAATGGCACTTTCAATTTTTCCATCCTACAAGATCTAGATACTTCTTGTCATAAGATGGGCAAATGATCTGAGATGCCTGATGTCCAGGCATTCTTTTACACATTGGTCCCTCCCTAGTCTCTGTTCCCAGTGCAACTCATCCGAAATCTTCCTCCTTTCCCTCCCACCTGTCCCCTCAGTCCCAACCCCAAGTGTCGCTGAGTCTTTCTAATCTTCCTTTTCTACAGACCCATCTGACCTCTCCCATCCTGGCCAGCCTGAGCTAGGTCCCAATTCTTCCTCAGCCTCCACTTCTCCACCCTATAATCCTTTTATCACCTCCCCTCCTCACACTGGGTCTGGCTTACAGTTTAATTCCGTGACTAGCCCTCCCCCACCTGCCCAGCAATTTACTCTTAAACAGGTGCCTGGAGCTAAAGACATAGTCAAGGTTAATGCTCCTTTTTCTTTATCCCAAATCAGATAGCATTTAGCCTCTTTTTCATCAAATATAAAAATCCACCCCAGTTCATGGCTCGTTTGGCAGCAACCCTGAGATGCTTTACAGCCCTAGACCCTAAAACGTCAAAAGGCCGTCTTATTCTCAATATACATTTTATTACCCAATCTGCTCCCGACATTAAATAAAACTCCAAAATTAAATTCCGGCCCTCAAACCCCACAACAGGACTTAATTAACCTCAACTTCAAGGTGTACAATAATGGAGTAGAGGCAGCCTAGCAGCAACATATTTCTCAGTTGCAATTCCTTGCCTCCACTGTGAGACAAAGCCCAGCCAAATCTCCAGCACACAAGAACTTCCAAACGCCTAAAGCGCAGTGGCCAGGCATTCCTCCAGAACCACCTACCCCAGGAGCTTGCTACAAGTGCCAGAAATCTGGCCACCAGACCAAGGAATGCCTGCAGCCCGGGATTCCTCCTGAGCCATGTCCCATCTGTGCGAGACCCAACTAGAAATCGGACTGTTCAACTCACCTGGCAGCCACTCCTAGAGCCCCTGGAACTCCAGCCCAAGGCTCTCTGACTGATTCCTTCCCAGATCTTCTTGGCTTAGCAGCTGAAGACTGACACTGCCTGATAGATCACCTCGGAAGCCTACAGGACCATCACAGACGCTCTAGGTAACTCTCACAGTGGAGGATAAGTCCATCCCCTTCTTAATCAATACGGAGGCTAACCACTCCACATTACCTTCTTTTCAAGGGCCTGTTTCCCTTCCCTCCATAATTGTTGTGAGTATTGACAGCCAGGCTTCTAAACCTCTTAAAACTCCCCAACTCTGGTGCCAACTTAGACAATACTCTTTTAAGCACTCCTTTTTAGTTGTCCCCACCTGCCCAGTTCCCTTATTAGGCTGAGACACTTTAACTAAATTATCTGCTTCCCTGACTATTCCTGGACTACAGCCACATCTCATTGCCACCCACCTTAACCCACAAGTAGAAGATACCTCTATTCCCTCCTTGGCAACCTATCATGCACCCCTTACCATCTCATTAAAACCTAATCACTCTTACCCCTCTCAATGCCAATATCCCATCCCACAGCATGCTTTGAAAGGATTAAAGCCTGTTATCACTCACCTGCTACAGCATGGCCTTTTAAAGCCTATAAACTCTCCTTACAATTCCCCCATTTTACCTGTCCTAAAACCAGACAAGCCTTACAAGTTAGTTCAAGATCTGTGCCTTATCAACCAAATTGTTTTGCCTATCCACCCCAAGGTGCCAAACACATATACTCTCCTATCCTCAGTTCCTCCCTCCACAACCCATTATTCTGTTCTGAATCTCAAACATGCTTTCTTTACTATTCCTTTGCACCCTTCATCCCAGTCACTCTTCGCTTTCACTTGGACTGACCCTGACACCCATCAAGCTCAGCAAATTACCTGGGCTGTACTGTCGCAAAGCTTCACAGACAGCCCCCATTACTTCAGTCAAGCCCAAATTTCTCCCTTATCTGTTACCTATCTCAGCATAATTCTCATAAAAACACACGTGCTCTCTCTGCCGATCGTGTGTGACTCATCTCTCAAACCCCAACCCCTTCTACAAAACAACAACTCCTTTCCTTCCTGTGCATGGTTGGATACTTTCACCTTTAGATATCTGGTTTTGCCATCCTAACAAAACCATTATATAAACTCACAAAAGGAAACCTAGCTGACCCCATAGATCCTAAATCCTTTCCCCACTCCTCTTTCTGTTCCTTGAAGACAGCTTTAAAGACTGCCCCCACCCTAGTCTTGGTTCCCTGACCGGGAAGCGAGGTAATTGACGGCAGTTGAGGCAGCCCTTTAGGCGGCTTAGGCCTGCCCTGTGGAGCATCCCTGCGGGGGACTCCTGCCAGTTTGAGCGACGCGGATCCTGAGAGCTCTCCTGGGTAGGCAATTGACCCGGTGGAATGCCTCGTCAGAGCAGTGTGTGGTAGGCCCCGGTGGAGGATCAACATAGTGGGTGAACACCGGGAAGGAACAGGCACTTGGAGTCTGGACATTTGAAACTTGGTAAGACTGGTCTTTGGAACTTGCCCACTCTATTTGAGTGGAAGTGTGGCCTGATCACCCACGGCGTGCCTGTACTGGCACTTTGGTTTTTGTTTTTGACTTGAATTGAATTGCTTGATACTTTGGTTTTGGTTTGACCTGGCTTGGATTTCTGGATACTCCGATTTTGGTTTTGATTCTGGTTTGGTGAAAACTGAAAAAGTGTGTGTGTGCCCTTTTTACTCATTCTTTGTTCTGTGGTGTGCGTGTGGTGTGAGCTTGGTGTTTTGTCTCGAGGAAACGTGGGTCAGACACAAAGTAAGCCTACTCTGCTAGGAACTATGATGAAAAATTTTAAGAAAGGATTTAATGGAGACTATAGGGTTACTATGACACCAGGGAAATTTAGAACTTTGTGTGAAATAGATTGCCCAGCTTTAGAAGTGGGTTGGCCATCAGAAGGAAGCCTGGGCAGGTCCCTTGTTTCTAAGGTATGGCACAAGGTAATTGGTAAGTCAGGACACTCAGACCAGTTTCCATACATAGACACTTGGTTACAGCTGATGCTAAACCCCCCACAGTGGCTAAGAGGGCAGGCAGCAGCAGTGCTAGTAGCGTAGGGACAGATAGCCAAGGAAGGATCGTGCTCCACCCGCCGAGGGAAATCAACACCTGAAGATCTGTTCAACCCAACAGCAGAACATGCATTGCAGGAGATGGCACCAGTGATCCCAGTGGTGCCCTCCCCTTACCAGGGAGAAAGGCTCCCCACTTTTGAGTCCACAGTGCTTGGGCCTCCACAAGACAAACATATCCCTAGGCAATCCAGAGTATACAAAAGAAGAGGTGAGGACTCGGGAGGAACCCCTCCCTTGGCAGCTCGTTTAAGACCCAAAACGGGGATCCAAATGCTCCTGAGAGAGCAGCGGTATACAGGGATAGATGAGGATGGTCATGTGGTGGGGAGGCGTGTTTCTGTGTACCAGCCCTTCACCTCTGCCCACCTTCTCAACTGGAAAAATAGTACCCCATCCTATACCAAAAAGCCACAAGCTCTAATTGATTTGCTCCAAACTAATATCCAGACCCACAACCCCACTTGGACTGATTGTCACCAGCTGCACATGTTCCTCTTTAACACAGATGAAAAATGGAGAGTGCTAGAAGCAGCAACTAAGTGGCTAGAGGAACATGCACCGGCTGATTACCAAAACCCCCAAGAGTATGTAAGGACCCAGTTACTGGAACCGACCCCCAGAAGGACCCAAATGAAAGAGAGGATATGCAAAGGCTAAACCGATACAGGGAAGCTCTCTTGGAAGGATTAAAGAGGGGAGCCCAGGAGGCCACAAATGTTAACAAGGTCTCTGAGGTCATTCAGAGAAAAGAAGAAAGTCCAGCACAATTCTAGGAGAGACTGTGTGATGCCTATGGTATGTATACACCCTTTGATCCCGATAGCCCTGAAAATCAATGCATGATTAACATGGCTTTAGTTAGTCAAAGCGCAGAAGACATTAGAAGAAAACTGCAGAAACAGGCTGGGTTTGCAGGGATGAACACATCACAGTTATTAGAAGTAGCTAACCAGGTGTTTGTAAACAGGGATGCAGTAAGCCATAAGGAAAACTGCAGAGAGAAGGAACGTCAGGCCCAGCGAAACGCCGACCTGTTAGCGGCAGCAAACAGAGGGGTCCCCCAAAAGAGGCAAGGGAAGGGGGGCCCCGGGAAAGAAACTCAGCCTGGCTGTCAAAGGTTGCAGCGTAATCAGTGTGTTTATTGTAAAGAAATAGGACATTGGAAGAGCAAATGCCCTCAGCTAAAAAGAAAACAAGGTGATTCGGAGCAAGAGGCTCCAGACAAGGAGAAAGGGGCCCTGCTCAACCTGGCAGAAGGGTTATTGGACTGAGGGGGACCGGGCTCAAGGACCCCGAAAGAGCCTATGTTCAGGATGACAGTTAGGGGTAAAGACATTGATTTTCTTGTAGATACTGGTGCTAAACATTCGGTAGTAACCGCCCCGGTCGCCCCCTTATACAAAAAGATTATTGACATCATCGGAGCCACAGGGGTTTCCGCAAAGCAAGTTTCTGCTTGCCCTGGACTTGTACTGTAGGAGGACATAAAGTGATTCATCAGTTTTTGTCCACGCCTGACTGTCCCTTGCCCTTATTGGGAAGGGACTTGCTTAGCAAACAGAGAGCCACTATCTCTTTTACAGAGCATGGCTCTTCGCTGCTAAAGTTACCCGGAACGGGAGTCATTATGACCCTTACCGTCCCCCGAGAGGAGGAATGGAGACTTTTCTTAACTGAGCCGGGCCAAGAGATAAGACCAGCTCTGGCTAAGCGGTGGCCAAGAGTACGGGTGGAAGACAACCCTCCAGGGTTGGCAGTCAACCAAGCCCCCGTACTTATAGAAGTTAAGCCTAGGGCCCAGCCATTTAGGCAAAAACAGGAGCCGGTCCCCAGAGAAGCTCTTGAAGGTATCCAGGTCCATCTCAAGCACCTAAGAACTTTTGGAATTAGAGTTCCTTGTCAGTCTCCATGGAACACTCCCCTCCTGCCTGTTCCCAAGCCTAGGACCAAGGACTACAGGCCGGTACAGGATTTGCGCTTGCTTCATCAGGCTACAGTGACTTTACATCCAGCAGTACCTAACCCGTACACATTGCTGGGGTTGCTGCCAGCTGAGGACAGCTGCTTCACCTGCTTGGACCTGAAAGATGCTTTCTTTAGCATCAGATTAGCCCCTGAGAGCCAGAAGCTGTTTGCCTTTCAGTGGGAAGATCCGGAGTCAGGTGTCACTACTCAGTACACTTGGACCCGGCTTCCCCAAGGGTTCAAGAACTCCCCCACTATCTTCGGGGAGACATTGCCTCGAGACCTCCAGAAGTTTCCCACCAGAGACCTAGACTGCGTGTTGCTCCAGTAGGTTGATGATCTTTTGCTGGGACACCCCACGGCAGTCGGGTGCGCCAAGGGAACAGATGCTCTACTGCGGCACCTGGAGGACTGTGGGTATAAGGTGTCCAAGAAAAAAGCTCAGATCTGCCGACAGCAGGTACGTTACTTAGGATTTACTATCCGACAGGGGGAGAGCAGCCTAGGATCAGAAAGAAAGTAGGTCATTTGCAATCTACCGGAGCCTAAGACCAGAAGGCAGGTGAGAGCATTTTTAAGGGCTGTGGGGTTTTGCAGACTGTAAATCCCAAACTTTGCAGTATTAGCCAAGCCTTTGTATGAGGTCACAAAGTGGGGGGACCGGGAACTTTCTGAATGGGGATGCCAGCAACAGCAAGCCTTTCATGAGTTAAAGGAAAGACTTATGTCAGCCCCAGCCCTGGGGCTACCCGATCTAATAAAGCCTTTTCCATTGTATGTGTCAGAAAGAGAAAAGATGGCAGTTGGTGTTTTAACCCAAACTGTGGGGCCCTGGCCAAGGCCGGTGGCCTACCTCTCTAAACAACTAGACGGGGTTTCTAAAGGATGCCCCTTGTTTGAGGGCCTTGGCAGCAACTGCCCTGCTAGTACAAGAAGCAGATAAGCTGACTCTTGGACAAAACCTGAACGTAAAGGCCCCCCATGCTGTGGTGACTTTCATGAATACTAAAGGACATCATTGGCTAATGAATGCTAGACTCACTAAGTACCAAAGTTTGCTCTGTGAAAATCCCCGCATAACCATTGAGGTTTGTAACACCCTACACCCCGCTACCTTGCTCCCAGTATCAGAGAGCCCTGTCGAGCATGACTGTGTAGAAGTGTTGGACTCAGTTTACTCTAGCAGACCTAACCTCCAGGAACAGCCTTAGGCATCAGTAGACTAGGAACTACACGTGGCTGGGAGCAGCTTCATCAACCCACAGGGAGAGAGATGTGCAAGCTATGCGGTGGTAACTCTGGACACTGTTGCTGAAGCCAGATCGTTTCCCCAGGGCACTTCAGCTCAGAAAGCTGAACTCATTGCTTTCATTCGGGCCTTAGAACTCAGTGAAGCTAAGAATGTCAACATTTACACTCACTCTCAATATGCCTTTTCAACCCTTCAAATGCATGGAACATTATATAAAGAAAAGGGCTTATTGAACTCTGGGGGAAAAGACATAAAATATCAACAATAAATCTTGCAATTATTAAAAGCCGTATGGAGACCCCACAAGGTGGCAGTTATGCATTGCAGAGGACACAAGCGAGCTTCCACCTTGGTGGGTTTAGGGAATTCCTGCGCTGACTTAGAGGCTCGAAAAGCAGCATCTGCCCCCTTCTGGGCATCAATCACAACCCCCCTGCTCCCTCAAGCACCTGATCTGGTACCTACTTATTCTAAAGAAGAAAAGGACTTTCTCCAGGCAGAGAGAGGACAAGTGATGGAGGAAGGATGAATTCGGTTACCGGATGGGAGAGTAGCTGTGCCACAGCTGCTAGGAGCTGCAGTTGTACTGGCTGTGCGTGAAACCACCCATCTAGGTTAGGAATCACTTGAAAAGTTGTTAGGCTGGTATTTCTACATCTCGCATTTGTCAGCCCTTGCCGAAACGTTGACGCAGTGGTGTGTTACCTGCCGACAGCATAATGCGAGGCAGGGTCCAGCCGTTCCACCCGGCATACAAACTTATGGAACAGCCCCCTTTGAAGAGCTCCAGATGGACTTCACAGAGATGCCAAAGTGTAGAGGTAACAAGTATTTACTAGTTCTTGGGCGTACCTACCCTGGGTAGGTGGAAGCTTATCCAACACGAACTGAGAAAGCTCATGAAGTAACTCATGTGCTTCTTCGAGATCTTATTCCTAGATTTGGACTGCCCTTATGGATCAGTTCAGATAATGGGCCGGCGTTTGTGGCTGACTTAGTACAGAAGGCGGCAAAGGTATTGGGGATCACACGGAAACTGCATGCTGCCTCCTGGCCTCAGAGTTCTGGAAAGGTGGAGCGAATGAATTGAACTATCAAAAATAGTTTAGGGAAAGTATGTCAGGAAACAGGATTAAAATGGATACAGGCTCTCCCTATGGTATTATTTAAAATTAGATGTACCACTTCTAAAAGAACAGGATATTCCCCTTATGAAATATTATATCATAGGCCCCCTCCTATATTGCGGGGACTTCCAGGCACTCCCTGAGAGTTAGGTGAAATTGAGTTACAGCGACAGCTACAGGCTTTAGGAAAAATTACACAGACAATCTCAGCCTGGGTAAATGAGAGATGCCCTGTTAGTTTATTCTCCCCAGTTCACCCTTTCTCCCCAGGTGATCGAGTGTGGATCAAGGACTGGAAAGTAGCCTCTTTGTGTCCACTGTGGAACGGACCCCAGACTGTCGTCCTGAGCACTCCCACCGCTGTGAAGGTAGAAGGAATCCCAGTCTGGAACCACCACAGCTGTGTAAAACCTGCAGCGCCGGAAACCTGGGAGGCAAGACCAAGCCCAGACAACCCTTGCAGAGTGACCCTGAAGAAGACGACAAGCCCTGCTCCAGTCACACCTGGAAGCTGACTGGTCCACGCATGGCCGAAGCACGAGGAAGCTCATCGTTAGATTCATTTTTCTTAAATTTTGGACTTATACAGTAAGGGCTTCAACTAACCTTACTCAAAATGGGGACTGTTCCCAGTGTATTTATCAGGTCACCGAAGTAGGACAGCAAATTAAAACAATCTTTCTGTTCTATAGTTATTATGAATGTATGGAAACATTAAAAGAAACTTGTTTGTATAATGCCACTCAGTACAAGGTATGTAGCCCGAGAAATGACCGACCTGATGCGTGTTATAGCCCATCTGAGCCCCCTGCAACCACCGTTTTTGAAATAAGAACTGGCCTTTTGCTAGGTGATACAAGTAAAATAATAACTAGAACAGAAGAAAAAGAAATCCCCAAGCAAATAACTTTAAGATCTGATGCTTGTGCAGCCATTAATAGTAAAAAGCTAGAAATAGGATATGGTTCTCTTAACTGAGAAAGGAGCTAAAGAGTAGAAAATAAATATGTTTGTCATGAGTCAGGGGTTTGTAAAAATTGTGCCTATTGGCCATGTGTTATTTAGGCTACTTAAAAAAAGAACAAAAATGACTCGGTTTATCTTCAGAAGGGAGAAGCCAACCCCTCCTGGGCCGCCGGTCACTGTAACCCACTAGAACTAATAATTACCAATCCCCTAGATCCCCTTTGGAAAAAGGGAGAACGCGTAACCCTGGGGATCAATAGGACAGGGTTAAACCCTCAAGTTGCCATTTTAATTAGAGGGGAGGTCCACAAGTGCTCTCCCAAAACAGTATTTCAAACGTTTTATGAGGAGCTGAATCTGCCAACACCAGAACTTCCGAAAAAGACAAAAAATTTGTTTCTCCAATTAGCAGAAAATGTAGCTAATTCCCTTAATGTTACTTCTTGTTATGTATGCGGAGGAACCACTATCGGAGACAGATGGCCTTCGGAAGCCCGAGAGTTGGTGTCTACTGATCCAGCTCCTGATATAATTCCAGTTCAGAAGGCCCAAGCTAGCAACTTCTAGGTCCTAAAACCTCAATTATTAGACAATACTGTATAGCTAGAGAAGGGAAAGACTTTATCATCCCTGTAGGAAAGCTTAATTGTATAGGACAGAAGTTGTATAACAGCACAACAAAGACAATTACTTAGTAGGGCCTAACCCACACTGAAAAGAATCCATTTAGTAAATTTTCTAAATTAAAAACTGCTTAGGCTCATGCAGAATCTCATTAGGACTGGACGGTTCCCACTGGACTATACTAGATACGTAGGCACAGAGCCTACATTCGGTTACCTAATAAATGGGCAGACAGTTGTGTTATTGGCACTATTAAGCCGTCCTTTTTCTTATTACCCATAAAAATGGGTGAGCTCATAGGTTTCCCTGTCTATGCCTCCTGAGAAAATAAAGGCATAGTTATAGGAAACTGGAAAGATAATGAGTGGCCCCCTGAAAGGATCATTCAGTATTATGGGCCTGCCACAGGGGCACAAGATGGCTCATGGGGATACCAAACCCCCATCTACATGCTCAACTGGATCATACGGTTGCAGTCCGTCTAAGAAATAATTACTAATGAAACTGGCAGAGCTTTGACTGTTTTAGCTTTGCAAGAAACCCAAATGAGGAATGCTATCTATCAGAAAAGACTGGCCTTAGACTACTTGCTAGTAGCTGAAGGAGTTTGTGGAAAATTTAACTTAACCAACTGCTGCCTACAAATAAATGATCAAGGACAGATGGTTAAAAACATAGTCAGGGACATGACAAAGGTTGCACATGTGCCTGTAGAGGTTTGGCACGAGTTTAATCCTGAGTCTTTATTTGAAAAATGGTTTCCAGCTATAGGAGGATTTAAAACCCTCATTGTAGGTGTATTGCTAGTGATAGGAACTTACTTGCTGCTCCCCTGTGTATTACTCTTGCTTTTTCAAATGATAAAAGATTTTGTTGCTACTTTGGTTCATCAGAAAACTTCAGCACACGTGTGTTATATAAATCACTATCGCTCTATCTCACAAAGAGACTCAAAAAGTAAAGATGAGAGTGAGAACTCCCACTAAAAAGTGAAAATGCTCAAAGGGGGAAAATATGGTATGAGACCACCACTTCTCCTGTTGTCCTTCCCAGTTTCTCCCCAACCTCCCCTTTTCCCTAGTTTATAAGACAGCAAAAAAGGGAGAAAGCAAAAAGCTGGAAAAAACAGAAGTAAAATAAATACCTAGACGACTTTGGCGCCACCACCTGGCCCTGGTGGTTAAAGTAACAATAATATTAACCCCTGACCAAAACTACTGTTGTTATCGGTAAATCCCAGACATTGTATGAGAAAGCACTGTAAAAACTTTTTGTTCTGTTAGCTGATGTATGTAGCCCCCAGTCATGTTCCTCAAGCTTCCTTGATCTATTATGACTTTTTCACGTAGAACCCTTAGAGTTGTCAGCCCTTAAAAGGGCTAGGAATTTCTTTTTCAGGGAGCTCGGCTCTTAAGACACGAGTCTGCCAACGCTCCCGGCCGAATAAAAAAACCTCTTCCTTCTTTAATCTAGTGTCTGAGGAGTTTTGTCTGGAACTCGTCCTGCTACACTAGCTCTCCGTGACTCATCCCAACCCTTTTCATTACACGCAGCCGAAGTGCAGCGCTGTGCAGTTGAAATTCTTACACAAGGACCAGGATGGCGTCCTGTAGCCTTTTTGTCCAAACAACTTGACCTTACTGTTTTAGGTTGGCCGTTGTGTCTCCGTGCAGCAGCTGCTGCCACCCTAATACTTTTAAAGGCCCTTAAAATCAGAAACTATGCTCAACTCACTCTCTACAGCTCTCATAATTTCCAAAATCTATTGTCTTCCTCACACCTGCCACATATACATTCTGCTCGCCGGCTCCTTCTGCTGTACTCACTCTTTGTTGAGTCTCCCACAATTACCATTGTTCCTGGCCCAGACTTCAATCCGGCCTCCCCCATTATTCCTGATACCACACCTGACCCTCATGACTGCATCTCTCTGATCCACCTGACGTTCACCCCATTTCCCCACATTTCCTTCTTCCCTGTTTCTCACCCTTACCACACTTAGTTTATTGATGGCAGTTCCACCAGGCCTAATTGCCACACACCAGCAAAAGCAGGGTATGCTATAGTACAAGCCACTAGCCCGCCTCTTAGAACCTCTCATTTCCTTTCCATCGTGGAAATCTATCCTCAAGGAAATAACTTCTCAGTGTTCCATCAGCTATTCTACTACTCCTCAGGGATTCTTCAGGCCCCCTCCCTTCCCTACACATCAAGCTCAGGGATTTGCCCCCACCCAGGACTGGCAAATTAGCTTTACTCAACGTGCCCCGAGTCAGGAAACTAAAATACCTCTTGGTCTAGGTAGACACTTTCACTGGATAAGTAGAGGCCTTTCCCACAGGGTCTAAGAAGGCCACCACGGTCATTTCTTCTCTTCTGTCAGACATAATTCCTCAGTTTGGCCTTCCCACCTCTATACAGTCCGATAGCAGACCTGCCTTTAGTAATCAAGTCAGCCAAGCATTTTTTCAGGCTCTTAGTATTCAGTGAAACCTTTATATCCCTTACAGTCCTCAATCTTCAGGAAAGGTAGAACAGACTGATGGTCTTTTAAAAACACACCTTACCAAGCTCAGCCACCAACTTAAAAACGACTGGACAATACTTTTACCACTTTCCCTTCTCAGAATTCCGGCCTGTCCTTGGAATGCTACAAGGTACAGCCCATTTGTTGCAGGAAGTCAGGGACCCCAAACGGAGGGACAGGCTGAAGCCATGGCAGAAGAACGTGGATTGTGAAGATTTTATGGACATTTATTAGTTCCCCAAATTAATACTTTTGTAATTTCTTATGCCTGACTTTACTGCAATCTCTAAACATAAATTGTAAAGATTTCATGGACACTTATCACTTCCCCAATCGATATCCTTGTGATTTCCTATGCCTGTCTTTGCTTTAATCTCTTAATCCTGTCAGCCGAGAAGGATGTATATCGTCTCAGGACCCTGTAATAATTGCGTTAAGTACACAAATTGTACAGCATGTGTGTTTGAGCAATATGAAATGTGGACATCCTGAAAAAAGAACAGGATAACCGCAGTCGTTCAGGGAATAAGAGAGATAACCTTAAACTCTGACCGCTGGTGAGCCCGGCAGAACAGAGCCATATTTCTCTTCTTTCAAAAGCAAATGGGAGAAATATCACTGAATTCCTTTCTCAGCATGGAACGTCCCTGAGAAAGAGAATGCGCACCTAGGGGTAGGTCTCTGAACTGGCCCCCCGGGGCTTACCTGTCTCTTAAGGTCGAGATTGCAGAGGTGAAATAAACTGCAGTCTCCCATAGCGCTCCCAGGCTTATTAGGAAGAGGAAATTCCCGCCTAATAAACTTTGGTCAGACCGGTTGATCTCAAAACCCTGTCTCCTGATAAGATGTTATCAATGACAATGGTGCCAAAACTTCATTAGCAATTTAAATTTCACTTCGGTCCTGTGGTCCTGTGATCTCGCCCTGTCTCCACTTGCCTTGTGATATTCTATTACCCTGTTAAGTACTTGATGTCTGTCACCCACACCTATTCGTATACTCCCTCCCCTTTTGAAACTCCCTAATAAAAACTTGCTGGTTTTTGTGGCTTGTGGGGCATCATGGATCCTACCAATGTGTGATGTCTCCCCCGGACGCCCAGCTTTAAAATTTCTCTCTTTTGTACTCTGTCCTTTTATTTCTCAAGCCAGTCAATGCTTAGGAAAATAGAGAAGAACCTACGTGATTATCGGGGCAGGTCCCCCGATACCCCTTGGATCTCCTGTATAGACACTCCTTTTTGTTAGGCTCCAGTCTCATTCCAGACACAAGACCAACTTGGACTGTGCCCCAAAAAACTTCTCATCCCTACTATCTTCTGTCTAGCCATACTCCTATTCACCATTCTCAACTACTCATATATGCCCTGCTCTTGTTTACACTGGTGGTTTACACTGTTTCTCCAAGCCATCACAGCTGACATCTCCTGGTGCTATCCCCAAACCACCACTCTTAACTCTTAAATAATCTTTGCTGGCAAGGCTATGCTGAACCTCCTTAGGCACTCTCTAATTAGATGTCCTAGGTCCTCCCAATTCTTAGTCCTTTAATACCTGTTTTTCTCCTTCTCTTATTCTGTTTAGTTTTTCAATTCATACAAAACTGTATCCAGGCCATCACCAATAATTTTAAATGAAAAATGTTTCTTCTAACAACCCCACAATATCACCCCTTACCACAAAATCTTCTTTCAGCTTAATCTCTCCTACTCTAGGTTCCCATGCCACCCCAATCCCACTGGAAGCAGCCCTGAGAAACATCGCCCATTGTCTCTCCATAACACCCCCCAAAAATTTTCACCATCCCAATACTTTACCACTATTTCATTTTATTTTTCTTATGAATATAAGAAGACAGGAACGTCAGGCCTCTGAGCCCAAGCTAAGCCATCATATCCCCTGTGACCTGCATGTACACATCCAGATGGCCGGTTCCTGCCTTAATTGATGACATTCCACCGCAAAATAAATGAAAATGTCCTGTTCCTGCCTTAACTGATGACATTATCTTGTGAAATTCCTTCTCCTTGCTCATCCTGGCTCAAAAGCTCCCCTACTGAGCACCTTGTGACCCCCACTCCTGCCTGCCAGAGAACCCCCCTTTTTCCTTTACCTACCCAAATCCTATAAAATGGCCCCACCCCTATCTCCCTTCGCTGACTCTCTTTTTGGGCTCAGCCCACCTGCATCCAGGTGAAATAAACAGCTTTATTGCTCACAAAAAGCCTGTTTTGTGGTCTCTTCACACGGACGCGCCAGAAAAAGGGTGTCCTTTTTTTTTTTTTTTTTTTTTGAGATGGAGTTTCACTCTTGTTGCCCAGGCTGGAGTGCAATGGCATGACCTCAGCTCACTGCCACCTCCTCCTCCTGGGTTCAAGCAACTCTCTTGCCTCAGCTTCCCCAGTAGCTGGGATTGCAGGCATGCGCCAACATGCCCGGCTAATTTTGTATTTTTAGTAGAGATGGGGTTTCTCCATGTTGGTCAGGCTGGTCTCAAACTCCTGACCTATGGTGATCCACCCGCCTCGACCTCCCAAAGTGCTGGGATTACAGGCATGAGCCACTGCGCCGGGACAAAAGTGTCCTCTTATAAGGACACTTGTCTTTAGATGTACAGCCTACCTAAATTACTCCAGGATAATCTCGAGATCCTTAACTTAATTACATCTGCAAAGACCCTTTTTCCAAATAATGCCACCTCCACAGATTCTAGGCACAAGGATCTGGATATATATTGTGCAAAGCCACCATTCAGCTCACTACACTAGAAAGAGGAAAAACAATGAAGTAACAAAAGGCGCAGAAGAAAGAACAGATGCAGCTTGTGTGGCAGTGGCCATCGAGGCAGGATGGGGTAAAACTGTGTTAACAGAACCCCGAGATGGAACTCAAGTGTGGCCGTCTACTCCCAGCTACTCACAGAGAACGTTTCTGTTTCTGACAGCAGAGTAAGAGAAGGGGTGGGAAGAGAGATAGCCCATTCTCTGTTGGCCTAATTCCTAAGGAATTGTGCCTCTGCCTTCGGGTCATTCTCAAGTCTTGTTCAAGGACAAAATGATTTATTGATGGCCATAATTAAAAAGCAATGCCAACAGAAGCAGCCTCACCATTTTTCATTTGTACTTACACATGAGCGAGAGCAGTTTAGGGAAACGGGTGTCTTCAGGTTCTGTTTTCTCCATCTAGAAAAGGGCTGCCTTCGTGGAATGCTGGTCCTGGGGAGAAGCCTCATTTCTATAGCAGGAATTGATAGAGTTTTAAATTCCGATTGGTACATGGAGCTACCCGTCCTCATTTCAAGCACTTCTGGTTAGTTCTGGGTTCAGTGGGTGAGCAATGAGTAGAACTCTGGGGAGGAGG
Source organism: Homo sapiens (assembly GCF_000001405.40). Classification (NCBI taxonomy): domain Eukaryota; kingdom Metazoa; phylum Chordata; class Mammalia; order Primates; family Hominidae; genus Homo; species Homo sapiens. The sequence continues at coordinate 5,162,909 of NW_018654717.1, read as the reverse complement.
ATTTGGAGTGAGCGTGGTTTTGATCCCCAGAGGGAGTTGTTTTTCCATCAATGTCTTGACTGTGATTCAGAATGGGCTTCTCCGCTCAAGATGGGAGTACTGGGCTAATTTAAGGCAGGTGATTGACTTGATTTGGTGGCTACTTTTATACTAGCTGGTTAACGAGCTATTTTCTTCATTAGTTTCAGGCATATGAGCGTAATGAAGCACTGGACCTCCCAAATTACAAGGAAAATACAGATATAGCTTATGTGGTAGGTTCAAAGGAGTTAGTGAACAAACACAGTAGGGACACAAATTCTTGTTAAAGACATGAATGTATGAAAGTGTATCTATGTCCAAATGGACCCTCTGCAAGCATACTGTTCCACCTGAAAATTAGTACATAGAAATTCAGCAAATGCTTGGACAGGGGATATTCTCAGAAGTATTCTGACTCAATAGCATGGTTTATTTTCATATCACTAAAGTAATTTCTTCTCAAATTGACTCTGGACTAAATCTTATGATACCTACTTGTTCCGATTGTACTTAGCCACCTGCAAATAAGGTGGAGGCAGTGGTAAGAGGAGCTGTTGAATGAAATGAAACATTTGTTGGATGCCTACTGAAGATAAAGCCCTGTGCTTTGTGCCAGGGAGATTCCAGAATAAATGAGGCACAGACCTACTCTCAGGAAGCTTTTGCAAACTAATGGAGAAAACACATCTTCAGGCAATGACTTATGGTATAAGAGGAAATGGGGCCAGATACGGTGACTCACACCTGTAATCCCAGCACTTTGGGAGGCCGAGGTAGGTGGATCACTTGAGGTCAGGAGTTCAAGAGCAGCTTGGCCAACATGGCGAAACCCTTTCTCTACTAAAAGTACAAAAAGAAAAAAAAAAAAATGAGCCAGGCTTGATGGTGTGCACCTGCAATCCCAGCTACTTGGGAGGCTGAGGCACAAGAATCACTTAAACCTGGGAGGTGGACACTGTAGTGAGCCGAGATCCCACCACTGCACTCCAGCCTAGAAGACAGAGCGAGACTGTCAAAATAAAAAAAAAAAGGAAATAAGATTGGTGTTGAATGGGAAATCTAAGGAGGATGGAATGACAGGAGAGCGCCCACTTGCCCAGCTCCAATAACACTTTTGACAGCCATGACAATATTGCAGGGACACCCATTCGTCATGGTATCTGAAGTCCCATGAAAGCTTGAGTCTGGAGGCTGGTTCAGTCTTGACTTTAAGATAAGGGGATACAAGGAATGATTTTCATCTATCCCAAGCCAATAGTCCAGCCAAAAATCTAGGTCTGAGATGATGAGAAAAAGCAAGTCATCAACCATGTCAGCCATTTCATCATCATCATCATCATCATCATCATCATCAAAAACAAAAGACAGACCTGTAACCGTCTTGTGTGCCTGGCTCTCAGTTCACAATATAGAAGTAAATTCTATGGCCAGCGAACAATGAGCAAAATAGCTCTCATCACTCTTGTCTGCCACCATGTAAGACATTCCTTTTGCCTTCCACCATGATTTCGAGACTTCTTCAGCCACATGGAACTGTGAGCCCATTAAACCTCTTTTTCTTTATAAATTACCCAGTCTTGAGTAACAAAATAGTGGTTTGTCCACAACATCAATGAACGATGCTGTTACTTGTTCCAAACACGTATCATTTAAGAGGTTTGGATAAACAACATCCTAAAATAAA